>NC_000009.12:44485862-44851272 GCF_000001405.40 Homo sapiens
ACACGGGATATCTTCATATAAAATCTAGACAGAAGCATTCTCAGGAACTTCTTTGTGATGTTTGCATTCAAGTCACAGAACTGAACTTTCCCTTTCATAGAGCAGGTTTGAAACACTCTTTCTGTAGTATCTGCAAGCGGACGTTTCAAGCGCTTTCAGGCCTGTGGTGAAAAAGGAAATATCTTCAAATAAAAACTAGACAGAAGCATTCTCAGAAACTTATTTGCGATGTGTGTTCTCAACTAACAGAGTTGAACCTTTGTTTTGATACAGCATTTTGGAAACACTGTTTTTGTAAGATCTGCAAGTGGATATTTGGATAGCTTTGAAGGTTTCGTTGGAAACGGGAATATCTTCATATAAAATCAACACAGAAGCATTCTCAGAAACTTCTCTGTGATGTTTGCATTCAACTCATAGAGTTGAACACTTCCTTTCATAGAGCTGGTTTGAAATACTCTTTTTGTAATATTTGGAAGTGGACATTGGTAGCGCTTTGAAGCCTATGGTGAAAAAGGAGATATCTTCTCCTAAAAACCAGACAGAAGCATTCTCAGAAACTTATTTGCCATGTGTGTTCTCAACTAACAGAGTTGAACCTTTGTTTTGATACGGCATTTTGGAAACACTCTTTTTGTAGAATCTGCAGGTGGATATTCGGATAGCTTTGAAGGTTTCGTTGGAAACGGGAATATCTTCATATAAAATCTTGACGGAAGCATTCTCAGAAACTGCTTTGTGATGTTTTCATTCAAGTCACAGAGTAGAATCTTCCCTGTTATATACCAGGTTTCAGACACTCTTTCTGCACTACCTGGAAGTGGACATTTGCAGCGCTTTGAGGCCTATGATGAAAAAGGAAATATCTTCCCATAAAAACTAGACAGAAGCATTCTCAGAAACTTGTTTGTGATGTGTGTATTCAACTAACAGAGATGAACCTTTCTTTTTACAGAGCAGTTTTGAAACACTCTTTTTGTGGAATCTGAAAGTGGATATTTGGATAGCTTTGAGGATTTCGTTGGAAACGGGATTACATATAAAATCTAGAGAGAAGCATTCTCAGGAACTTCTTTGTGATGTTTGCATTCACGTCACAGAGCTGAACATTCCCTTTCATAGAGCATGTTTGAAACACTCTTTCTGTAGTATCTGCAAACGGACATTTCAAACGCTTTCAGGCCTATGGTGAGAAAGGAAATATCTTCAAATAAAAACTAAACAGAAGCATTCTCAGAAACTTATTTGCCATGTGTGTTCTCAACTAACAGAGTTGAACCTTTGTTTTGATACGGCATTTTGGAAACACTCTTTTTGTAGAATCTGCAGGTGGATATTCGGATAGCTTTGAAGGTTTCGTTGGAAACGGGAATATTTTCATATAAAATCTAGACGGAAGCATTCTCAGAAACTGCTTTGTGATGTTTGCATTCAAGTCACAGAGTAGAATGTTCCCTGTTATATACCAGGTTTGAGACACTCTTTCTGCACTACCTGGAAGTGGACGTTTGGAGCGCTTTGAGGCCTATGTTGAAAAAGGAAATATCTTCCCATAAAAACTAGACAGAAGCATTCTCAGAAACTTGTTTGTGATGTGTGTATTCAACTAACAGAGATGAACCTTTCTTTTTACAGAGCAGTTTTGAAACACTCTTTTTGTGGAATCTGAAAGTGGATATTTGGATAGCTTTGAGGATTTCGTTGGAAACGGGATTACATATAAAACCTAGAGAGAAGCATTCTCAGGAACTTCTTTGTGATGTTTGCATTCAAGTCACAGAACTGAACATTCCCTTTCATAGAGCAGGTTTGAAACACTCTTTCTGTAGTATCTGCAAACGGACATTTCAAGCGCTTTCAGGCCTATGGTGAGAAAGGAAATATCTTCAAGTAAAAACTAGACAGAAGCATTCTCAGAAACTTATTTGCAATGTGTGTTCTCAACTAACAGAGTTGAACCTTTGTTTTGATATGGCATTTTGGAAACACTCTTTTTGTAGAATCTGCAGGTGGATATTCGGATAGCTTTGAAGGTTTCGTTGGAAACGGGAATATCTTCATATAAAATCTAGACGGAAGCATTCTCAGAAACTGCTTTGTGATGTTTTCATTCAAGTCACAGAGTAGAATGTTCCCTGTTATATACCAGGTTTGAGACACTCTTTCTGCACTACCTGGAAGTGGACATTTGCAGCGCTTTGAGGCCTATGATGAAAAAGGAAATATCTTCCCATAAAAACTAGACAGAAGCATTCTCAGAAACTTGTTTTTGATGTGTGTATTCAACTAACAGAGATGAACCTTTCTTTTTACAGAGCAGTTTTGAAACACTCTTTTTGTGGAATCTGAAAGTGGATATTTGGATAGCTTTGAGGATTTCGTTGGAAACGGGATTACATATAAAATCTAGAGAGAAGCATTCTCAGGAACTTCTTTGTGATGTTTGCATTCACGTCACAGAACTGAACATTCCCTTTCATAGAGCATGTTTGAAACACTCTTTCTGTAGTATCTGCAAACGGACATTTCAAACGCTTTCAGGCCTATGGTGAGAAAGGAAATATCTTCAAATAAAAACTAGACAGAAGCATTCTCAGAAACTTATTTGCGATGTGTGTCCTCAACTAACAGAGTTGAACCTTTCTTTTGATACAACATTTTGGAAACACTCTTTTTGTAGAATCTGCAAGTGGATATTTGAATAGCTTTGAAGGTTTCGTTGGAAACGGGAATATCTTCATATAAAATCAAGACAGGAAAGCATTCTCAGAAACTTCTCTGTGATGTTTGCATTCAACTCATAGAGTTGAACACTTCCCTTCATACAGCAGGTTTGAAACACTCTTTTTGTAATATTTGGAAGTGGACATTTGCAGCGCTTTGAGGCCTATGATGAAAAAGGTAATATCTTCCCATAAAAACTAGACAGAAGCATTCTCAGAAACTTGTTTGTGATGTGTGTATTCAACTAACAGAGATGAACCTTTCTTTTTACAGAGCAGTTTTGAAACACTCTTTTTGTGGAATCTGAAAGTGGATATTTGGATAGCTTTGCGGATTTCGTTGGAAACGGGATTACATATAAAATCTAGGGAGAAGCATTCTCAGGAACTTCTTTGTGATGTTTGCATTCAAGTCACAGAACTGAACATTCCCTTTCATAGAGCAGGTTTGAAACACTCTTTCTGTAGTATCTGCAAGTGGACGTTTTAAGCGCTTTCAGGCCTGTGGTGAGAAAGGAAATATCTTCAAATAAAAACTAGACAGAAGCATTCTCAGAAACTTATTTGCGATGTGTGTCCTCAACTAACAGAGTTGAACCTTTCTTTTGATACAACATTTTGGAAACACTCTTTTTGTAGAATCTGCAAGTGGATATTTGGATAGCTTTGAAGGTTTCGTTGGAAACGGGAATATCTTCATATGAAATCAAGACAGAAGCATTCTCAGAAACTGCTTTGTGATGTTTTCATTCAAGTCACAGAGTAGAATGTTCCCTGTTATATACCAGGTTTGAGACACTCTTTCTGCACTACCCGGAAGTGGACGTTTGGAGCGCTTTGAGGCCTATGTTGAAAAAGGAAATATCTTCCCATAAAAACTAGACAGAAGCATTCTCAGAAACTTGTTTGTGATGTGTGTATTCAACTAACAGAGATGAACCTTTCTTTTTACAGAGCAGTTTTGAAACACTCTTTTTGTGGAATCTGAAAGTGGATATTTGGATAGCTTTGAGGATTTCGTTGGAAACGGGATTACATATAAAACCTAGAGAGAAGCATTCTCAGGAACTTCTTTGTGATGTTTGCATTCACGTCACAGAACTGAACATTCCCTTTCATAGAGCATGTTTGAAACACTCTTTCTGTAGTATCTGCAAACGGACATTTCAAACGCTTTCAGGCCTATGGTGAGAAAGGAAATATCTTCAAGTAAAAACTAGACAGAAGCATTCTCAGAAACTTATTTGCGATGTGTGTCCTCAACTAACAGAGTTGAACCTTTCTTTTGATACAACATTTTGGAAACACTCTTTTTGTAGAATCTGCAAGTGGATATTTGAATAGCTTTGAAGGTTTCGTTGGAAACTGGGAATATCTTCATATAAAATCAAGACGGAAGCATTCTCAGAAACTTCTCTGTGATGTTTGCATTCAACTCATAGAGTTGAACACTTCCCTTCATACAGCAGGTTTGAAACACTCTTTTTGTAATATTTGGAAGTGGACATTTGCAGCGCTTTGAGGCCTATGATGAAAAAGGAAATATCTTCCCATAAAAACTAGACAGAAGCATTCTCAGAAACTTGTTTGTGATGTGTGTATTCAACTAACAGAGATGAACCTTTCTTTTTACAGAGCAGTTTTGAAACACTCTTTTTGTGGAATCTGAAAGTGGATATTTGGATAGCTTTGCGGATTTCGTTGGAAACTGGATTACATATAAAATCTAGGGAGAAGCATTCTCAGGAACTTCTTTGTGATGTTTGCCTTCAAGTCACAGGACTGAACATTCCCTTTCATAGAGCAGGTTTGAAACACTCTTTCTGTAGTATCTGCAAGCTGACGTTTCAAGCGCTTTCAGGCCTATGGTGAGAAAGGAAATATCTTCAAGTAAAAACTAGACAGAAGCATTCTCAGAAACTTATTTGCCATGTGTGTTCTCAACTAACAGAGTTGAACCTTTGTTTTGATACGGCATTTTGGAAACAATCTTTTTGTAGAATCTGCAGGTGGATATTCGGATAGCTTTGAAGGTTTCGTTGGAAACGGGAATATCTTCATATAAAATCTAGACGGAAGCATTCTCAGAAACTGCTTTGTGATGTTTTCATTCAAGTCACAGAGTAGAATGTTCCCTGTTATATACCAGGTTTGAGACACTCTTTCTGCACTACCTGGAAGTGGACGTTTGGAGCGCTTTGAGGCCTATGTTGAAAAAGGAAATATCTTCCCATAAAAACTAGACAGAAGCATTCCCAGAAACTTGTTTGTGATGTGTGTATTCAACTAACAGAGATGAACCTTTCTTTTTACAGAGCAGTTTTGAAACACTCTTTTTGTAGAATCTGCAAGTGGATATTTGGATAGCTTTGAAGGTTTCGTTGGAAACGGGAATATCTTCATATAAAATCAAGACAGAAGCATTCTCAGAAACTTCTCTGTGATGTTTGCATTCAACTCATAGAGTTGAACACTTCCCTTCATACAGCAGGTTTGAAACACTCTTTTTGTAATATTTGGAATTGGACATTTGCAGCGCTTTGAGGCCTATGATGAAAAAGGTAATATCTTCCCATAAAAACTAGACAGAAGCATTCTCAGAAACTTGTTTGAGATGTGTGTATTCAACTAACAGAGATGAACATTTGTTTTTACAGAGCAGTTTTGAAACACTCTTTTTGTGGAATCTGAAAGTGGATATTTGGATAGCTTTGGGGATTTCGTTGGAAACGGGATTACATATAAAATCTAGGGAGAAGCATTCTCAGGAACTTCTTTGTGATGTTTGCATTCAAGTCACAGAACTGAACATTCCCTTTCATAGATCAGGTTTGAAACACTCTTTCTGTAGTATCTGCAAGCGGACGTTTTAAGCGCTTTCAGGCCTGTGGTGAGAAAGGAAATATCTTCAAATAAAAACTAGACAGAAGCATTCTCAGAAACTTATTTGCGATGTGTGTCCTCAACTAACAGAGTTGAACCTTTCTTTTGATACAACATTTTGGAAACACTCTTTTTGTAGAATCTGCAAGTGGATATTTGGATAGCTTTGAAGGTTTCGTTGGAAACGGGAATATCTTCATATGAAATCAAGACAGAAGCATTCTCAGAAACTTCTCTGTGATGTTTGCATTCAACTCATAGAGTTGAACACTTCCCTTCATACAGCAGGTTTGAAACACTCTTTTTGTAATATTTGGAAGTGGACATTTGCAGCGCTTTGAGGCCTATGATGAAAAAGGAAATATCTTCCCATAAAAACTAGACAGAAGCATTCTCAGAAACTTGTTTGTGATGTGTGTATTCAACTAACAGAGATGAACCTTTCTTTTTACAGAGCAGTTTTGAAACACTCTTTTTGTGGAATCTGAAAGTGGATATTTGGATAGCTTTGAGGATTTCGTTGGAAACGGGATTACATATAAAATCTAGAGAGAAGCATTCTCAGGAACTTCTTTGTGATGTTTGCATTCACGTCACAGAACTGAACATTCCCTTTCATAGAGCATGTTTGAAACACTCTTTCTGTAGTATCTGCACACGGACATTTCAAACGCTTTCAGGCCTATGGTGAGAAAGGAAATATCTTCAAATAAAAACTAGACAGAAGCATTCTCAGCAACTTATTTGCGATGTGTGTCCTCAACTAACAGAGTTGAACCTTTCTTTTGATACAACATTTTGGAAACACTCTTTTTGTAGAATCTGCAAGTGGATATTTGGATAGCTTTGAAGGTTTCGTTGGAAACGGGAATATCTTCATATAAAATCAAGACAGAAGCATTCTCAGAAACTGCTTTGTGATGTTTTCATTCAAGTCACAGAGTAGAATCTTCCCTGTTATATACCAGGTTTCAGACACTCTTTCTGCACTACCTGGAAGTGGACATTTGCAGCGCTTTGAGGCCTATGATGAAAAAGGAAATATCTTCCCATAAAAACTAGACAGAAGCATTCTCAGAAACTTGTTTGTGATGTGTGTATTCAACTAACAGAGATGAACCTTTCTTTTTACAGAGCAGTTTTGAAACACTCTTTTTGTGGAATCTGAAAGTGGATATTTGGATAGCTTTGAGGATTTCGTTGGAAACGGGATTACATATAAAATCTAGAGAGAAGCATTCTCAGGAACTTCTTTGTGATGTTTGCATTCACGTCACAGAACTGAACATTCCCTTTCATAGAGCATGTTTGAAACACTCTTTCTGTAGTATCTACAAACGGACATTTCAAACGCTTTCAGGCCTGTGGTGAGAAAGGAAATATACTTCAAATAAAAACTAGACAGAAAGCATTCTCAGAAACTTATTTGCGATGTGTGTCCTCAACTATCAGAGTTGAACCTTTCTTTTGATACAACATTTTGGAACCACTCTTTTTGTAGAATCTGCAAGTGGATATTTGAATAGCTTTGAAGGTTTCGTTGGAAACGGGAATATCTTCATATAAAATCAAGACAGAGCATTCTCAGAAACTTCTCTGTGATGTTTGCATTCAACTCATAGAGTTGAACACTTCCCTTCATACAGCAGGTTTGAAACACTCTTTTTGTAATATTTGGAAGTGGACATTTGCAGCGCTTTGAGGCCTATGATGAAAAAGGAAATATCTTCCCATAAAAACTAGACAGAAGCATTCTCAGAAACTTGTTTGTGATGTGTGTATTCAACTAACAGAGATGAACCTTTCTTTTTACAGAGCAGTTTTGAAACACTCTTTTTGTGGAATCTGAAAGTGGATATTTGGATAGCTTTGCGGATTTCGTTGGAAACGGGATTACATATAAAATCTAGGGAGAAGCATTCTCAGGAACTTCTTTGTGATGTTTGCATTCAAATCACAGAACTGAACATTCCCTTTCATAGAGCATGTTTGAAACACTCTTCCTGTAGTATCTGCAAACGGACATTTCAAACGCTTTCAGGCCTATGGTGAGAAAGGAAATATCTTCAAATAAAAACTAGACAGAAGCATTCTCAGAAACTTCTTTGTGCTGTATGTCCTCAATTAACAGAGTTGAAACTTTGTTTCGATAGAGCATTTTGGAAATATTCCTTTAGTAGAATCTGCAAGTTGATATTTAGATAGCTAGGAAGATTTCCTTGGAAACGGGAATATCTTCATATAAAATCTAGACGGAGGCATTCTCAGAAAGTGCTTTGTGATGTTTGCATTCAAGTCACAGAGTTGAATATTCCCTTTTATAGAGCAGGTTTGAAACACTCTTTCTGCACTACCTGGAAGTGGACATTTGGAGCGCTTTGAGGCCTATGTTGAAAAAGGAAATATCTTCCCATAAAAACTAGACAGAAGCATTCTCAGAAGCTTGTTTGTGATGTGTGTATTCAACTAACAGAGATGAACCTTTCTTTTTACAGAGCAATTTTGAAACACTCTTTTTGTGGAATCTGAAAGTGGATATTTGGATAGCTTTGAGGATTTCGTTGGAAACGGGATTACATATAAAATCTAGAGAGAAGCATTCTCAGGAACATCTTTGTCATGTTTTCATTCACGTCACAGAACTGAACATTCCCTTTCATAGAGCATGTTTGAAACACTCTTTCTGTAGTATCTGCAAACGGACATTACAAGCGCTTTCAGGCCTATGGTGAGAAAGGAAATATCTTCAAATAAAAACTAGACAGAAGCATTCTCAGAAACTTATTTGCGATGTGTGTCCTCAACTAACAGAGTTGAACCTTTCTTTTGATACAACATTTTGGAAACACTCTTTTTGTAGAATCTGCAAGTGGATATTTGGATAGCTTTGAAGGTTTCGTTGGAAACGGGAATATCTTCATATAAAATCAAGACAGAAGCATTCTGAGAAACTGCTTTGTGATGTTTTCATTCAAGTCACAGAGTAGAATGTTCCCTGTTATATACCAGGTTTGAGACACTCTTTCTGCACTACCTGGAAGTGGACATTTGCAGCGCTTTGAGGCCTATGATGAAAAAGGAAATATCTTCCCATAAAAACTAGACAGAAGCATTCTCAGAAACTTGTTTGTGATGTGTGTATTCAACTAACAGAGATGAACCTTTCTTTTTACAGAGCAGTTTTGAAACACTCTTTTTGTGGAATCTGAAAGTGGATATTTGGATAGCTTTGAGGATTTCGTTGGAAACGGGATTACATATAAAATCTAGAGAGAAGCATTCTTAGGAACTTCTTTGTGATGTTTGCATTCAAGTCACAGAACTGAACATTCCCTTTCATAGAGCATGTTTGAAACACTCTTTCTGTAGTATCTGCAAACGGACATTTCAAACGCTTTCAGGCCTATGGTGAGAAAGGAAATATCTTCAAATAAAAACTAGACAGAAGCATTCTCAGAAACTTATTTGCGATGTGTGTCCTCAACTAACAGAGTTGAACCTTTCTTTTGATACAATATTTTGGAAACACTCTTTTTGTAGAATCTGCAAGTGGATATTTGGATAGCTTTGAAGGTTTCGTTGGAAACGGGAATATCTTCATATAAAATCAAGACAGAAGCATTCTCAGAAACTGCTTTGTGATGTTTTCATTCAAGTCACAGAGTAGAATGTTCCCTGTTATATACCAGGTTTGAGACACTCTTTCTGCACTACCTGGAAGTGGACATTTGCAGCGCTTTGAGGCCTATGATGAAAAAGGAAATATCTTCCCATAAAAACTAGACAGAAGCATTCTCAGAAACTTGTTTGTGATGTGTGTATTCAACTAACAGAGATGAACCTTTCTTTTTACAGAGCAGTTTTGAAACACTCTTTTTGTGGAATCTGAAAGTGGATATTTGGATAGCTTTGAGGATTTCGTTGGAAACGGGATTACATATAAAATCTAGAGAGAAGCATTCTCAGGAACTTCTTTGTGATGTTTGCATTCACGTCACAGAACTGAACATTCCCTTTCATAGAGCATGTTTGAAACACTCTTTCTGTAGTATCTGCAAACGGACATTTCAAACGCTTTCAGGCCTATGGTGAGAAAGGAAATATCTTCAAATAAAAACTAGACAGAAGCATTCTCAGAAACTTATTTGCGTTGTGTGTCCTCAACTATCAGAGTTGAACCTTTCTTTTGATACAACATTTTGGAACCACTCTTTTTGTAGAATCTGCAAGTGGATATTTGAATAGCTTTGAAGGTTTCGTTGGAAACGGGAATATCTTCATATAAAATCAAGACAGAAGCATTCTCAGAAACTTCTCTGTGATGTTTGCATTCAACTCATAGAGTTGAACACTTCCCTTCATACAGCAGGTTTGAAACACTCTTTTTGTAATATTTGGAAGTGGACATTTGCAGCGCTTTGAGGCCTATGATGAAAAAGGAAATATCTTCCCATAAAAACTAGACAGAAGCATTCTCAGAAACTTGTTTGTGATGTGTGTATTCAACTAACAGAGATGAACCTTTCTTTTTACAGAGCAGTTTTGAAACACTCTTTTTGTGGAATCTGAAAGTGGATATTTGGATAGCTTTGCGGATTTCGTTGGAAACGGGATTACATATAAAATCTAGGGAGAAGCATTCTCAGGAACTTCTTTGTGATGTTTGCATTCAAGTCACAGAACTGAACATTCCTTTTCATAGAGCAGGTTTGAAACACTCTTTCTGTAGTATCTGCAAGCGGACGTTTTAAGCGCTTTCAGGCCTGTGGTGAGAAAGGAAATATCTTCAAATAAAAACTAGACAGAAGCATTCTCAGAAACTTATTTGCGATGTGTGTCCTCAACTAACAGAGTTGAACCTTTCTTTTGATACAACATTTTGGAAACACTCTTTTTGTAGAATCTGCAAGTGGATATTTGGATAGCTTTGAAGGTTTCGTTGGAAACGGGAATATCTTCATATGAAATCAAGACAGAAGCATTCTCAGAAACTTCTCTGTGATGTTTGCATTCAACTCATAGAGTTGAACACTTCCCTTCATACAGCAGGTTTGAAACACTCTTTTTCTAATATTTGGAAGTGGACATTTGCAGCGCTTTGAGGCCTATGTTGAAAAAGGAAATATCTTCTCCTAAAAACCAGACAGAAGCATTCTCAGAAACTTGTTTGTGATGTGTGTATTCAACTAACAGAGATGAACCTTTCTTTTTACAGAGCAGTTTTGAAACACTCTTTTTGTGGAATCTGAAAGTGCATATTTGGATAGCTTTGAGGATTTCGTTGGAAACGGGATTACATATAAAATCTAGGGAGAAGCATTCTCAGGAACTTCTTTGTGATGTTTGCATTCAAGTCACAGAACTGAACATTCCCTTTCATAGAGCACGTTTGAAACACTCTTTCTGTAGTATCTGCAAGCGGACGTTTCAAGCGCTTTCAGGCCTATGGTGAGAAAGGAAATATCTTCACGTAACAACTAGACAGAAGCATTCTCAGAAACTTCTTTGTGCTGTATGTCCTCAATTAAGAGAGTTGAACCTTTGTGTGGATACAGCATTTTGGAAACACTCCTTTAGTAGAAT
Source organism: Homo sapiens (assembly GCF_000001405.40). Classification (NCBI taxonomy): domain Eukaryota; kingdom Metazoa; phylum Chordata; class Mammalia; order Primates; family Hominidae; genus Homo; species Homo sapiens. The sequence goes on from NC_000009.12 coordinate 44,497,052, forward strand.
ATGCAAGTTGATATTTAGATAGCTAGGAAGATTTCCTTGGAAACGGGAATATCTTCATATAAAATCTAGACGGAAGCATTCTCAGAAACTGCTTTGTGATGTTTTCATTCAAGTCACAGAGTAGAATGTTCCCTGTTATATACCAGGTTTGAGACACTCTTTCTGCACTACCTGGAAGTGGACGTTTGGAGCGCTTTGAGGCCTATGTTGAAAAAGGAAATATCTTCCCATAAAAACTAGACAGAAGCATTCTCAGAAACTTGTTTGTGATGTGTGTATTCAACTAACAGAGATGAACCTTTCTTTTTACAGAGCAGTTTTGAAACACTCTTTTTGTGGAATCTGAAAGTGGATATTTGGATAGCTTTGAGGATTTCGTTGGAAACGGGATTATATATAAAATCTAGAGAGAAGCATTCTCAGGAACTTCTTTGTGATGTTTGCATTCACGTCACAGAACTGAACATTCCCTTTCATAGAGCATGTTTGAAACACTCTTTCTGTAGTATCTGCAAACGGACATTTCAAGCACTTTCAGGCCTATGGTAAGAAAGGAAATATCTTCAAATAAAAACTAGACAGAAGCATTCTCAGAAACTTATTTGCCATGTGTGTTCTCAACTAACAGAGTTGAACCTTTGTTTTGATACGGCATTTTGGAAACACTCTTTTTGTAGAATCTGCAGGTGGATATTCGGATAGCTTTGAAGGTTTCGTTGGAAACGGGAATATCTTCATATAAAATCTAGACGGAAGCATTCTCAGAAACTGCTTTGTGATGTTTTCATTCAAGTCACAGAGTAGAATGTTCCCTGTTATATACCAGGTTTGAGACACTCTTTCTGCACTACCTGGAAGTGGACGTTTGGAGCGCTTTGAGGCCTATGTTGAAAAAGGAAATAACTTCCCATAATAACTAGACAGAAGCATTCTCAGAAACTTGTTTGTGATGTGTGTATTCAACTAACAGAGATGAACCTTTCTTTTTACAGAGCAGTTTTGAAACACTTTTTTTGTGGAATCTGAAAGTGGTTATTTGGATAGCTTTGAGGATTTCGTTGGAAACGGGATTACATATAAAACCTAGAGAGAAGCATTCTCAGGAACTTCTTTGTGATGTTTGCATTCAAGTCACAGAACTGAACATTCCCTTTCATAGAGCATGTGTGAAACACTCTTTCTGTAGTATCTGCAAACGGACATTTCAAACGCTTTCAGGCCTATGGTGAGAAAGGAAATATCTTCAAATAAAAACTAGACAGAAGAATTCTCAGAAACTTATTTGCGATGTGTGTCCTCAACTAACAGAGTTGAACCTTTCTTTTGATACAACATTTTGGAACCACTCTTTTTGTAGAATCTGCAAGTGGATATTTGGATAGCTTTGAAGGTTTCGTTGGAAACTGGAATATCTTCATATAAAAACAAGACAGAAGCATTCTCAGAAACTTCTCTGTGATGTTTGCATTCAACTCATAGAGTTGAACACTTCCCTTCATACAGCAGGTTTGAAACACTCTTTTTGTAATATTTGGAAGTGGACATTTGCAGCGCTTTGAGGCCTATGATGAAAAAGGAAATATCTTCCCATAAAAACTAGACAGAAGCATTCTCAGAAACTTGTTTGTGATGTGTGTATTCAACTAACAGAGATGAACCTTTCTTTTTACAGAGCAGTTTTGAAACACTCTTTTTGTGGAATCTGAAAGTGGATATTTGGATAGCTTTGCGGATTTCGTTGGAAACGGGATTACATATAAAATCTAGGGAGAAGCATTCTCAGGAACTTCTTTGTGATGTTTGCATTCAAGTCACAGAACTGAACATTCCCTTTCATAGAGCAGGTTTGAAACACTCTTTCTGTAGTATCTGCAAGCGGACGTTTGAAGCGCTTTCAGGCCTGTGGTGAGAAAGGAAATATCTTCAAGTAAAAACTAGACAGAAGCATTCTCAGAAACTTATTTGCGATGTGTGTTCTCAACTAACAGAGTTGAACCTTTGTTTTGATACGGCATTTTGGAAACACTCTTTTTGTAGAATCTGCAGGTGGATATTCGGATAGCTTTGAAGGTTTCGTTGGAAACGGGAATATCTTCATATAAAATCTAGACGGAAGCATTCTCAGAAACTGCTTTGTGATGTTTTCATTCAAGTCACAGAGTAGAATGTTCCCTGTTATATACCAGGTTTGAGACACTATTTCTGCACTACCTGGAAGTGGACATTTGGAGCGCTTTGAGGCCTATGATGAAAAAGGAAATATCTTCCCATAAAAACTAGACAGAAGCATTCTCAGAAACTTGTTTGTGATGTGTGTATTCAACTAACAGAGATGAACCTTTCTTTTTACAGAGCAGTTTTGAAACACTCTTTTTGTGGAATCTGAAAGTGGATATTTGGATAGCTTTGAGGATTTCGTTGGAAACGGGATTACATATAAATTCTAGAGAGAAGCATTCTCAGGAACTTCTTTGTGATGTTTGCATTCACGTCACAGAACTGAACATTCCCTTTCATAGAGCATGTTTGAAACACTCTTTCTGTAGTATCTGCAAACGGACATTTCAAACGCTTTCAGGCCTGTGGTGAGAAAGGAAATATCTTCAAATAAAAACTAGACAGAAGCATTCTCAGCAACTTATTTGCGATGTGTGTCCTCAACTAACAGGGTTGAACCTTTCTTTTGATTCAACATTTTGGAAACACTCTTTTTGTAGAATCTGCAAGTGTATATTTGGATAGCTTTGAAGGTTTCGTTGGAAACGGGAATATCTTCATATAAAATCAAGACAGAAGCATTCTCAGAAAGTGCTTTGTGATGTCTTCATTCAAGTCACAGAGTAGAATGTTCCCTTTTATAGTGCAGGTTTGAAACACTCTTTCTCCACTACCTGGAAGTGGACATTTGGAGCGCTTTGAGACCTATGTTGAAAAAGGAAATATCTTCCCATAAAAACTAGACAGAAGCATTCTCAGAAACTTGTTTGTGATGTGTGTATTCAACTAACAGAGATGAACCTTTCTTTTTACAGAGCAGTTTTGAAACACTCTTTTTGTGGAATCTGAAAGTGGATATTTGGATAGCTTTGAGGATTTCGTTGGAAACGGGATTACATATAAAACCTAGAGAGAAGCATTCTCAGGAACTTCTTTGTGATGTTTGCCTTCAAGTCACAGGACTGAACATTCCCTTTCATAGAGCAGGTTTGAAACACTCTTTCTGTAGTATCTGCAAGCTGACGTTTCAAGCGCTTTCAGGCCTATGGTGAGAAAGGAAATATCTTCAAGTAAAAACTAGACAGAAGCATTCTCAGAAACTTATTTGCCATGTGTGTTCTCAACTAACAGAGTTGAACCTTTGTTTTGATACGGCATTTTGGAAACACTCTTTTTGTAGAATCTGCAGGTGGATATTCGGATAGCTTTGAAGGTTTCGTTGGAAACGGGAATATCTTCATATAAAATCTAGACGGAAGCATTCTCAGAAACTGCTTTGTGATGTTTTCATTCAAGTCACAGAGTAGAATGTTCCCTGTTATACACCAGGTTTGAGACACTCTTTCTGCACTACCTGGAAGTGGACGTTTGGAGCGCTTTGAGGCCTATGTTGAAAAAGGAAATATCTTCCCATAAAAACTAGACAGAAGCATTCTCAGAAACTTGTTTGTGATGTGTGTATTCAACTAACAGAGATGAACCTTTCTTTTTACAGAGCAGTTTTGAAACACTCTTTTTGTGGAATCTGAAAGTGGATATTTGGATAGCTTTGAGGATTTCGTTGGAAACGGGATTACATATAAAACCTAGAGAGAAGCATTCTCAGGAACTTCTTTGTGATGTTTGCATTCAAGTCACAGAACTGAACATTCCCTTTCATAGAGCAGGTTTGAAACACTCTTTCTGTAGTATCTGCAAGCTGACGTTTCAAGCGCTTTCAGGCCTATGGTGACAAAGGAAATATCTTCAAGTAAAAACTAGACAGAAGCATTCTCCAGAAACTTATTTGCGATGTGTGTCCTCAACTAACAGAGTTGAACCTTTCTTTTGATACAACATTTTGGAAACACTCTTTTTGTAGAATCTGCAAGTGGATATTTGAATAGCTTTGAAGGTTTCGTTGGAAACGGGAATATCTTCATATAAAATCAAGACAGAAGCATTCTCAGAAAGTGCTTTGTGATGTTTGCATTCAAGTCACAGAGTTGAATATTCCCTTTTATAGAGCAGGTTTGAAACACTCTTTCTGCACTACCTAGAAGTGGACATTTGGAGCGCTTTGAGGCCTATGTTGAAAAAGGAAATATCTTCCCATAAAAACTAGACATAAGCATTCTCAGAAACTTGTTTGTGATGTGTGTATTCAACCTAACAGAGATGAACCTTTCTTTTTACAGAGCAGTTTTGAAACACTCTTTTTGTGGAATCTGAAAGTGGATATTTGGATAGCTTTGAGGATTTCGTTGGAAACAGGATTACATATAAAATCTAGAGAGAAGCATTCTCAGGAACTTCTTTGTGATGTTTGCATTCAAGTCACAGATCTGAACATTCCCTTTCATAGAGCAGGTTTGAAACACTCTTTCTGTAGTATCTGCAAGCGGACGTTTTAAGCGCTTTCAGGCCTGTGGTGAGAAAGGAAATATCTTCAAATAAAAACTAGACAGAAGCATTCTCAGAATCTTATTTGCGATGTGTGTCCTCAACTAACAGAGTTGAACCTTTCTTTTGATACAACATTTTGGAAACACTCTTTTTGTAGAATCTGCAAGTGGATATTTGGATAGCTTTGAAGGTTTCGTTGGAAACGGGAATATCTTCATATGAAATCAAGACAGAAGCATTCTCAGAAACTTCTCTGTGATGTTTGCATTCAACTCATAGAGTTGAACACTTCCCTTCATACAGCAGGTTTGAAACACTCTTTTTGTAATATTTGGAAGTGGACATTTGCAGCGCTTTGAGGCCTATGTTGAAAAAGGAAATATCTTCTCCTAAAAACCAGACAGAAGCATTCTCAGAAACTTCCTTGTGATGTGTGTACTCAAGTAACAGAGATGAACCTTGCTTTTGACAGAGCCGTTTTGAAACAGTCTTTTTGTAGAATCTGGAAGTAGATATTTGGATACCTTTGAGGATTTCTTTGGAAACGGGATATCTTCATATAAAATCTAGACAGAAGCATTCTCAGAAACTTCTTTGTGCTGTATGTCCTCAATTAACAGAGTTGAACCTTTGTGTGGATACAGCATTTTGGAAACATTCCTTTAGTAGAATCTGCAAGTTGATATTTAGATAGCTAATAAGATTTCCTTGCATACGGGAATATCTTCATATAAAATCTAGACGGATAAGCATTCTCAGAAACTTATTTGCGATGTGTGTTCTCAACTAACAGAGTTGAACCTTTGTTTTGATATGGCATTTTGGAAACACTCTTTTTGTAGAATCTGCAGGTGGATATTCGGATAGCTTTGAAGGTTTCGTTGGAAACGGGAATATCTTCATATAAAATCTAGACGGAAGCATTCTCAGAAAGTGCTTTGTGATGTTTGCATTCAAGTCACAGAGTTGAATGTTCCCTTTTATAGAGCAGGTTTGAAACACTCTTTCTGCACTACCTGGAAGTGGACATTTGGAGCGCTTTGAGGCCTATGTTGAAAAAGGAAATATCTTCCCATAAAAACTAGACAGAAGCATTCTCAGAAACTTGTTTGTGATGTGTGTATTCAACTAACAGAGATGAACCTTTCTTTTTACAGAGCAGTTTTGAAACACTCTTTTTGTGGAATCTGAAAGTGGATATTTGGATAGCTTTGAGGATTTCGTTGGAAACGGGATTACATATAAAACCTAGAGAGAAGCATTCTCAGGAACTTCCTTTGTGATGTTTGCCTTCAAGTCACAGGACTGAACATTCCCTTTCATAGAGCAGGTTTGAAACACTCTTTCTGTAGTATCTGCAAGCTGACGTTTCAAGCGCTTTCAGGCCTATGGTGAGAAAGGAAATATCTTCAAGTAAAAACTAGACAGAAGCATTCTCAGAAACTTATTTGCCATGTGTGTTCTCAACTAACAGAGTTGAACCTTTGTTTTGATACGGCATTTTGGAAACACTCTTTTTGTAGAATCTGCAGGTGGATATTCGGATAGCTTTGAAGGTTTCGTTGGAAACGGGAATATCTTCATATAAAATCTAGACGGAAGCATTCTCAGAAACTGCTTTGTGATGTTTTCATTCAAGTCACAGAGTAGAATCTTCCCTGTTATATACCAGGGTTCAGACACTCTTTCTGCACTACCTGGAAGTGGACATTTGCAGCGCTTTGAGGCCTATGATGAAAAAGGAAATATCTTCCCATAAAAACTAGACAGAAGCATTCTCAGAAACTTGTTTGTGATGTGTGTATTCAACTAACAGAGATGAACCTTTCTTTTTACAGAGCAGTTTTGAAACACTCTTTTTGTGGAATCTGAAAGTGGATATTTGGATAGCTTTGAGGATTTCGTTGGAAACGGGATTACATATAAAATCTAGAGAGAAGCATTCTCAGGAACTTCTTTGTGATGTTTGCATTCACGTCACAGAACTGAACATTCCCTTTCATAGAGCATGTTTGAAACACTCTTTCTGTAGTATCTGCAAACGGACATTTCAAACGCTTTCAGGCCTATGGTGAGAAAGGAAATATCTTCAAATAAAAACTAGACAGAAGCATTCTCAGAAACTTATTTGCGATGTGTGTCCTCAACTAACAGAGTTGAACCTTTCTTTTGATACAACATTTTGGAAACACTCTTTTTGTAGGATCTGCAAGTGGATATTTGAATAGCTTTGAAGGTTTCGTTGGAAACGGGAATATCTTCATATAAAATCAAGACAGAAGCATTCTCAGAAACTTCTCTGTGATGTTTGCATTCAACTCATAGAGTTGAACACTTCCCTTCATACAGCAGGTTTGAAACACTCTTTTTGTAATATTTGGAAGTGGACATTTGCAGCGCTTTGAAGCCTATGATGAAAAAGGTAATATCTTCTCATAAAATCTAGACAGAAGCATTCTCAGAAACTTATTTGCGATGTGTGTTCTCAGCTAACAGAGTTGAACCTTTGTTTTGATACAGCATTTTGGAAACACTCTTTTTGTAGGATCTGCAGGTGGATATTTGGATAGCTTTGAAGGTTTCGTTGGAAACGGGAATATCTTCATATAAAATCTAGACGGAAGCATTCTCAGAAACTGCTTTGTGATGTTTTCATTCAAGTCACAGAGTAGAATGTTCCCTGTTATATACCAGGTTTGAGACACTCTTTCTGCACTACCTGGAAGTGGACGTTTGGAGCGCTTGAGGCCTATGTTGAAAAAGGAAATATCTTCCCATAAAAACTAGACAGAAGCATTCTCAGAAACTTGTTTGTGATGTGTGTATTCAACTAACAGAGATGAACCTTTCTTTTTACAGAGCAGTTTTGAAACACTCTTTTTGTGGAATCTGAAAGTGGATATTTGGATAGCTTTGCGGATTTCGTTGGAAACGGGATTACATATAAAATCTAGGGAGAAGCATTCTCAGGAACTTCTTTGTGATGTTTGCATTCAAGTCACAGAACTGAACATTCCCTTTCATAGAGCAGGTTTGAAACACTCTTTCTGTAGTATCTGCAAGCGGACGTTTTAAGCGCTTTCAGGCCTGTGGTGAGAAAGGAAATATCTTCAAATAAAAACTAGACAGAAGCATTCTCAGAAACTTATTTGCGATGTGTGTCCTCAACTAACAGAGTTGAAACTTTCTTTTGATACAACATTTTGGAAACACTCTTTTTGTAGAATCTGCAAGTGGATATTTGGATAGCTTTGAAGGTTTCGTTGGAAACGGGAATATCTTCATATGAAATCAAGACAGAAGCATTCTCGGAAACTTCTCTGTGATGTTTGCATTCAACTCATAGAGTTGAACACTTCCCTTCATACAGCAGGTTTGAAACACTCTTTTTCTAATATTTGAAAGTGGACATTTGCAGCGCTTTGAGGCCTATGTTGAAAAAGGTAATATCTTCTCCTAAAAACCAGACAGAAGCATTCTCAGAAACTTCCTTGTGATGTGTGTACTCAAGTAACAGAGTTGAACCTTCCTTTTGACAGAGCAGTTTTGAAGCACTCTTTTTGTAGAATCTGCAAGTGGATATTTTGATACCTTTGAGGATTTCGTTGGACACGGGATATCTTCATATAAAATCTAGACAGAAGCATTCTCAGGAACTTCTTTGTGATGTTTGCATTCAAGTCACAGAACTGAACATTCCCTTTCATAGAGCAGGTTTGAAACACTCTTTCTGTAGTATCTGCAAGCTGACGTTTCAAGCGCTTTCAGGCCTATGGTGAGAAAGGAAATATCTTCAAGTAAAAACTAGACAGAAGCATTCTCAGAAACTTATTTGCGATGTGTGTTCTCAACTAACAGAGTTGAACCTTTGTTTTGATATGGCATTTTGGAAACACTCTTTTTGTAGAATCTGCAGGTGGATATTCGGATAGCTTTGAAGGTTTCGTTGGAAACGGGAATATCTTCATATAAAATCTAGACGGAAGCATTCTCAGAAACTGCTTTGTGATGTTTTCATTCAAGTCACAGAGTAGAATGTTCCCTGTTATATACCAGGTTTGAGACACTCTTTCTGCACTACCTGGAAGTGGACATTTGCAGCGCTTTGAGGCCTATGTTGAAAAAGGAAATATCTTCCCATAAAAACTAGACAGAAGCATTCTCAGAAACTTGTTTGTGATGTGTGTATTCAACTAACAGAGATGAACCTTTCTTTTTACAGAGCAGTTTTGAAACACTCTTTTTGTGGAATCTGAAAGTGGATATTTGGATAGCTTTGCGGATTTCGTTGGAAACGGGATTACATATAAAATCTAGGGAGAAGCATTCTCAGGAACTTCTTTGTGATGTTTGCATTCAAGTCACAGAACTGAACATTCCCTTTCATAGAGCAGGTTTGAAACACTCTTTCTGTAGTATCTGCAAGCGGACGTTTTAAGCGCTTTCAGGCCTGTGGTGAGAAAGGAAATATCTTCAAATAAAAACTAGACAGAAGCATTCTCAGAAACTTATTTGCGATGTGTGTCCTCAACTAACAGAGTTGAACCTTTCTTTTGATACAACATTTTGGAAACACTCTTTTTGTAGAATCTGCAAGTGGATATTTGGATAGCTTTGAAGGTTTCGTTGGAAACGGGAATATCTTCATATGAAATCAAGACAGAAGCATTCTCAGAAACTTCTCTGTGATGTGTGCATTCAACTCATAGAGTTGAACACTTCCCTTCATACAGCAGGTTTGAAACACTCTTTTTCTAATATTTGGAAGTGGACATTTGCAGCGCTTTGAGGCCTATGTTGAAAAAGGAAATATCTTCTCCTAAAAACCAGACAGAAGCATTCTCAGAAACTTGTTTGTGATGCGTGTATTCAACTAACAGAGATGAACCTTTCTTTTTACAGAGCAGTTTTGAAACACTCTTTTTGTGGAATCTGAAAGTGGATATTTGGATAGCTTTGAGGATTTCGTTGGAAACGGGATTACATATAAAACCTAGAGAGAAGCATTCTCAGGAACTTCTTTGTGATGTTTGCATTCAAGTCACAGAACTGAACATTCCCTTTCATAGAGCAGGTTTGAAACACTCTTTCTGTAGTATCTGCAAGCTGACGTTTCAAGAGCTTTCAGGCCTATGGTGAGAAAGGAAATATCTTCAAGTAAAAACTAGACAGAAGCATTCTCAGAAACATATTTGCCATGTGTGTTCTCAACTAACAGAGTTGAACCTTTGTTTTGATACAGCATTTTGGAAACACTCTTTTTGTAGAATCTGCAGGTGGATATTCGGATAGCTTTGAAGGTTTCGTTGGAAACGGGAATATCTTCATATAAAATCAAGACAGAAGCATTCTCAGAAAGTGCTTTGTGATGTTTGCATTCAAGTCACAGAGTTGAATATTCCCTTTTATAGAGCAGGTTTGAAACACTCTTTCTGCACTACCTGGAAGTGGACATTTGGAGCGCTTTGAGGCCTATGTTGAAAAAGGAAATATCTTCCCATAAAAACTAGACAGAAGCATTCTCAGAAACTTGTTTGTGATGTGTGTATTCAACTAACAGAGATGAACCTTTCTTTTTACAGAGCAGTTTTGAAACACTCTTTTTGTGGAATCTGAAAGTGGATATTTGGATAGCTTTGCGGATTTCGTTGGAAACGGGATTACATATAAAACCTAGAGAGAAAGCATTCTCAGGAACTTCTTTGTGATGTTTGCCTTCTAGTCACAGGACTGAACATTCCCTTTCATAGAGCAGGTTTGAAACACTCTTTCTGTAGTATCTGCAAGCTGACGTTTCAAGCGCTTTCAGGCCTATGGTGAGAAAGGAAATATCTTCAAGTAAAAACTAGACAGAGCATTCTCAGAAACTTATTTGCGATGTGTGTCCTCAACTAACAGAGTTGAACCTTTCTTTTGATACAACATTTTGGAAACACTCTTTTTGTAGAATCTGCAAGTGGATATTTGGATAGCTTTGAAGGTTTCGTTGGAAACGGGAATATCTTCATATGAAATCAAGACAGAAGCATTCTCAGAAACTTCTCTGTGATGTTTGCATTCAACTCATAGAGTTGAACACTTCCCTTCATACAGCAGGTTTGAAACACTCTTTTTGTAATATTTGGAAGTGGACATTTGCAGCGCTTTGAGGCCTATGATGAAAAAGGAAATATCTTCCCATAAAAACTAGACAGAAGCATTCTCAGAAACTTGTTTGTGATGTGTGTATTCAACTAACAGAGATGAACCTTTCTTTTTACAGAGCAGTTTTGAAACACTCTTTTTGTGGAATCTGAAAGTGGATATTTGGATAGCTTTGCGGATTTCGTTGGAAACGGGATTACATATAAAATCTAGGGAGAAGCACTCTCAGGAACTTCTTTGTGATGTTTGCATTCAAGTCACAGAACTGAACATTCCCTTTCATAGAGCAGGTTTGAAACACTCTTTCTGTAGTATCTGCAAGCGGACGTTTTAAGCGCTTTCAGGCCTGTGGTGAGAAAGGAAATATCTTCAAATAAAAACTAGACAGAAGCATTCTCAGAAACTTATTTGCGATGTGTGTCCTCAACTAACAGAGTTGAACCTTTCTTTTGATACAACATTTTGGAAACACTCTTTTTGTAGAATCTGCAAGTGGATATTTGGATAGCTTTGAAGGTTTCGTTGGAAACGGGAATATCTTCATATGAAATCAAGACAGAAGCATTCTCAGAAACTGCTTTGTGATGTTTTCATTCAAGTCACAGAGTAGAATGTTCCCTGTTATATACCAGGTTTGAGAGACTCTTTCTGAACTACCTGGAAGTGGACATTTGGAGCGCTTTGAGGCCTATGCTGAAAAAGGAAATATCTTCCCATAAAAACTAGACAGAAGCATTCTCAGAAACTTGTTTGTGATGTGTGTATTCAACTAACAGAGATGAACCTTTCTTTTTACAGAGCAGTTTTGAAACACTCTTTTTGTGGAATCTGAAAGTGGATATTTGGATAGCTTTGCGGATTTCGTTGGAAACGGGATTACATATAAAATCCTAGGGAGAAGCATTCTCAGGAAACTTCTTTGTGATGTTTGCCTTCAAGTCACAGGACTGAACATTCCCTTTCATAGAGCAGGTTTGAAACACTCCTTCTGTAGTATCTGCAAGCTGACGTTTCAAGCGCTTTCAGGCCTATGGTGAGAAAGGAAATATCTTCAAGTAAAAACTAGACAGAAGCATTCTCAGAAACTTATTTGCCATGTGTGTTCTAAACTAACAGAGTTGAACCTTTGTTTTGATACGGCATTTTGGAAACACTCTTTTTGTAGAATCTGCAGGTGGATATTCGGATAGCTTTGAAGGTTTCGTTGGAAACGGGAATATCTTCATATAAAATCTAGACGGAAGCATTCTCAGAAAGTGCTTTGTGATGTTTGCATTCAAGTCACAGAGTTGAATATTCCCTTTTATAGAGCAGGTTTGAAACACTCTTTCTGCACTACCTGGAAGTGGACATTTGGAGCGCTTTGAGGCCTATGTTGAAAAACGAAATATCTTCCCATAAAAACTAGACAGAAGCATTCTCAGAAACTTGTTTGTGATGTGTGTATTCAACTAACAGAGATGAACCTTTCTTTTTACAGAGCAGTTTTGAAACACTCTTTTTGTGGAATCTGAAAGTGGATATTTGGATAGCTTTGAGGATTTCGTTGGAAACGGGATTACATATAAAACCTAGAGAGAAGCATTCTCAGGAACTTCTTTGTGATGTTTGCATTCAAGTCACAGAACTGAACATTCCCTGTCATAGAGCATGTTTGAAACACTCTTTCTGTAGTATCTGCAAGCGGACGTTTCAAGCGCTTTCAGGCCTATGGAGAGAAAGGAAATATCTTCAACTAAAAACTAGACAGAAGCATTCTCAGAAACTTATTTGCCATGTGTGTTCTCAACTAACAGAGTTGAACCTTTGTTTTGATACGGCATTTTGGAAACACTCTTTTTGTAGAATCTGCAGGTGGATATTCGGATAGCTTTGAAGGTTTCGTTGGAAACGGGAATATCTTCATATAAAATCTAGACGGAAGCATTCTCAGAAACTGCTTTGTGATGTTTTCATTCAAGTCACAGAGTAGAATGTTCCCTGTTATATACCAGGTTTGAGACACTCTTTCTGCACTACCTGGAAGTGGACGTTTGGAGCGCTTTGAGGCCTATGTTGAAAAAGGAAATATCTTCCCATAAAAACTAGACAGAAGCATTGTCAGAAACTTGTTTGTGATGTGTGTATTCAACTAACAGAGATGAACCTTTCTTTTTACAGAACAGTTTTGAAACACTCTTTTTGTGGAATCTGAAAGTGGATATTTGGATAGCTTTGAGGATTTCGTTGGAAACGGGATTACATATAAAACCTAGAGAGAAGCATTCTCAGGAACTTCTTTGTGATGTTTGCATTCAAGTCACAGGACTGAACGTTCCCTTTCATAGAGCAGGTTTGAAACACTCTTTCTGTAGTATCTGCAAGCTGACGTTTCAAGCGCTTTCAGGCCTATGGTGAGAAAGGAAATATCTTCAAGTAAAAACTAGACAGAAGCATTCTCAGAAACTTATTTGCGATGTGTGTCCTCAACTAACAGAGTTGAACCTTTGTTTTGATACAACATTTTGGAAACACTCTTTTTGTAGAATCTGCGAGTGGATATTTGGATAGCTTTGAAGGTTTCGTTGGAAACGGGAATATCTTCATATAAAATCAAGACAGAAGCATTCTCAGAAAGTGCTTTGTGATGTTTGCATTCAAGTCACAGAGTTGAATATTCCCTTTTATAGAGCAGGTTTGAAACACTCTTTCTGAACTACCTGGAAGTGGACATTTGGAGCGCTTTGAGGCCTATGTTGAAAAACGAAATATCTTCCCATAAAAACTAGACAGAAGCATTCTCAGAAACTTGTTTGTGATGTGTGTATTCAACTAACAGAGATGAACCTTTCTTTTTACAGAGCAGTTTTGAAACACTCTTTTTGTGGAATCTGAAAGTGGATATTTGGATAGCTTTGAGGATTTCGTTGGAAACGGGATTACATATAAAACCTAGAGAGAAGCATTCTCAGGAACTTCTTTTTGATGTTGGCCTTCAAGTCACAGGACTGAACATTCCCTTTCATAGAGCAGGTTTGAAACACTCTTTCTGTAGTATCTGCAAGCTGACGTTTCAAGCGCTTTCAGGCCTATGGTGAGAAAGGAAATATCTTCAAGTAAAAACTAGACAGAAGCATTCTCAGAAACTTATTTGCCATGTGTGTTCTCAACTAACAGAGTTGAACCTTTGTTTTGATACGGCATTTTGGAAACACTCTTTTTGTAGAATCTGCAGGTGGATATTCGGATAGCTTTGAAGGTTTCGTTGGAAACGGGAATATCTTCATATAAAATCTAGACGGAAGCATTGTCAGAAACTGCTTTGTGATGTTTTCATTCAAGTCACAGAGTAGAATGTTCCCTGTTATATACCAGGTTTGAGACACTCTTTCTGCACTACCTGGAAGTGGACATTTGTAGCGCTTTGAGGCCTATGATGAAAAAGGAAATATCTTCCCATAAAAACTAGACAGAAGCATTCTCAGAAACTTGTTTGTGATGTGTGTATTCAACTAACAGAGATGAACCTTTCTTTTTACAGAGCAGTTTTGAAACACTCTTTTTGTGGAATCTGAAAGTGGATATTTGGATAGCTTTGAGGATTTCGTTGGAAACGGGATTACATATAAAACCTAGAGAGAAGCATTCTCAGGAACTTCTTTGTGATGTTTGCTTTCTAGTCACAGGACTGAACATTCCCTTTCATAGAGCAGGTTTGAAACACTCTTTCTGTAGTATCTGCAAGCTGACGTTTCAAGCGCTTTCAGGCCTATGGTGACAAAGGAAATATCTTCAAGTAAAAACTAGACAGAAGCATTCTCAGAAACTTATTTGCCATGTGTGTTCTCAACTAACAGAGTTGAACCTTTGTTTTGATACGGCATTTTGGAAACACTCTTTTTGTAGAATCTGCAGGTGGATATTCGGATAGCTTTGAAGGTTTCGTTGGAAACGGGAATATCTTCATATAAAATCTAGACGGAAGCATTCTCAGAAACTGCTTTGTGATGTTTTCATTCAAGTCACAGAGTAGAATGTTCCCTTTTATATACCAGGTTTGAGACACTCTTTCTGCACTATCTGGAAGTGGACATTTGGAGCGCTTTGAGGCCTATGATGAAAAAGGAAATATCTTCCCATAAAAACAAGACAGAAGCATTCTCAGAAACTTGTTTGTGATGTGTGTATTCAACTAACAGATATGAACCTTTCTTTTTACAGAGCAGTTTTGAAACACTCTTTTTGTGGAATCTGAAAGTGGATATTTGGATAGCTTTGAGGATTTCGTTGGAAACGGGATTACATATAAAATCTCCAGAGAAGCATTCTCAGGAACTTCTTTGTGATGTTTGCATTCAAGTCACAGAACTGAACATTCCCTTTCATAGAGCATGTTTGAAACACTCTTTCTGTAGTATCTGCAAACGGACATTTCAAGCGCTTTCAGGACTATGGTAAGAAAGGAAATATCTTCAAATAAAAACTAGACAGGAAGCATTCTCAGAAACTTATTTGCGATGTGTGTCCTCAACTAACAGAGTTGAACCTTTGTTTTGATACAACATTTTGGAAACACTCTTTTTGTAGAATCTGCAAGTGGATATTTGGATAGCTTTGAAGGTTTCGTTGGAAACGGGAATATCTTCATATAAAATCAAGACAGAAGCATTCTCAGAAACTTCTCTGTGATGTTTGCATTCAACTCATAGAGTTGAACACTTCCCTTCATAGAGCAGGTTTGAAACACTCTTTTTGTAATATTTGGAAGTGGACATTTGCAGCGCTTTGAGGCCTATGTTGAAAAAGGAAATATCTTCTCCTAAAAACCAGACAGAAGAATTCTCAGAAACTTGTTTGTGATGTGTGTATTCAACTAACAGAGATGAACCTTTCTTTTTACAGAGCAGTTTTGAAACACTCTTTTTGTGGAATCTGAAAGTGGATATTTCGATAGCTTTGTGGATTTCGTTGGAAACGGGATTACATATAAAACCTAGAGAGAAGCATTCTCAGGAACTTCTTTGTGATGTTTGCATTCACGTCACAGAACTGAACATTCCCTTTCATAGAGCATGTTTGAAACACTCTTTCTGTAGTATCTGCAAGCTGACGTTTCAAGCGCTTTCAGGCCTATGGTGAGAAAGGAAATATCTTCAAGTAAAAACTAGACAGAAGCATTCTCAGAAACTTATTTGCCATGTGTGTTCTCAACTAACAGAGTTGAACCTTTGTTTTGATACGGCATTTTGGAAACACTCTTTTTGTAGAATCTGCAGGTGGATATTCGGATAGCTTTGAAGGTTTCGTTGGAAACGGGAATATCTTCATATAAAATCTAGACGGAAGCATTCTCAGAAACTGCTTTGTGATGTTTTCATTCAAGTCACAGAGTAGAATCTTCCCTGTTATATACCAGGTTTGAGACACTGTTTCTGCACTACCTGGAAGTGGACATTTGCAGCGCTTTGAGGCCTATGTTGAAAAAGGAAATATCTTCCCATAAAAACTAGACAGAAGCATTCTCAGAAACTTGTTTGTGATGTGTGTATTCAACTAACAGAGATGAACCTTTCTTTTTACAGAGCAGTTTTGAAACACTCTTTTTGTGGAATCTGAAAGTGGATATTTGGATAGCTTTGAGGATTTCGTTGGAAACGGGATTACATATAAAACCTAGAGAGAAGCATTCTCAGGAACTTCTTTGTGATGTTTGCCTTCAAGTCACAGGACTGAACATTCCCTTTCATAGAGCAGGTTTGAAACACTCTTTCTGTAGTATCTGCAAGCTGACGTTTCAAGCGCTTTCAGGCCTATGGTGAGAAAGGAAATATCTTCAAGTAAAAACTAGACAGAAGCATTCTCAGAAACTTCTTTGCCATGTGTGTTCTCAACTAACAGAGTTGAACCTTTGTTTTGATACGGCATTTTGGAAACACTCTTTTTGTAGAATCTGCAGGTGGATATTCGGATAGCTTTGAAGGTTTCGTTGGAAACGGGAATATCTTCATATAAAATACTAGACGGAAGCATTCTCAGAAACTGCTTTGTGATGTTTTCATTCAAGTCACAGAGTAGAATGTTCCCTGTTATACACCAGGTTTGAGACACTCTTTCTGCACTACCTGGAAGTGGACGTTTGGAGCGCTTTGAGGCCTATGTTGAAAAAGGAAATATCTTCCCATAAAAACTAGACAGAAGCATTCTCAGAAACTTGTTTGTGATGTGTGTATTCAACTAACAGAGATGAACCTTTCTTTTTACAGAGCAGTTTTGAAACACTCTTTTTGTGGAATCTGAAAGTGGATATTTGGATAGCTTTGAGGATTTCGTTGGAAACGGGATTACATATAAAATCTAGAGAGAAGCATTCTCAGGAACTTCTTTGTGATGTTTGCATTCAAGTCACAGAACTGAACATTCCCTTTCATAGAGCATGTTTGAAACACTCTTTCTGTAGTATCTGCAAGCGGACGTTACAAGCGCTTTCAGGCCTATGGTGAGAAAGGAAATATCTTCAAGTAAAAACTAGACAGAAGCATTCTCAGAAACTTATTTGCCATGTGTGTTCTCAACTAACAGAGTTGAACCTATGTTTTGATACAACATTTTGGAAACACTCTTTTTGTAGAATCTGCAGGTGGATATTCGGATAGCTTTGAAGGTTTCGTTGGAAACGGGAATATCTTCATATAAAATCTAGACGGAAGCATTCTCAGAAAGTGCTTTGTGATGTTTGCATTCAAGTCACAGAGTTGAATATTCCCTTTTATAGAGCAGGTTTGAAACACTCTTTCTGCACTACCTGGAAGTGGACATTTGGAGCGCTTTGAGGCCTATGTTGAAAAAGGAAATATCTTCCCATAAAAACTAGACAGAAGCATTCTCAGAAACTTGTTTGTGATGTGTGTATTCAACTAACAGAGATGAACCTTTCTTTTTACAGAGCAGTTTTGAAACACTCTTTTTGTGGAATCTGAAAGTGGATATTTGGATAGCTTTGAGGATTTCGTTGGAAACGGGATTACATATAAAACCTAGAGAGAAGCATTCTCAGTAACTTCTTTGTGATGTTTGCATTCAAGTCACAGAACTGAACATTCCCTTTCATAGAGCAGGTTTGAAACACTCTTTCTGTAGTATCTGCAAGCTGACGTTTCAAGCGCTTTCAGGCCTATGGTGAGAAAGGAAATATCTTCAAGTAAAAACTAGACAGAAGCATTCTCAGAAACTTCTTTGCCATGTGTGTTCTCAACTAACAGAGTTGAACCTTTGTTTTGATGCGATATTTTGGAAATACTCTTTTTGTAGAATCTGCAGGTGGATATTCGGATAGCTTTGAAGGTTTCGTTGGAAACGGGAATATCTTCATATAAAATCTAGACGGAAGCATTCTCAGAAACTGCTTTGTGATGTTTTCATTCAAGTCACAGAGTAGAATCTTCCCTGTTATATACCAGGTTTCAGACACTCTTTCTGCACTACCTGGAAGTGGACATTTGCAGCGCTTTGAGGCCTATGATGAAAAAGGAAATATCTTCCCATAAAAACTAGACAGAAGCATTCTCAGAAACTTGTTTGTGATGTGTGTATTCAACTAACAGAGATGAACCTTTCTTTTTACAGAGCAGTTTTGAAACACTCTTTTTGTGGAATCTGAAAGTGGATATTTGGATAGCTTTGAGGATTTCGTTGGAAACGGGATTACATATAAAATCTAGAGAGAAGCATTCTCAAGTACTTCTTTGTGATGTTTGCATTCAAGTCACAGAACTGAACATTCCCTTTCATAGAGCAGGTTTGAAACACTCTTTCTGTAGTATCTGCAAGCGGACGTTTTAAGCGCTTTCAGGCCTGTGGTGAGAAAGGAAATATCTTCAAATAAAAACTAGACAGAAGCATTCTCAGAAACTTATTTGCGATGTGTGTCCTCAACTAACAGAGTTGAACCTTTCTTTTGATACAACATTTAGGAAACACTCTTTTTGTAGAATCTGCAAGTGGATATTTGGATAGCTTTGAAGGTTTCGTTGGAAACGGGAATATCTTCATATGAAATCAAGACAGAAGCATTCTCAGAAACTTCTCTGTGATGTTTGCATTCAACTCATAGAGTTGAACACTTCCCTTCATACAGCAGGTTTGAAACACTCTTTTTCTAATATTTGGAAGTGGACATTTGCAGCGCTTTGAGGCCTATGTTGAAAAAGGAAATATCTTCTCCTAAAAACCAGACAGAAGCATTCTCAGAAACTTGTTTGTGATGTGTGTATTCAACTAACAGAGATGAACCTTTCTTTTTACAGAGCAGTTTTGAAACACTCTTTTTGTGGAATCTGAAAGTGGATATTTGGATAGCTTTGCGGATTTCGTTGGAAACGGGATTACATATAAAATCTAGGGAGAAGCATTCTCAGGAACTTCTTTGTGATGTTTGCATTCAAGTCACAGAACTGAACATTCCCTTTCATAGAGCAGGTTTGAAACACTCTTTCTGTAGTATCTGCAAGCGGACGTTTTAAGCGCTTTCAGGCCTGTGGTGAGAAAGGAAATATCTTCAAATAAAAACTAGACAGAAGCATTCTCAGAAACTTATTTGCGTTGTGTGTCCTCAACTAACAGAGTTGAACTTTTCTTTTGATACAACATTTTGGAAACACTCTTTTTGTAGAATCTGCAAGTGGATATTTGGATAACTTTGAAGGTTTCGTTGGAAACGGGAATATCTTCATATGAAATCAAGACAGAAGCATTCTCAGAAACTTCTCTGTGATGTTTGCATTCAACTCATAGAGTTGAACACTTCCCTTCATACAGCAGGTTTGAAACACTCTTTTTCTAATATTTGGAAGTGGACATTTGCAGCGCTTTGAGGCCTATGTTGAAAAAGGAAATATCTTCTCCTAAAAACCAGACAGAAGCATTCTCAGAAACTTGTTTGTGATGTGTGTATTCAACTAACAGAGATGAACCTTTCTTTTTACAGAGCAGTTTTGAAACACTCTTTTTGTGGAATCTGAAAGTGGATATTTGGATAGCTTTGAGGATTTCGTTGGAAACGGGATTACATATAAAATCTAGAGAGAAGCATTCTCAGGAACTTCTTTGTGATGTTTGCAATCACGTCACAGAACTGAACATTCCCTTTCATAGAGCATGTTTGAAACACTCTTTCTGTAGTATCTGCAAACGGACATTTCAAACGCTTTCAGGCCTATGGTGAGAAAGGAAATATCTTCAAGTAAAAACTAGACAGAAGCATTCACAGAAACTTCTTTGTGCTGTATGTCCTCAATTAACAGAGTTGAACCTTTGTGTGGATACAGCATTTTGGAAACATTCCTTTAGTAGAATCTGCAAGTTGATATTTAGATAGCTAGGAAGATTTCCTTGGAAACGGGAATATCTTCATATAAAATCTAGCCGGAAGCATTCTCAGAAAGTGCTTTGTGATGTTTGCATTCAAGTCACAGAGTTGAATATTCCCTTTTATAGAGCAGGTTTGAAACACTCTTTCTGCACTACCTGGAAGTGGACATTTGGAGCGCTTTGAGGCCTATGTTGAAAAAGGAAATATCTTCCCATAAAAACTAGACAGAAGCATTCTCAGAAACTTGTTTGTGATGTGTGTATTCAACTAACAGAGATGAACCTTTCTTTTTACAGAGCAGTTTTGAAACACTCTTTTTGTGGAATCTGAAAGTGGATATTTGGATAGCTTTGAGGATTTCGTTGGAAACGGGATTACATATAAAACCTAGAGAGAAGCATTCTCAGGAACTTCTTTGTGATGTTTGCCTTCAAGTCACAGGACTGAACATTCCCTTTCATAGAGCAGGTTTGAAACACTCTTTCTGTAGTATCTGCAAGCTGACGTTTCAAGCGCTTTCAGGCCTATGGTGAGAAAGGAAATATCTTCAAGTAAAAACTAGACAGAAGCATTCTCAGAAACTTATTTGCCATGTGTGTTCTCAACTAACAGAGTTGAACCTTTGTTTTGATACGGCATTTTGGAAACACTCTTTTTGTAGAATCTGCAGGTGGATATTCGGATAGCTTTGAAGGTTTCGTTGGAAACGGGAATATCTTCATATAAAATCTAGACGGAAGCATTCTCAGAAACTGCTTTGTGATGTTTTCATTCAAGTCACAGAGTAGAATGTTCCCTGTTATATACCAGGTTTGAGACACTCTTTCTGCACTACCTGGAAGTGGACGTTTGGAGCGCTTTGAGGCCTATGTTGAAAAAGGAAATATCTTCCCATAAAAACTAGACAGAAGCATTCTCAGAAACTTGTTTGTGATGTGTGTATTCAACTAACAGAGATGAACCTTTCTTTTTACAGAGTAGTTTTGAAACACTCTTTCTGTGGAATCTGAAAGTGGATATTTGGATAGCTTTGAGGATTTCGTTGGAAACGGGATTACATATAAAATCTACAGAGAAAGCATTCTCAGGGAACTTCTTTGTGATGTTTGCCTTCAAGTCACAGGACTGAACATTCCCTTTCATAGAGCAGGTTTGAAACACTCTTTCTGTAGTATCTGCAAGCTGACGTTTCAAGCGCTTTCAGGCCTATGGTGAGAAAGGAAATATCTTCAAGTAAAAACTAGACAGAAGCATTCTCAGAAACTTATTTGCCATGTGTGTTCTCAACTAACAGAGTTGAACCTTTGTTTTGATACGGCACTTTGGAAACACTCTTTTTGTAGAATCTGCAGGTGGATATTCGGATAGCTTTGAAGGTTTCGTTGGAAACGGGAATATCTTCATATAAAATCTAGACGGAAGCATTCTCAGAAAGTGCTTTGTGATGTTTGCATTCAAGTCACAGAGTTGAATATTCCCTTTTATAGAGCAGGTTTGAAACACTCTTTCTGCACTACCTGGAAGTGGACATTTGGAGCGCTTTGAGGCCTATGTTGAAAAAGGAAATATCTTCCCATAAAAACTAGACAGAAGCATTCTCAGAAACTTGTTTGTGATGTGTGTATTCAACTAACAGAGATGAACCTTTCTTTTTACAGAGCAGTTTTGAAACACTCTTTTTGTGGAATCTGAAAGTGGATATTTGGATAGCTTTGCGGATTTCGTTGGAAACGGGATTACATATAAAATCTAGGGAGAAGCATTCTCAGGAACTTCTTTGTGATGTTTGCATTCAAGTCACAGAACTGAACATTCCCTTTCATAGAGCAGGTTTGAAACACTCTTTCTGTAGTATCTGCAAGCGGACGTTTTAAGCGCTTTCAGGCCTGTGGTGAGAAAGGAAATATCTTCAAATAAAAACTAGACAGAAGCATTCTCAGAAACTTATTTGCGATGTGTGTCCTCAACTAACAGAGTTGAACCTTTCTTTTGATACAACATTTTGGAAACACTCTTTTTGTAGAATCTGCAAGTGGATATTTGGATAGCTTTGAAGGTTTCGTTGGAAACGGGAATATCTTCATATGAAATCAAGACAGAAAGCATTCTCAGAAACTTCTCTGTGATGTTTGCATTCAACTCATAGAGTTGAACACTTCCCTTCATACAGCAGGTTTGAAACACTCTTTTTGTAATATTTGGAAGTGGACATTTGCAGCGCTTTGAGGCCTATGATGAAAAAGGAAATATCTTCCCATAAAAACTAGACAGGAAGCATTCTCAGAAACTTGTTTGTGATGTGTGTATTCAACTAACAGAGATGAACCTTTCTTTTTACAGAGCAGTTTTGAAACACTCTTTTTGTGGAATCTGAAAGTGGATATTCGGATAGCTTTGCGGATTTCGTTGGAAACGGGATTACATATAAAATCTAGGGAGAAGCATTCTCAGGAACTTCTTTGTGATGTTTGCATTCAAGTCACAGAACTGAACATTCCCTTTCATAGAGCAGGTTTGAAACACTCTTTCTGTAGTATCTGCAAGCGGACGTTTTAAGCGCTTTCAGGCCTGTGGTGAGAAAGGAAATATCTTCAAATAAAAACTAGACAGAAGCATTCTCAGAAACTTATTTGCGATGTGTGTCCTCAACTAACAGAGTTGAACCTTTCTTTTGATACAACATTTTGGAAACACTCTTTTTGTAGAATCTGCAAGTGGATATTTGGATAGCTTTGAAGGTTTCGTTGGAAACGGGAATATCTTCATATGAAATCAAGACAGAAGCATTCTCAGAAACTTCTCTGTGATGTTTGCATTCAACTCATAGAGTTGAACACTTCCCTTCATACAGCAGGTTTGAAACACTCTTTTTGTAATATTTGGAAGTGGACATTTGCAGCGCTTTGAGGCCTATGTTGAAAAAGGAAATATCTTCTCCTAAAAACCAGACAGAAGCATTCTCAGAAACTTCCTTGTGATGTGTGTACTCAAGTAACAGAGTTGAACCTTCCTTTTGACAGAGCAGTTTTGAAGCACTCTTTTTGTAGAATCTGCAAGTGGATATTTTGATACCTTTGAGGATTTCGTTGGACACGGGATATCTTCATATAAAATCTAGACAGAAGCATTCTCAGGAACTTCTTTGTGATGTTTGCCTTCAAGTCACAGGACTGAACATTCCCTTTCATAGAGCAGGTTTGAAACACTCTTTCTGTAGTATCTGCAAGCTGACGTTTCAAGCGCTTTCAGGCCTATGGTGACAAAGGAAATATCTTCAAGTAAAAACTAGACAGAAGCATTCTCAGAAACTTATTTGCCATGTGTGTTCTCAACTAACAGAGTTGAACCTTTGTTTTGATATGGCATTTTGGAAACACTCTTTTTGTAGAATCTGCAGGTGGATATTCGGATAGCTTTGAAGGTTTCGTTGGAAACGGGAATATCTTCATATAAAATCTAGACGGAAGCATTCTGAGAAACTGCTTTGTGATGTTTTCATTCAAGTCACAGAGTAGAATGTTCCCTGTTATATACCAGGTTTGAGACACTCTTTCTGCACTACCTGGAAGTGGACATTTGCAGCGCTTTGAGGCCTATGATGAAAAAGGAAATATCTTCCCATAAAAACTAGACAGAAACATTCTCAGAAACTTGTTTGTGATGTGTGTATTCAACTAACAGAGATGAACCTTTCTTTTTACAGAGCAGTTTTGAAACACTCTTTTTGTGGAATCTGAAAGTGGATATTTGGATAGCTTTGAGGATTTCGTTGGAAACGGGATTACATATAAAATCTAGAGAGAAGCATTCTCAGGAACTTCTTTGTGATGTTTGCATTCAAGTCACAGAACTGAACATTCCCTTTCATAGAGCATGTTTGAAACACTCTTTCTGTAGTATCTGCAAGCGGACGTTTCAAGCGCTTTCAGGCCTATGGTGAGAAAGGAAATATCTTCAAGTAAAAACTAGACAGAAGCATTCTCAGAAACTTATTTGCCATGTGTGTTCTCAACTAACAGAGTTGAACCTATGTTTTGATACGGCATTTTGGAAACACTCTTTTTGTAGAATCTGCAGGTGGATATTCGGATAGCTTTGAAGGTTTCGTTGGAAACGGGAATATCTTCATATAAAATCTAGACGGAAGCATTCTCAGAAACTGCTTTGTGATGTTTTCGTTGAAGTCACAGAGTAGAATGTTCCCTTTTATATACCAGGTTTGGGACACTCTTTCTGCACTATCTGGAAGTGGACATTTGGAGCGCTTTGAGGCCTATGATGAAAAAGGAAATATCTTCCCATAAAAACTAGACAGAAGCATTCTCAGAAACTTGTTTGTGATGTGTGTATTCAACTAACAGAGATGAACCTTTCTTTTTACAGCGCAGTTTTGAAACAGTCTTTTTGTAGAATCTGGAAGTAGATATTTGGATACATTTGAGGATTTCTTTGGAAACGGGATATCTTCATATAAAATCTAGACAGAAGCATTCTCAGAAACTTCTTTGTGCTGTATGTCCTCAATTAACAGAGTGGAACCTTTGTGTGGATACAGCATTTTGGAAACATTCCTTTAGTAGAATCTGCAAGTTGATATTTAGATAGCTAGGAAGATTTCCTTGGAAACGGGAATATCTTCATATAAAATCTAGACGGAAGCATTCTCAGAAAGTGCTTTGTGATGTTTGCATTCAAGTCACAGAGTTGAATATTCCCTTTTATAGAGCAGGTTTGAAACACTCTTTCTGCACTACCTGGAAGTGGACATTTGGAGCGCTTTGAGGCCTATGTTGAAAAAGGAAATATCTTCCCATAAAAACTAGACAGAAGCATTCTCAGAAACTTGTTTGTGATGTGTGTATTCAACTAACAGAGATGAACCTTTCTTTTTACAGAGCAGTTTTGAAACACTCTTTTTGTGGAATCTGAAAGTGGATATTTGGATAGCTTTGAGGATTTCGTTGGAAACGGGATTACATATAAAACCTAGAGAGAAGCATTCTCAGGAACTTCTTTGTGATGTTTGCATTCAAGTCACAGAACTGAACATTCCCTTTCATAGAGCAGGTTTGAAACACTCTTTCTGTAGTATCTGCAAGCTGACGTTTCAAGCGCTTTCAGGCCTATGGTGAGAAAGGAAATATCTTCAAGTAAAAACTAGACAGAAGCATTCTCAGAAACTTATTTGCCATGTGTGTTCTCAACTAACAGAGTTGAACCTTTGTTTTGATACGGCATTTTGGAAACACTCTTTTTGTAGAATCTGCAGGTGGATATTCGGATAGCTTTGAAGGTTTCGTTGGAAACGGGAATATCTTCATATAAAATCTAGACGGAAGCATTCTCAGAAACTGCTTTGTGATGTTTTCATTCAAGTCACAGAGTAGAATGTTCCCTGTTATATACCAGGTTTGAGACACTCTTTCTGCACTACCTGGAAGTGGACGTTTGGAGCGCTTTGAGGCCTATGTTGAAAAAGGAAATATCTTCCCATAAAAACTAGACAGAAGCATTCTCAGAAACTTGTTTGTGATGTGTGTATTCAACTAACAGAGATGAACCTTTCTTTTTACAGAGCAGTTTTGAAACACTCTCTTTGTGGAATCTGAAAGTGGATATTTGGATAGCTTTGAGGATTTCGTTGGAAACGGGATTACATATAAAACCTAGAGAGAAGCATTCTCAGGAACTTCTTTGTGATGTTTGCCTTCTAGTCACAGGACTGAACATTCCCTTTCATAGAGCAGGTTTGAAACACTCTTTCTGTAGTATCTGCAAGCTGACGTTTCAAGCGCTTTCAGGCCTATGGTGAGAAAGGAAATATCTTCAAGTAAAAACTAGACAGAAGCATTCTCAGAAACTTATTTGCCATGTGTGTTCTCAACTAACAGAGTTGAACCTTTGTTTTGATATGGCATTTTGGAAACACTCTTTTTGTAGAATCTGCAGGTGGATATTCGGATAGCTTTGAAAGTTTCGTTGGAAACGGGAATATCTTCATATAAAATCTAGACGGAAGCATTCTCAGAAACTGCTTTGTGATGTTTTCATTCAAGTCACAGAGTAGAATGTTCCCTGTTATATACCAGGTTTGAGACACTCTTTCTGCACTACCTGGAAGTGGACGTTTGGAGCGCTTTGAGGCCTATGTTGAAAAAGGAAATATCTTCCCATAAAAACTAGACAGAAGCATTCTCAGAAACTTGTTTGTGATGTGTGTATTCAACTAACAGAGATGAACCTTTCTTTTTACAGAGCAGTTTTGAAACACTCTTTTTGTGGAATCTGAAAGTGGATATTTGGATAGCTTTGAGGATTTCGTTGGAAACGGGATTACATATAAAATCTAGAGAGAAGCATTCTCAGGAACTTCTTTGTGATGTTTGCATTCACGTCACAGAACTGAACATTCCCTTTCATAGAACATGTTTGAAACACTCTTTCTGTAGTATCTGCAAACGGACATTTCAAACGCTTTCAGGCCTATGGTGAGAAAGGAAATATCTTCAAATAAAAACTAGACAGAAGCATTCTCAGAAACTTCTTTGTGCTGTATGTCCTCAATTAACAGAGTTGAACCTTTGTGTGGATACAGCATTTTGGAAACACTCCTTTAGTAGGATATGCAAGTTGATATTTAGATAGCTAGGAAGATTTCCTTGGAAACGGGAATATCTTCATATAAAATCTAGACGGAAGCATTCTCAGAAAGTGCTTTGTGATGTTTCCATTCAAGTCACATAGTTGAATATTCCCTTTTATAGAGCAGGTTTGAAACACTCTTTCTGCACTACCTGGAAGTGGACATTTGGAGCGCTTTGAGGCCTATGTTGAAAAAGGAAATATCTTCCCATAAAAACTAGACAGAAGCATTCTCAGAAACTTGTTTGTGATGTGTGTATTCAACTAACAGAGATGAACCTTTCTTTTTACAGAGCAGTTTTGAAACACTCTTTTTGTGGAATCTGAAAGTGGATATTTGGATAGCTTTGCGGATTTCGTTGGAAACGGGATTACATATAAAATCTAGGGAGAAGCATTCTCAGGAACTTCTTTGTGATGTTTGCGTTCAAGTCACAGAACTGAACATTCCCTTTCATAGAGCAGGTTTGAAACACTCTTTCTGTAGTATCTGCAAGCGGACGTTTGAAGCGTTTTCAGGCCTGTGGTGAAAAAGGAAATATCTTCAAGTAAAAACTAGACAGAAGCATTCTCAGAAACTTATTTGCGATGTGTGTTCTCAACTAAAAGAGTTGAACCTTTGTTTGGATACAGCACTTTGGAAACACTCTTTTTGTAGAATCTGCAAGTGGATATTTGGATAGCTTTGAAGGTTTCGTTGGAAACGGGAATATCTTCATATAAAATCAAGACAGAAGCATTCTCAGAAAGTGCTTTCGTGATGTTTGCATTCAAGTCACAGAGTAGAATCTTCCCTTTTATAGAGCAGGTTTGAAACACTCTTTCTGCACTACCTGGAAGTGGACATTTGGAGCGCTTTGAGGCCTATGTTGAAAAAGGAAATATCTTCCCATAAAAACTAGACAGAAGCATTCTCAGAAACTTGTTTGTGATGTGTGTATTCAACTAACAGAGATGAACCTTTCTTTTTACAGAGCAGTTTTGAAACACTCTTTTTGTGGAATCTGAAAGTGGATATTTGGATAGCTTTGAGGATTTCGTTGGAAACGGGATTACATATAAAATCTAGAGAGAAGCATTCTCAGGAACTTCTTTGTGATGTTTGCATTCAAGTCACAGAACTGAACATTCCCTTTCATAGAGCATGTTTGAAACACTCTTTCTGTAGTATCTGCAAACGGACATTTCAAACGCTTTCAGGCCTATGGTGAGAAAGGAAATATCTTCAAATAAAAACTAGACAGAAGCATTCTCAGAAACTTATTTGCGATGTGTGTTCTCAACTAACAGAGTTGAACCTTTGTTTGGATACAACATTTTGGAAACACTCTTTTTGTAGAATCTCCAAGTGGATATTTGGATAGCTTTGAAGGTTTCGTTGTTAACGGGAAAATCTTCATATAAAATCAAGACAGAAGCATTCTCAGAAAGTGCTTTGTGATGTTTGCATTCAAGTCACAGAGTTGAATATTCCCTTTTATAGAGCAGGTTTGAAACACTCTTTCTGCACTACCTGGAAGTGGACATTTGGAGCGCTTTGAGGCCTATGTTGAAAAAGGAAATATCTTCCCATAAAAACTAGACAGAAGCATTCTCAGAAACTTGTTTGTGATGTGTGTATTCAACTAACAGAGATGAACCTTTCTTTTTACAGAGCAGTTTTGAAACACTCTTTTTGTGGAATCTGAAAGTGGATATTTGGATAGCTTGGAGGATTTCGTTGGAAACGGGATTACATATAAAACCTAGAGAGAAGCATTCTCAGGAACTTCTTTGTGATGTTTGCATTCACGTCACAGAACTGAACATTCCCTTTCATAGAGCATGTTTGAAACACTCTTTCTGTAGTATCTGCAAACGGACATTTCAAGCGCTTTCAGGCCTATGGTAAGAAAGGAAATATCTTCAAATAAAAACTAGACAGAAGCATTCTCAGAAACTTATTTGCGATGTGTGTCCTCAACTAACAGAGTTGAACCTTTGTTTTGATACAACATTTTGGAAACACTCTTTTTGTAGAATCTGCAAGTGGAGATTTGGATAGCTTTGAAGGTTTCGTTGGAAACGGGAATATCTTCATATAAAATCAAGACAGAAGCATTCTCAGAAACTTCTCTGTGATGTTTGCATTCAACTCATAGAGTTGAACACTTCCCTTCATAGAGCAGGTTTGAAACACTCTTTTTGTAATATTTGGAAGTGGACATTTGCAGCGCTTTGAGGCCTATGTTGAAAAAGGAAATATCTTCTCCTAAAAACCAGACAGAAGCATTCTCAGAAACTTCCTTGTGATGTGTGTACTCAAGTAACAGAGTTGAACCTTACTTTGGACAGAGCCGTTTTAAACAGTCTTTTTGTAGAATCTGGAAGTAGATATTTGGATACCTTTGAGGATTTCTTTGGAAACGGGATATCTTCATATAAAATCTAGACAGAAGCATTCTCAGAAACTTCTTTGTGCTGTATGTCCTCAATTAACAGAGTTGAACCTTTGTGTGGATACAGCATTTTGGAAACATTCCTTTAGTAGAATCTGCAAGTTGATATTTAGATAGCTAGGAAGATTTCCTTGGAAACGGGAATATCTTCATATAAAATCTAGACGGAAGCATTCTCAGAAAGTGCTTTGTGATGTTTGCATTCAAGTCACAGAGTTGAATATTCCCTTTTATAGAGCAGGTCTGAAACACTCTTTCTGCACTACCTGGAAGTGGACATTTGGAACGCTTTGAGGCCTATGTTGAAAAAGGAAATATCTTCCCATAAAAACTAGACAGAAGCATTCTCAGAAACTTGTTTGTGATGTGTGTATTCAACTAACAGAGATGAACCTTTCTTTTTACAGAGCAGTTTTGAAACACTCTTTTTGTGGAATCTGAAAGTGGATATTTGGATAGCTTTGAGGATTTCGTTGGAAACGGGATTACATATAAAACCTAGAGAGAAGCATTCTCAGGAACTTCTTTGTGATGTTTGCCTTCAAGTCACAGGACTGAACATTCCCTTTCATAGAGCAGGTTTGAAACACTCCTTCTGTAGTATCTGCAAGCTGACGTTTCAAGCGCTTTCAGGCCTATGGTGACAAAGGAAATATCTTCAAGTAAAAACTAGACAGAAGCATTCTCAGAAACTTATTTGCCATGTGTGTTCTCAACTAACAGAGTTGAACCTTTGTTTTGATACGGCATTTTGGAAACACTCTTTTTGTAGAATCTGCAGGTGGATATTCGGATAGCTTTGAAGGTTTCGTTGGAAACGGGAATATTTTCATATAAAATCTAGACGGAAGCATTCTCAGAAACTTCTCTGTGATGTTTGCATTCAACTCATAGAGTTGAACACTTCCCTTCATACAGCAGGTTTGAAACACTCTTTTTGTAATATTTGGAAGTGGACATTTGCAGCGCTTTGAGGCCTATGATGAAAAAGGTAATATCTTCCCATAAAAACTAGACAGAAGCATTCTCAGAAACTTGTTTGTGATGTGTGTATTCAACTAACAGAGATGAACCTTTCTTTTTACAGAGCAGTTTTGAAACACTCTTTTTGTGGAATCTGAAAGTGGATATTTGGATAGCTTTGCGGATTTCGTTGGAAACGGGATTACATATAAAATCTAGAGAGAAGCATTCTCAGGAACTTCTTTGTGATGTTTGCATTCAAGTCACAGAACTGAACATTCCCTTTCATAGAGCATGTTTGAAACACTCTTTCTGTAGTATCCGCAAGCGGACGTTTCAAGCGCTTTCAGGCCTATGGTGAGAAAGGAAATATCTTCAAGTAAAAACTAGACAGAAGCATTCTCAGAAACTTATTTGCCATGTGTGTTCTCAACTAACAGAGTTGAACCTTTGTTTTGATACGGCATTTTGGAAACACTCTTTTTGTAGAATCTGCAGGTGGATATTCGGATAGCTTTGAAGGTTTCGTTGGAAACGGGAATATCTTCATATAAAATCTAGACGGAAGCATTCTCAGAAACTGCTTTGTGATGTTTTCATTCAAGTCACAGAGTAGAATGTTCCCTGTTATATACCAGGTTTGAGACACTCTTTCTGCACTACCTGGAAGTGGACGTTTGGAGCGCTTTGAGGCCTATGTTGAAAAAGGAAATATCTTCCCATAAAAACTAGACAGAAGCATTCTCAGAAACTTGTTTGTGATGTGTGTATTCAACTAACAGAGATGAACCTTTCTTTTTACAGAGCAGTTTTGAAACACTCTTTTTGTGGAATCTGAAAGTGGATATTTGGATAGCTTTGAGCATTTCGTTGGAAACGGGATTACATATAAAACCTAGAGAGAAGCATTCTCAGGAACTTCTTTGTGATGTTTGCATTCAAGTCACAGAACTGAACATTCCCTTTCATAGAGCAGGTTTGAAACACTCTTTCTGTAGTATCTGCAAGCGGACGTTTTAAGCGCTTTCAGGCCTGTGGTGAGAAAAGAAATATCTTCAAATAAAAACTAGACAGAAGCATTCTCAGAAACTTATTTGCGATGTGTGTCCTCAACTAACAGAGTTGAACCTTTCTTTTGATACAACATTTTGGAAACACTCTTTTTGTAGAATCTGCAAGTGGATATTTGGATAGCTTTGAAGGTTTCGTTGGAAACGGGAATATCTTCATATGAAATCAAGACAGAAGCATTCTCAGAAACTTCTCTGTGATGTTTGCATTCAACTCATAGAGTTGAACACTTCCCTTCATACAGCAGGTTTGAAACACTCTTTTTCTAATATTTGGAAGTGGACATTTGCAGCGCTTTGAGGCCTATGTTGAAAAAGGAAATATCTTCTCCTAAAAACCAGACAGAAGCATTCTCAGAAACTTGTTTGTGATGTGTGTATTCAACTAACAGAGATGAACCTTTCTTTTTACAGAGCAGTTTTGAAACACTCTTTTTGTGGAATCTGAAAGTGGATATTTGGATAGCTTTGCGGATTTCGTTGGAAACGGGATTACATATAAAATCTAGGGAGAAGCATTCTCAGGAACTTCTTTGTGATGTTTGCATTCAAGTCACAGAACTGAACATTCCCTTTCATAGAGCAGGTTTGAAACACTCTTTCTGTAGTATCTGCAAGCGGACGTTTTAAGCGCTTTCAGGCCTGTGGTGAGAAAGGAAATATCTTCAAATAAAAACTAGACAGAAGCATTCTCAGAAACTTATTTGCGATGTGTGTCCTCAACTAACAGAGTTGAACCTTTCTTTTGATACAACATTTTGGAAACACTCTTTTTGTAGAATCTGCAAGTGGATATTTGGATAGCTTTGAAGGTTTCGTTGGAAACGGGAATATCTTCATATAAAATCAAGACAGCAGCATTCTCAGAAACTTCTCTGTGATGTTTGCATTCAACTCATAGAGTTGAACACTTCCCTTCATACAGCAGGTTTGAAACACTCTTTTTGTAATATTTGGAAGTGGACATTTGCAGCGCTTTGAGGCCTATGATGAAAAAGGAAATATCTTCCCATAAAAACTAGAC
Organism: Homo sapiens; assembly: GCF_000001405.40. Lineage (NCBI taxonomy): Eukaryota > Metazoa > Chordata > Mammalia > Primates > Hominidae > Homo > Homo sapiens. Next base: position 44,529,281 of record NC_000009.12, read on the forward strand.
AGAAGCATTCTCAGAAACTTGTTTGTGATGTGTGTATTCAACTAACAGAGATGAACCTTTCTTTTTACAGAGCAGTTTTGAAACACTCTTTTTGTGGAATCTGAAAGTGGATATTTGGATAGCTTTGCGGATTTCGTTGGAAACGGGATTACATATAAAATCTAGGGAGAAGCATTCTCAGGAACTTCTTTGTGATGTTTGCATTCAAGTCACAGAACTGAACATTCCCTTTCATAGAGCAGGTTTGAAACACTCTTTCTGTAGTATCTGCAAGCGGACGTTTTAAGCGCTTTCAGGCCTGTGGTGAGAAAGGAAATATCTTCAAATAAAAACTAGACAGAAGCATTCTCAGAAACTTATTTGCGATGTGTGTCCTCAACTAACAGAGTTGAACCTTTCTTTTGATACAACATTTTGGAAACACTCTTTTTGTAGAATCTGCAAGTGGATATTTGGATAGCTTTGAAGGTTTCGTTGGAAACGGGAATATCTTCATATGAAATCAAGACAAAAGCATTCTCAGAAACTTCTCTGTGATGTTTGCATTCAACTCATAGAGTTGAACACTTCCCTTCATACAGCAGGTTTGAAACACTCTTTTTCTAATATTTGGAAGTGGACATTTGCAGCGCTTTGAGGCCTATGTTGAAAAAGGAAATATCTTCTCCTAAAAACCAGACAGAAGCATTCTCAGAAACTTGTTTGTGATGTGTGTATTCAACTAACAGAGATGAACCTTTCTTTTTACAGAGCAGTTTTGAAACACTCTTTTTGTGGAATCTGAAAGTGGATATTTGGATAGCTTTGAGGATTTCGTTGGAAACGGGATTACATATAAAATCTAGAGAGAAGCATTCTCAGGAACTTCTTTGTGATGTTTGCATTCAAGTCACAGAACTGAACATTCCCTTTCATAGAGCAGGTTTGAAACACTCTTTCTGTAGTATCTGCAAGCTGACGTTTCAAGCACTTTCAGGCCTATGGTGAGAAAGGAAATATCTTCAAGTAAAAACTAGACAGAAACATTCTCAGAAACTTATTTGCCATGTGTTTTCTCAACTAACAGAGTTGAACCATTGTTTTGATATGGCATTTTGGAAACACTCTTTTTTTAGAATCTGCAGGTGGATATTCGGATAGCTTTGAAGGTTTCGTTGGAAACGGGAATATCTTCATATAAAATCTAGACGGAAGCATTCTCAGAAACTGCTTTGTGATGTTTTCATTCAAGTCACAGAGTAGAATGTTCCCTTTTATATACCAGGTTTGAGACACTCTTTCTGCACTACCTGGAAGTGGACATTTGGAGCGCTTTGAGGCCTATGATGAAAAAGGAAATATCTTCCCATAAAAACTAGACAGAAGCATTCTCAGAAACTTGTTTGTGATGTGTGTATTCAACTAACAGAGATGAACCTTTCTTTTTACAGAGCAGTTTTGAAACACTCTTTTTGTGGAATCTGAAAGTGGATATTTGGATAGCTTTGCGGATTTCGTTGGAAACGGGATTACATATAAAATCTAGGGAGAAGCATTCTCAGGAACTTCTTTGTGATGTTTGCATTCAAGTCACAGAACTGAACATTCCCTTTCATAGAGCAGGTTTGAAACACTCTTTCTGTAGTATCTGCAAGCGGACGTTTTAAGCGCTTTCAGGCCTGTGGTGAGAAAGGAAATATCTTCAAATAAAAACTAGACAGAAGCATTCTCAGAAACTTATTTGCGATGTGTGTCCTCAACTAACAGAGTTGAACCTTTCTTTTGATACAACATTTTGGAAACACTCTTTTTGTAGAATCTGCAAGTGGATATTTGGATAGCTTTGAAGGTTTCGTTGTAAACGGGAATATCTTCATATGAAATCAAGACAGAAGCATTCTCAGAAACTGCTTTGTGATGTCTTCATTCAAGTCACAGAGTAGAATGTTCCCTTTTATAGAGCAGGTTTGAAACACTCTGTGCACTACCTGGAAGTGGACATTTGGAGCGCTTTGAGGCCTATGTTGAAAAAGGAAATATCTTCCCATAGAAAATAGACAGAAGCATTCTCAGAAACTTATTTGTGATGTGTATATTCAACTAACAGAGATGAACCTTTCTTTTTACAGAGCAGTTTTGAAACACTCTTTTTGTGGAATCTGAAAGTGGATATTTGGATAGCTTTGAGGATTTCGTTGGAAACGGGATTACATATAAAATCTAGGGAGAAGCATTCTCAGGAACTTCTTTGTGATGTTTGCATTCAAGTCACAGAACTGAACATTCCCTTTCATAGAGCATGTTTGAAACACTCTTTCTGTAGTATCTGCAAGCGGACGTTTCAAGCGCTTTCAGACCTGTGGTGAAAAACGAAATATCTTCAAATAAAAACTAGACAGAAGCATTCTCAGAAACTTATTTGCGATGTGTGTTCTCAACTAACAGAGTTGAACCTTTGTTTTGATATGGCATTTTGGAAACACTCTTTTTGTAGAATCTGCAGGTGGATATTCGGATAGCTTTGAAGGTTTCGTTGGAAACGGGAATATCTTCATATAAAATCTAGACGGAAGCATTCTCAGAAACTGCTTTGTGATGTTTTCATTCAAGTCACAGAGTAGAATGTTCCCTGTTATATACCAGGTTTGAGACACTCTTTCTGCACTACCTGGAAGTGGACATTTGCAGCGCTTTGAGGCCTATGATGAAAAAGGAAATATCTTCCCATAAAAACTGGACAGAAGCATTCTCAGAAACTTGTTTGTGATGTGTGTATTCAACTAACAGAGATGAACCTTTCTTTTTACAGAGCAGTTTTGAAACACTCTTTTTGTGGAATCTGAAAGTGGATATTTGGATAGCTTTGAGGATTTCGTTGGAAACGGGATTACATATAAAATCTAGAGAGAAGCATTCTCAGGAACTTCTTTGTGATGTTTGCATTCACGTCACAGAACTGAACATTCCCTTTCATAGAGCATGTTTGAAACACTCTTTCTGTAGTATCTGCAAACGGACATTTCAAGCGCTTTCAGGCCTATGGTGAGAAAGGAAATATCTTCAAATAAAAACTAGACAGAAGCATTCTCAGAAACTTATTTGCGATGTGTGTTCTCAACTAACAGAGTTGAACCTTTGTTTTGATATGGCATTTTGGAAACACTCTTTTTGTAGAATCTGCAGGTGGATATTCGGATAGCTTTGAAGGTTTCGTTGGAAACGGGAATATCTTCATATAAAATCTAGACGGAAGCATTCTCAGAAACTGCTTTGTGATGTTTTCATTCAAGTCACAGAGTAGAATCTTCCCTGTTATATACCAGGTTTCAGACACTCTTTCTGCACTACCTGGAAGTGGACATTTGCAGCGCTTTGAGGCCTATGATGAAAAAGGAAATATCTTCCCATAAAAACTAGACAGAAGCATTCTCAGAAACTTGTTTGTGATGTGTGTATTCAACTAACAGAGATGAACCTTTCTTTTTACAGAGCAGTTTTGAAACACTCTTTTTGTGGAATCTGAAAGTGGATATTTGGATAGCTTTGAGGATTTCGTTGGAAACGGGATTACATATAAAATCTAGAGAGAAGCATTCTCAGGAACTTCTTTGTGATGTTTGCATTCAAGTCACAGAACTGAACATTACCTTTCATAGAGCAGGTTTGAAACACTCTTTCTGTAGTATCTGCAAGCGGACGTTTTAAGCGCTTTCAGGCCTGTGGTGAGAAAGGAAATATCTTCAAATAAAAACTAGACAGAAGCATTCTCAGAAACTTATTTGCGATGTGTGTCCTCAACTAACAGAGTTGAACCTTTCTTTTGATACAACATTTTGGAAACACTCTTTTTGTAGAATCTGCAAGTGGATATTTGGATAGCTTTGAAGGTTTCGTTGGAAACGGGAATATCTTCATATAAAATCAAGACAGAAGCATTCTCAGAAAGTGCTTTGTGATGTTTGCATTCAAGTCACAGAGTTGAATATTCCCTTTTATAGAGCAGGTTTGAAACACTCTTTCTGCACTACCTGGAAGTGGACATTTGGAGCGCTTTGAGGCCTATGTTGAAAAAGGAAATATCTTCCCATAAAAACTAGACAGAAGCATTCTCAGAAACTTGTTCGTGATGTGTGTATTCAACTAACAGAGATGAACCTTTCTTTTTACAGAGCAGTTTTGAAACACTCTTTTTGTGGAATCTGAAAGTGGATATTTGGATAGCTTTGAGGATTTCGTTGGAAACGGGATTACATATAAAACCTAGAGAGAAGCATTCTCAGGAACTTCTTTGTGATGTTTGCATTCAAGTCACAGAACTGAACATTCCCTTTCATAGAGCAGGTTTGAAACACTCTTTCTGTAGTATCTGCAAGCTGACGTTTCAAGCGCTTTCAGGCCTATGGTGAGAAAGGAAATATCTTCAAGTAAAAACTAGACAGAAGCATTCTCAGAAACTTATTTGCGATGTGTGTTCTCAACTAACAGAGTTGAACCTTTGTTTTGATATGGCATTTTGGAAACACTCTTTTTGTAGAATCTGCAGGTGGATATTCGGATAGCTTTGAAGGTTTCGTTGGAAACGGGAATATCTTCATATAAAATCTAGACGGAAGCATTCTCAGAAACTGCTTTGTGATGTTTTCATTCCAGTCACAGAGTAGAATGTTCCCTTTTATATACCAGGTTTGAGACACTCTTTCTGCACTATCTGGAAGTGGACATTTGGAGCGCTTTGAGGCCTATGATGAAAAAGGAAATATCTTCCCATAAAAACTAGACAGAAGCATTCTCAGAAATTTGTTTGTGATGTGTGTATTCAACTAACAGACATGAACCTTTCTTTTTACAGAGCAGTTTTGAAACACTCTTTTTGTGGAATCTGAAAGTGGATATTTGGATATCTTTGAGGATTTCGTTGGAAACGGGATTACATATAAAATCTAGAGAGAAGCATTCTCAGGAACTTCTTTGTGATGTTTGCATTCACGTCACAGAACTGAACATTCCCTTTCATAGAGCATGTTTGAAACACTCTTTCTGTAGTATCTGCAAACGGACATTTCAAACGCTTTCAGGCCTATGGTGAGAAAGGAAATATCTTCAAGTAAAAACTAGACAGAAGCATTCTCAGAAACTTATTTGCGATGTGTGTCCTCAACTAACAGAGTTGAACCTTTCTTTTGATACAACATTTTGGAAACACTCTTTTTGTAGAATCAGCAAGTGGATATTTGAATAGCTTTGAAGGTTTCGTTGGAAACGGGAATATCTTCATATAAAATCAAGACGGAAGCATTCTCAGAAACTTCTCTGTGATGTTTGCATTCAACTCATAGAGTTGAACACTTCCCTTCATACAGCAGGTTTGAAACACTCTTTTTGTAATATTTGGAAGTGGACCTTTGCAGCGCTTTGAGGCCTATGATGAAAAAGGAAATATCTTCCCATAAAAACTAGACAGAAGCATTCTCAGAAACTTGTTTGTGATGTGTGTATTCAACTAACAGAGATGAACCTTTCTTTTTACAGAGCAGTTTTGAAACACTCTTTTTGTGGAATCTGAAAGTGGATATTTGGATAGCTTTGCGGATTTCGTTGGAAACGGGATTACATATAAAATCTAGGGAGAAGCATTCTCAGGAACTTCTTTGTGATGTTTGCATTCAAGTCACAGAACTGAACATTCCCTTTCATAGAGCAGGTTTGAAACACTCTTTCTGTAGTATCTGCAAGCGGACGTTTTAAGCGCTTTCAGGCCTGTGGTGAGAAAGGAAATATCTTCAAATAAAAACTAGACAGAAGCATTCTCAGAAACTTATTTGCGATGTGTGTCCTCAACTAACAGAGTTGAACCTTTCTTTTGATACAACATTTTGGAAACACTCTTTTTGTAGAATCTGCAAGTGGATATTTGGATAGCTTTGAAGGTTTCGTTGGAAACGGGAATATCTTCATATGAAATCAAGACAGAAGCATTCTCAGAAACTTCTCTGTGATGTTTGCATTCAACTCATAGAGTTGAACACTTCCCTTCATACAGCAGGTTTGAAACACTCTTTTTCTAATATTTGGAAGTGGACATTTGCAGCGCTTTGAGGCCTATGTTGAAAAGGGAAATATCTTCTCCTAAAAACCAGACAGAAGCATTCTCAGAAACTTCCTTGTGATGTGTGTACTCAAGTAACAGAGTTGAACCTTCCTTTTGACAGAGCAGTTTTGAAGCACTCTTTTTGTAGAATCTGCAAGTGGATATTTTGATACCTTTGAGGATTTCGTTGGACACGGGATATCTTCATATAAAATCTAGACAGAAGCATTCTCAGGAACTTCTTTGTGATGTTTGCATTCAAGTCACAGAACTGAACATTCCCTTTCATAGAGCAGGTTTGAAACACTCTTTCTGTAGTATCTGCAAGCTGACGTTTCAAGCGCTTTCAGGCCTATGGTGAGAAAGGAAATATCTTCAAGTAAAAACTAGACAGAAGCATTCTCAGAAACTTATTTGCGATGTGTGTTCTCAACTAACAGAGTTGAACCTTTGTTTTGATATGGCATTTTGGAAACACTCTTTTTGTAGAATCTGCAGGTGGATATTCGGATAGCTTTGAAGGTTTCGTTGGAAACGGGAATATCTTCATATAAAATCTAGACGGAAGCATTCTCAGAAACTGCTTTGTGATGTTTTCATTCAAGTCACAGAGTAGAATGTTCCCTGTTATATACCAGGTTTGAGACACTCTTTCTGCACTACCTGGAAGTGGACATTTGCAGCGCTTTGAGGCCTATGATGAAAAAGGAAATATCTTCCCATAAAAACTAGACAGAAGCATTCTCAGAAACTTGTTTTTGATGTGTGTATTCAACTAACAGAGATGAACCTTTCTTTTTACAGAGCAGTTTTGAAACACTCTTTTTGTGGAATCTGAAAGTGGATATTTGGATAGCTTTGAGGATTTCGTTGGAAACGGGATTACATATAAAATCTAGAGAGAAGCATTCTCAGGAACTTCTTTGTGATGTTTGCATTCACGTCACAGAACTGAACATTCCCTTTCATAGAGCATGTTTGAAACACTCTTTCTGTAGTATCTGCAAACGGACATTTCAAACGCTTTCAGGCCTATGGTGAGAAAGGAAATATCTTCAAATAAAAACTAGACAGAAGCATTCTCAGAAACTTATTTGCGATGTGTTTCCTCAACTATCAGAGTTGAACCTTTCTTTTGATACAACATTTTGGAACCACTCTTTTTGTAGAATCTGCAAGTGGATATTTGAATAGCTTTGAAGGTTTCGTTGGAAACGGGAATATCTTCATATAAAATCAAGACAGAAGCATTCTCAGAAACTTCTCTGTGATGTTTGCATTCAACTCATAGAGTTGAACACTTCCCTTCATACAGCAGGTTTGAAACACTCTTTTTGTAATATTTGGAAGTGGACATTTGCAGCGCTTTGAGGCCTATGATGAAAAAGGAAATATCTTCCCATAAAAACTAGACAGAAGCATTCTCAGAAACTTGTTTGTGATGTGTGTATTCAACTAACAGAGATGAACCTTTCTTTTTACAGAGCAGTTTTGAAACACTCTTTTTGTGGAATCTGAAAGTGGATATTTGGATAGCTTTGCGGATTTCGTTGGAAACGGGATTACATATAAAATCTAGGGAGAAGCATTCTCAGGAACTTCTTTGTGATGTTTGCATTCAAGTCACAGAACTGAACATTCCCTTTCATAGAGCAGGTTTGAAACACTCTTTCTGTAGTATCTGCAAGCGGACGTTTTAAGCGCTTTCAGGCCTGTGGTGAGAAAGGAAATATCTTCAAATAAAAACTAGACAGAAGCATTCTCAGAAACTTATTTGCGATGTGTGTCCTCAACTAACAGAGTTGAACCTTTCTTTTGATACAACATTTTGGAAACACTCTTTTTGTAGAATCTGCAAGTGGATATTTGGATAGCTTTGAAGGTTTCGTTGGAAACGGGAATATCTTCATATGAAATCAAGACAGAAGCATTCTCAGAAACTTCTCTGTGATGTTTGCATTCAACTCATAGAGTTGAACACTTCCCTTCATACAGCAGGTTTGAAACACTCTTTTTCTAATATTTGGAAGTGGACATTTGCAGCGCTTTGAGGCCTATGTTGAAAAAGGAAATATCTTCTCCTAAAAACCAGACAGAAGCATTCTCAGAAACTTGTTTGTGATGTGTGTATTCAACTAACAGATGAACCTTTCTTTTTACAGAGCAGTTTTGAAACACTCTTTTTGTGGAATCTGAAAGTGGATATTTGGATAGCTTTGCGGATTTCGTTGGAAACGGGATTACATATAAAATCTAGGGAGAAAGCATTCTCAGGAACTTCTTTGTGATGTTTGCATTCAAGTCACAGAACTGAACATTCCCTTTCATAGAGCAGGTTTGAAACACTCTTTCTGTAGTATCTGCAAGCGGACGTTTTAAGCGCTTTCAGGCCTGTGGTGAGAAAGGAAATATCTTCAAATAAAAACTAGACAGAAGCATTCTCAGAAACTTATTTGCGATGTGTGTCCTCAACTAACAGAGTTGAACCTTTCTTTTGATACAACATTTTGGAAACACTCTTTTTGTAGAATCTGCAAGTGGATATTTGGATAGCTTTGAAGGTTTCGTTGGAAACGGGAATATCTTCATATGAAATCAAGACAGAAGCATTCTCAGAAACTGCTTTGTGATGTTTTCATTCAAGTCACAGAGTAGAATGTTCCCTGTTATATACCAGGTTTGAGACACTCTTTCTGCACTACCCGGAAGTGGACGTTTGGAGCGCTTTGAGGCCTATGTTGAAAAAGGAAATATCTTCCCATAAAAACTAGACAGAAGCATTCTCAGAAACTTGTTTGTGATGTGTGTATTCAACTAACAGAGATGAACCTTTCTTTTTACAGAGCAGTTTTGAAACACTCTTTTTGTGGAATCTGAAAGTGGATATTTGGATGGCTTTGAGGATTTCGTTGGAAACGGGATTACATATAAACTCTAGAGAGAAGCATTCTCAGGAACTTCTTTGTGATGTTTGCATTCACGTCACGGAACTGAACATTCCCTTTCATAGAGCATGTTTGAAACACTCTTTCTGTAGTATCTGCAAACGGACATTTCAAACGCTTTCAGGCCTATGGTGAGAAAGGAAATATCTTCAAATAAAAACTAGACAGAAGCATTCTCAGAAACTTATTTGCGATGTGTGTCCTCAACTAACAGAGTTGAACCTTTCTTTTGATACAACATTTTGGAAACACTCTTTTTGTAGAATCTGCAAGTGGATATTTGGATAGCTTTGAAGGTTTCGTTGGAAACGGGAATATCTTCATATAAAATCAAGACAGAAGCATTCTCAGAAAGTGCTTTGTGATGTTTGCATTCAAGTCACAGAGTTGAATATTCCCTTTTATAGAGCAGGTTTGAAACACTCTTTCTGCACTACCTGGAAGTGGACATTTGGAGCGCTTTGAGGCCTATGTTGAAAAAGGAAATATCTTCCCATAAAAACTAGACAGAAGCATTCTCAGAAACTTGTTTGTGATGTGTGTATTCAACTAACAGAGATGAACCTTTCTTTTTACAGAGCAGTTTTGAAACACTCTTTTTGTGGAATCTGAAAGTGGATATTTGGATAGCTTTGAGGATTTCGTTGGAAACGGGATTACATATAAAATTCTAGAGAGAAGAGCATTCTCAGGAAATTCTTTGTGATGTTTGCCTTCAAGTCACAGGACTGAACATTCCCTTTCATAGAGCAGGTTTGAAACACTCTTTCTGTAGTATCTGCAAGCTGACGTTTCAAGCGCTTTCAGGCCTATGGTGAGAAAGGAAATATCTTCAAGTAAAAACTAGACAGAAGCATTCTCAGAAACTTATTTGCGATGTGTGTTCTCAACTAACAGAGTTGAACCTTTGTTTTGATATGGCATTTTGGAAACACTCTTTTTGTAGAATCTGCAGGTGGATATTCGGATAGCTTTGAAGGTTTCGTTGGAAACGGGAATATCTTCATATAAAATCTAGACGGAAGCATTCTCAGAAACTACTTTGTGATGTTTTCATTCAAGTCACAGAGTAGAATGTTCCCTGTTATATACCAGGTTTGAGACACTCTTTCTGCACTACCTGGAAGTGGACATTTGCAGCGCTTTGAGGCCTATGATGAAAAAGGAAATATCTTCCCATAAAAACTAGACAGAAGCATTCTCAGAAACTTGTTTGTGATGTGTGTATTCAACTAACAGAGATGAACCTTTCTTTTTACAGAACAGTTTTGAAACACTCTTTTTGTGGAATCTGAAAGTGGATATTTGGATAGCTTTGAGGATTTCGTTGGAAACGGGATTACATATAAAATCTAGGGAGAAGCATTCTCAGGAACTTCTTTGTGATGTTTGCATTCAAGTCACAGAACTGAACATTCCCTTTCATAGAGCAGGTTTGAAACACTCTTTCTGTAGTATCTGCAAGCGGACGTTTCAAGCGCTTTCAGGCCTGTGGTGAAAAAGGAAATATCTTCAAATAAAAACTAGACAGAAGCATTCTCAGAAACTTATTTGCCATGTGTGTTCTCAACTAACATAGTTGAACCTTTTTTTTGATACGGCATTTTGGAAACACTCTTTTTGTAGAATGTGCAGGTGGATATTCGGATAGCTTTGAAGGTTTCGTTGGAAACGGGAATATCTTCATATAAAATCTAGACGGAAGCATTCTCAGAAAGTGCTTTGTGATGTTTGCATTCAAGTCACAGAGTTGAATATTCCCTTTTATAGAGCAGGGTTGAAACACTCTTTTTGCACTACCTGGAAGTGGACATTTGGAGCGCTTTGAGGCCTATGATGAAAAAGGAAATATCTTCCCATAAAAACTAGACAGAAGCATTCTCAGAAACTTGTTTGTGATGTGTGTATTCAACTAACAAGAGATGAACCTTTCTTTTTACAGAGCAGTTTTGAAACACTCTTTTTGTGGAATCTGAAAGTGGATATTTGGATAGCTTTGAGGATTTCGTTGGAAACGGGATTACATATAAAATCTAGAGAGAAGCATTCTCAGGAACTTCTTTGTGATGTTTGCATTCACGTCAAAGAACTGAACATTCCCTTTCATAGAGCATGTTTGAAAAACTCTTTCTGTAGTATCTGCAAACGGACATTTCAAGGGCTTTCAGGCCTATGGTAAGAAAGGAAATATCTTCAAATAAAAACTAGACAGAAGCATTCTCAGAAACTTATTTGCCATGTGTGTTCTCAACTAACAGAGTTGAACCTTTGTTTTGATACGGCATTTTGGAAACACTCTTTTTGTAGAATCTGCAGGTGGATATTCGGATAGCTTTGAAGGTTTCGTTGGAAACGGGAATATCTTCATATAAAATCTAGACGGAAGCATTCTCAGAAACTGCTTTGTGATGTTTTCATTCAAGTCACAGAGTAGAATGTTCCCTGTTATATACCAGGTTTGAGACACTCTTTCTGCACTACCTGGAAGTGGACGTTTGGAGCGCTTTGAGGCCTATGTTGAAAAAGGAAATATCTTCCCATAAAAACTAGACAGAAGCATTCTCAGAAACTTGTTTGTGATGTGTGTATTCAACTAACAGAGATGAACCTTTCTTTTTACAGAGCAGTTTTGAAACACTCTTTTTGTGGAATCTGAAAGTGGATATTTGGATAGCTTTGAGGATTTCGTTGGAAACGGGATTACATATAAAATCTAGAGAGAAGCATTCTCAGGAACTTCTTTGTGATGTTTGCATTCACGTCACAGAACTGAACATTCCCTTTCATAGAGCATGTTTGAAACACTCTTTCTGTAGTATCTGCAAACGGACATTTCAAACGCTTTCAGGCCTATGGTGAGAAAGGAAATATCTTCAAGTAAAAACTAGACAGAAGCATTCTCAGAAACTTATTTGCGATGTGTGTCCTCAACTAACAGAGTTGAACCTTTCTTTTGATACAACATTTTGGAAACACTCTTTTTGTAGAATCTGCAAGTGGATATTTGAATAGCTTTGAAGGTTTCGTTGGAAACGGGAATATCTTCATATAAAATCAAGACGGAAGCATTCTCAGAAACTTCTCTGTGATGTTTGCATTCAACTCATAGAGTTGAACACTTCCCTTCATACAGCAGGTTTGAAACACTCTTTTTGTAATATTTGGAAGTGGACATTTGCAGCGCTTTGAGGCCTATGTTGAAAAAGGAAATATCTTCTCCTAAAAACCAGACAGAAGCATTCTCAGAAACTTCCTTGTGATGTGTGTACTCAAGTAACAGAGTTGAACCTTCATTTTGACAGAGCAGTTTTGAAGCACTCTTTTTGTAGAATCTGCAAGTGGATATTTTGATACCTTTGAGGATTTCGTTGGACACGGGATATCTTCATATAAAATCTAGACAGAAGCATTCTCAGGAACTTCTTTGTGATGTTTGCATTCACGTCACAGAACTGAACATTCCCTTTCATAGAGCATGTTTGAAACACTCTTTCTGTAGTATCTGCAAACGGACATTTCAAACGCTTTCAGGCCTATGGTGAGAAAGGAAATATCTTCAAATAAAAACTAGACAGAAGCATTCTCAGAAACTTATTTGCGATGTGTGTCCTCAACTAACAGAGTTGAACTTTTCTTTTGATACAACATTTTGGAAACACACTTTTTATAGAATCTGCAAGTGGATATTTGAATAGCTTTGAAGGTTTCGTTGGAAACGGGAATATCTTCAAATAAAAACTAGACAGAAGCATTCTCAGAAACTTATTTGCGATGTGTGTCCTCATCTAACAGAGTTGAACCTTTCTTTTGATACAACATTTTGGAAACACTCTTTTTGTAGAATCTGCAAGTGGATATTTGAATAGCTTTGAAGGTTTCGTTTTAAACGGGAATATCTTCATATAAAATCAAGACAGAAGCATTCTCAGAAACTTCTCTGTGATGTTTGCATTCAACTCATAGAGTTGAACACTTCCCTTCATACAGCAGGTTTGAAACACTCTTTTTGTAATATTTGGAAGTGGACATTTGCAGCGCTTTGAGGCCTATGATGAAAAAGGTAATATCTTCCCATAAAAACTAGACAGAAGCATTCTCAGAAACTTGTTTTTGATGTGTGTATTCAACTAACAGAGATGAACCTTTCTTTTTACAGAGCAGTTTTGAAACACTCTTTTTGTGGAATCTGAAAGTGGATATTTGGATAGCTTTGAAGGTTTCGTTGGAAACGGGAATATCTTCATATAAAATCTAGACGGAAGCATTCTCAGGAACTTCTTTGTGATGTTTGCCTTCAAGTCACAGGACTGAACATTCCCTTTCATAGAGCAGGTTTGAAACACTCTTTCTGTAGTATCTGCAAGCTGACGTTTCAAGCGCTTTCAGGCCTATGGTGAGAAAGGAAATATCTTCAAGTAAAAACTAGACAGAAGCATTCTCAGAAACTTATTTGCCATGTGTGTTCTCAACTAACAGAGTTGAACCTTTGTTTTGATACGGCATTTTGGAAACACTCTTTTTGTAGAATCTGCAGGTGGATATACGGATAGCTTTGAAGGTTTCGTTGGAAACGGGAATATCTTCATATAAAGTCTAGACGGAAGCATTCTCAGAAACTGCTTTGTGATGTTTTCATTCAAGTCACAGAGTAGAATGTTCCCTGTTATATACCAGGTTTGAGACACTCTTTCTGCACTACCTGGAAGTGGACGTTTGGAGCGCTTTGAGGCCTATGTTGAAAAAGGAAATATCTTCCCATAAAAACTAGACAGAAGCATTCTCAGAAACTTGTTTGTGATGTGTGTATTCAACTAACAGAGATGAACCTTTCTTTTTACAGAGCAGTTTTGAAACACTCTTTTTGTGGAATCTGAAAGTGGATATTTGGATAGCTTTGAGGATTTCGTTGGAAACGGGATTACATATAAAATCTAGAGAGAAGCATTCTCAGGAACTTCTTTGTGATGTTTGCATTCACGTCACAGAACTGAACATTCCCTTTCATAGAGCATGTTTGAAACACTCTTTCTGTAGTATCTGCAAACGGACATTTCAAACGCTTTCAGGCCTATGGTGAGAAAGGAAATATCTTCAAGTAAAAACTAGACAGAAGCATTCTCAGAAACTTATTTGCGATGTCTGTCCTCAACTAACAGAGTTGAACCTTTCTTTTGATACAACATTTTGGAAACACTCTTTTTGTAGAATCTGCAAGTGGATATTTGAATAGCTTTGAAGGTTTCGTTGGAAACGGGAATATCTTCATATAAAATCAAGACGGAAGCATTCTCAGAAACTGCTTTGTAATGTTTTCATTCAAGTCACAGAGTAGAATGTTCCCTTTTATATACCAGGTTTGAGACACTCTTTCTGCACTACCTGGAAGTGGACATTTGGAGCGCTTTGAGGCCTATGATGAAAAAGGAAATATCTTCCCATAAAAACTAGACAGAAGCATTCTCAGAAACTTGTTTGTGATGTGTGTATTCAACTAACAGAGATGAACCTTTCTTTTTACAGAGCAGTTTTGAAACACTCTTTTTGTGGAATCTGAAAGTGGATATTTGGATAGCTTTGAGGATTTCGTTGGAAACGGGATTACATATAAAATCTAGAGAGAAGCATTCTCAGGAACTTCTTTGTGATGTTTGCATTCAAGTCACAGAACTGAACATTCCCTTTCTTAGAGCATGTTTGAAACACTCTTTCTGTAGTATCTGCAAGCGGACGTTTCAAGCGCTTTCAGGCCTATGGTGAGAAAGGAAATATCTTCAAGTAAAAACTAGACAGAAGCATTCTCAGAAACTTATTTGCGATGTGTGTCCTCAACTAACAGAGTTGAACCTTTCTTTTGATACAACATTTTGGAAACACTCTTTTTGTAGAATCTGCAAGTGGATATTTGAATAGCTTTGAAGGTTTCGTTGGAAACGGGAATATCTTCATATAAAATCAAGACAGAAGCATTCTCAGAAAGTGCTTTGTGATGTTTGCATTCAAGTCACAGAGTTGAATATTCCCTTTTATAGAGTAGGTTTGAAACACTCTTTCTGCACTACCTGGAAGTGGACATTTGGAGCGCTTTGAGGCCTATGTTGAAAAAGGAAATAACTTCCCATAAAAACTAGACAGAAGCATTCTCAGAAACTTGTTTGTGATGTGTGTATTCAACTAACAGAGATGAACCTTTCTTTTTACAGAGCAGTTTTGAAACACTCTTTTTGTGGAATCTGAAAGTGGATATTTGGATAGCTTTGCGGATTTCGTTGGAAACGGGATTACATATAAAATCTAGGGAGAAGCATTCTCAGGAACTTCTTTGTGATGTTTGCATTCAAGTCACAGAACTGAACATTCCCTTTCATAGAGCAGGTTTGAAACACTCTTTCTGTAGTATCTGCAAGCGGACGTTTTAAGCGCTTTCAGGCCTGTGGTGAGAAAGGAAATATCTTCAAATAAAAACTAGACAGAAGCATTCTCAGAAACTTATTTGCGATGTGTGTCCTCAACTAACAGAGTTGAACCTTTCTTTTGATACAACATTTTGGAAACACTCTTTTTGTAGAATCTGCAAGCGGATATTTGGATAACTTTGAAGGTTTCGTTGGAAACGGGAATATCTTCATATGAAATCAAGACAGAAGCATTCTCAGAAACTTCTCTGTGATGTTTGCATTCAACTCATAGAGTTGAACACTTCCCTTCATACAGCAGGTTTGAAACACTCTTTTTGTAATATTTGGAAGTGGACATTTGCAGCGCTTTGAGGCCTATGTTGAAAAAGGAAATATCTTCTCCTAAAAACCAGACAGAAGCATTCTCAGAAACTTGTTTGTGATGTGTGTATTCAAGTAACAGAGATGAACCTTTCTTTTTAC
Source organism: Homo sapiens (assembly GCF_000001405.40). Taxonomy (NCBI): domain Eukaryota; kingdom Metazoa; phylum Chordata; class Mammalia; order Primates; family Hominidae; genus Homo; species Homo sapiens. Next base: position 44,545,171 of record NC_000009.12, read on the forward strand.
AGAGCAGTTTTGAAACACTCTTTTTGTGGAATCTGAAAGTGGATATTTGGATAGCTTTGCGGATTTCGTTGGAAACGGGATTACATATAAAATCTAGGGAGAAGCATTCTCAGGAACTTCTTTGTGATGTTTGCATTCAAGTCACAGAACTGAACATTCCCTTTCATAGAGCAGGTTTGAAACACTCTTTCTGTAGTATCTGCAAGCGGACGTTTTAAGCGCTTTCAGGCCTGTGGTGAGAAAGGAAATATCTTCAAATAAAAACTAGACAGAAGCATTCTCAGAAACTTATTTGCGATGTGTGTCCTCAACTAACAGAGTTGAACCTTTCTTTTGATACAACATTTTGGAAACACTCTTTTTGTAGAATCTGCAAGTGGATATTTGGATAGCTTTGAAGGTTTCGTTGGAAACGGGAATATCTTCATATGAAATCAAGACAGAAGCATTCTCAGAAACTTCTCTGTGATGTTTGCATTCAACTCATAGAGTTGAACACTTCCCTTCATACAGCAGGTTTGAAACACTCTTTTTGTAATATTTGGAAGTGGACATTTGCAGCGCTTTGAGGCCTATGTTGAAAAAGGAAATATCTTCTCCTAAAAACCAGACAGAAGCATTCTCAGAAACTTTCTTGTGATGTGTGTACTCAAGTAACAGAGTTGAACCTTACTTTTGACAGAGCCGTTTTGAAACAGTCTTTTTGTAGAATCTGGAAGTAGATATTTGGATACCTTTGAGGATTTCTTTGGAAACGGGATATCTTCATATAAAATCTAGACAGAAGCATTCTCAGAAACTTCTTTGTGCTGTATGTCCTCAATTAACAGAGTTGAACCTTTGTGTGGATACAGCATTTTGGAAACACTCCTTTAGTAGAATCTGCAAGTTGATATTTAGATAGCTAGGAAGATTTCCTTGGAAACGGGAATATCTTCACATAAAATCTAGACGGAAGCATTCTCAGAAACTGCTTTGTGATGTTTTCATTCAAGTCACAGAGTAGAATGTTCCCTGTTATATACCAGGTTTGAGACACTATTTCTGCACTACCTGGAAGTGGACATTTGGAGCGCTTTGAGGCCTATGATGAAAAAGGAAATATCTTCCCATAAAAACTAGACAGAAGCATTCTCAGAAACTTGTTTGTGATGTGTGTATTCAACTAACAGAGATGAACCTTTCTTTTTACAGAGCAGTTTTGAAACACTCTTTTTGTGGAATCTGAAAGTGGATATTTGGATAGCTGTGAGGATTTCGTTGGAAACGGGATTACATATAAAATCTAGAGAGAAGCATTCTCAGGAACTTCTTTGTGATGTTTGCATTCACGTCACAGAACTGAACATTCCCTTTCATAGAGCATGTTTGAAACACTCTTTCTGTAGTATCTGCAAACGGACATTTCAAACGCTTTCAGGCCTATGGTGAGAAAGGAAATATCTTCAAATAAAAACTAGACAGAAGCATTCTCAGAAACTTGTTTGCGATGTGTTTCCTCAACTAACAGAGTTGAACCTTTCTTTTGATACAACATTTTGGAAACACTCTTTTTGTAGAATCTGCAAGTGGATATTTGGATAGCTTTGAAGGTTTCTTTGGAAACGGGAATATCTTCATATAAAATCAAGACAGAAGCATTCTCAGAAACTTCTCTGTGATGTTTGCATTCAACTCATAGAGTTGAACACTTCCCTTCATACAGCAGGTTTGAAACACTCTTTTTGTAATATTTGGAAGTGGACATTTGCAGCGCTTTGAGGCCTATGATGAAAAAGGAAATATCTTCCCATAAAAACTAGACAGAGAAGCATTCTCAGCAAACTTGTTTGTGATGTGTGTATTCAACTAACAGAGATGAACCTTTCTTTTTACAGAGCAGTTTTGAAACACTCTTTTTGTGGAATCTGAAAGTGGATATTTGGATAGCTTTGCGGATTTCGTTGGAAACGGGATTACATATAAAATCTAGGGAGAAGCATTCTCAGGAACTTCTTTGTGATGTTTGCATTCACGTCACAGAACTGAACATTCCCTTTCATAGAGCATGTTTGAAACACTCTTTCTGTAGTATCTGCAAACGGACATTTCAAACGCTTTCAGGCCTATGGTGAGAAAGGAAATATCTTCAAATAAAAACTAGACAGAAGCATTCTCAGAAACTTATTTGCGATGTGTGTCCTCAACTAACAGAGTTGAACCTTTCTTTTGATACAACATTTTGGAAACACTCTTTTTGTGGAATCTGCAAGTGGATATTTGGATAGCTTTGAAGGTTTCGGTTGGAAACGGGAATATCTTCATATAAAATCAAGACAGAAGCATTCTCAGAAACTTCTCTGTGATGTTTGCATTCAACTCATAGAGTTGAACACTTCCCTTCATACAGCAGGTTTGAAACACTCTTTTTGTAATATTTGGAAGTGGACATTTGCAGCGCTTTGAGGCCTATGATGAAAAAGGAAATATCTTCCCATAAAAACTAGACAGAAGCATTCTCAGAAACTTGTTTGTGATGTGTGTATTCAACTAACAGAGATGAACCTTTCTTTTTACAGAGTAGTTTTGAAACACTCTTTTTGTGGAATCCGAAAGTGGATATTTGGATAGCTTTGAGGATTTCGTTGGAAACGGGATTACATATAAAATCTAGGGAGAAGCATTCTCAGGAACTTCTTTGTGATGTTTGCCTTCAAGTCACAGGACTAAACATTCCCTTTCATAGAGCAGGTTTGAAACACTCTTTCTGTAGTATCTGCAAGCTGACGTTTCAAGCGCTTTCAGGCCTATGGTGAGAAAGGAAATATCTTCAAGTAAAAACTAGACAGAAGCATTCTCAGAAACTTATTTGCCATGTGTGTTCTCAACTAACAGAGTTGAACCTTTGTTTTGATACGGCATTTTGGAAACACTCTTTTTGTAGAATCTGCAGGTGGATATTCGGATAGCTTTGAAGGTTTCGTTGGAAACGGGAATATCTTCATATAAAATCTAGACGGAAGCATTCTCAGAAACTGCTTTGTGATGTTTTCATTCAAGTCACAGAGTAGAATGTTCCCTGTTATATACCAGGTTTGAGACACTCTTTCTGCACTACCCGGAAGTGGACGTTTGGAGCGCTTTGAGGCCTATGTTGAAAAAGGAAATATCTTCCCATAAAAACTAGACAGAAGTATTCTCAGAAACTTCTTTGTGATGTGTGTATTCAACTAACAGAGATGAACCTTTCTTTTTACAGAGCAGTTTTGAAACACTCTTTTTGTGGAATCTGAAAGTGGATATTTGGATAGCTTTGAGGATTTCGTTGGAAACGGGATTACATATAAAATCTAAGAGGAGAAGCATTCTCAGGAACTTCTTTGTGATGTTTGCATTCAAGTCACAGAACTGAACATTCCCTTTCATAGAGCAGGTTTGAAACACACTTTCTGTAGTATCTGCAAGGGGACGTTTCAAGCTCTTTCAGGCCTGTGGTGAAAAAGGAAATATCTTCAAATAAAGACTAGACAGAAGCATTCTCAGAAACTGATTTGCGATGTGTGTTCTCAACTAACAGAGTTGAACCTTTGTTTTGATACAGCATTTTGGAAACACTCTTTTTGTAGGATCTGCAGGTGGATATTTGGATAGCTTAGAAGGTTTCGTTGGAAACGGGAATATCTTCATAGAAAATCAAGACAGAAGCATTCTCAGAAACTTCTCTGTGATGTTTGCATTCAACTCATGGAGTTGAACACTTCCTTTCATAGAGCAGGTTTGAAACAGTCTGTGCACTACCTGGAAGTGGACATTTGGAGCGCTTTGAGGCCTATGTTGAAAAAGGAAATATCTTCCCATAAAAACTAGACAGAAGCATTCTCAGAAACTTGTTTGTGATGTGTGTATTCAACTAACAGAGATGAACTTTTCTTTTTACAGAGCAGTTTTGAAACACTCTTTTTGTGGAATCTGAAAGTGGATATTTGGATAGCTTTGAGGATTTCGTTGGAAACGGGATTACATATAAAATCTAGGGAGAAGCATTCTCAGGAACTTCTTTGTGATGTTTGCATTCACGTCACAGAACTGAACATTCCCTTTCATAGAGCATGTTTGAAACACTCTTTCTGTAGTATCTGCAAACGGACGTTTCAAACGCTTTCAGGCCTATGGTGAGAAAGGAAATATCTTCAAATAAAAACTAGACAGAAGCATTCTCAGAAACTTATTTGCCATGTGTGTTCTCAACTAACAGAGTTGAACCTTTGTTTTGATATGGCATTTTGGAAACACTCTTTTTCTAGAATCTGCAGGTGGATATTCGGATAGCTTTGAAGGTTTCGTTGGAAACGGGAATATCTTCATATAAAATCTAGACGGAAGCATTCTCAGAAACTGCTTTGTGATGTTTTCATTCAAGTCACAGAGTAGAATGTTCCCTGTTATATACCAGGTTTGAGACACTCTTTCTGTACTACCTGGAAGTGGACGTTTTGAGCGCTTTGAGGCCTATGTTGAAAAAGGAAATATCTTCCCATAAAAACTAGACAGAAGCATTCTCAGAAACTTGTTTGTGATGTGTGTATTCAACTAACAGAGATGAACCTTTCTTTTTACAGAGCAGTTTTGAAACACTCTTTTTGTGGAATCTGAAAGTGGATATTTGGATAGCTTTGAGGATTTCGTTGGAAACGGGATTACATATAAAACCTAGAGAGAAGCATTCTCAGGAACTTCTTTTTGATGTTTGCCTTCAAGTCACAGGACTGAACATTCCCTTTCATAGAGCATGTTTGAAACACTCTTTCTGTAGTATCTGCAAGCTGACGTTTCAAGCGCTTTCAGGCCTATGGTGAGAAAGGAAATATCTTCAAGTAAAAACTAGACAGAAGCATTCTCAGAAACTTATTTGCCATGTGTGTTCTCAACTAACAGAGTTGAACCTTTGTTTTGATACGGCATTTTGGAAACACTCTTTTTGTAGAATCTGCAGGTGGATATTCGGATAGCTTTGAAGGTTTCGTTGGAAACGGGAATATCTTCATATAAAATCTAGACGGAAGCATTCTCAGAAACTGCTTTGTGATGTTTTCATTCAAGTCACAGAGTAGAATCTTCCCTGTTATATACCAGGTTTCAGACACTCTTTCTGCACTACCTGGAAGTGGACATTTGCAGCGCTTTGAGGCCTATGATGAAAAAGGAAATATCTTTCCATAAAAACTAGACAGAAGCATTCTCAGAAACTTGTTTGTGATGTGTGTATTCAACTAACAGAGATGAACCTTTCTTTTTACAGAGCAGTTTTGAAACACTCTTTTTGTGGAATCTGAAAGTGGATATTTGGATAGCTTTGAGGATTTCGTTGGAAACGGGATTACATATAAAATCTAGAGAGAAGCATTCTCAGGAACTTCTTTGTGATGTTTGCATTCACGTCACAGAACTGAACATTCCCTTTCATAGAGCAGGTTTGAAACACTCTTTCTGTAGTATCTGCAAACGGACATTTCAAACGCTTTCAGGCCTATGGTGAGAAAGGAAATATCTTCAAATAAAAACTAGACAGAAGCATTCTCAGAAACTTATTTGCGATGTGTGTTCTCAACTAACAGAGTTGAACCTTTGTTTTGATATGGCATTTTGGAAACACTCTTTTTGTAGAATCTGCAGGTGGATATTCGGATAGCTTTGAAGGTTTCGTTGGAAACGGGAATATCTTCATATAAAATCTAGACGGAAGCATTCTCAGAAACTGCTTTGTGATGTTTTCATTCAAGTCACAGAGTAGAATGTCTCCCTGTTATATACCAGGTTTGAGACACTCTTTCTGCACTACATGGAAGTGGACGTTTGGAGCGCTTTGAGGCCTATGTTGAAAAAGGAAATATCATCCCATAAAAACTAGACAGAAGCATTCTCAGAAACTTGTTTGTGATGTGTGTATTCAACTAACAGAGATGAACCTTTCTTTTTACAGAGCAGTTTTGAAACACTCTTTTTGTGGAATCTGAAAGTGGATATTTGGATAGCTTTGAGGATTTCGTTGGAAACGGGATTACATATAAAATCTAGAGAGAAGCATTCTCAGGAACTTCTTTGTGATGTTTGCATTCACGTCACTGAACTGAACATTCCCTTTCATAGAGCATGTTTGAAACACTCTTTCTGTAGTATCTGCAAACGGACATTTCAAACGCTTTCAGGCCTATGGTGAGAAAGGAAATATCTTCAAATAAAAACTAGACAGAAGCATTCTCAGAAACTTATTTGCGATGTGTGTCCTCAACTAACAGAGTTGAACCTTTCTTTTGATACAACATTTTGGAAACACTCTTTTTGTAGAATCTGCAAGTGGATATTTGAATAGCTTTGAAGGTTTCGTTGGAAACGGGAATATCTTCATATAAAATCAAGACAGAAGCATTCTCAGAAACTTCTCTGTGATGTTTGCATTCAACTCATAGAGTTGAACACTTCCCTTCATACAGCAGGTTTGAAACACTCTTTTTGTAATATTTGGAAGTGGACATTTGCAGCGCTTTGACGCCTATGATGAAAAAGGTAATATCTTCCCATAAAAACTAGACAGAAGCATTCTCAGAAACTTGTTTGTGATGTGTGTATTCAACTAACAGAGATGAACCTTTCTTTTTACAGAGCAGTTTTGAAACACTCTTTTTGTGGAATCTGAAAGTGGATATTTGGATAGCTTTGCGGATTTCGTTGGAAACGGGATTACATATAAAATCTAGGGAGAAGCATTCTCAGGAACTTCTTTGTGATGTTTGCATTCAAGTCACAGAACTGAACATTCCCTTTCATAGAGCAGGTTTGAAACACTCTTTCTGTAGTATCTGCAAGCGGACGTTTTAAGCGCTTTCAGGCCTGTGGTGAGAAAGGAAATATCTTCAAATAAAAACTAGACAGAAGCATTCTCAGAAACTTATTTGCGATGTGTGTCCTCAACTAACAGAGTTGAACCTTTCTTTTGATACAACATTTTGGAAACACTCTTTTTGTAGAATCTGCAAGTGGATATTTGGATAGCTTTGAAGGTTTCGTTGGAAACGGGAATATCTTCATATGAAATCAAGACAGAAGCATTCTCAGAAACTTCTCTGTGATGTTTGCATTCAACTCATAGAGTTGAACGCTTCCCTTCATACAGCAGGTTTGAAACACTCTTTTTGTAATATTTGGAAGTGGAGATTTGCAGCGCTTTGAGGCCTATGTTGAAAAAGGAAATATCTTCTCCTAAAAACCAGACAGAAGCATTCTCAGAAACTTGTTTGTGATGTGTGTATTCAACTAACAGAGATGAACCTTTCTTTTTACAGAGCAGTTTTGAAACACTCTTTTTGTGGAATCTGAAAGTGGATATTTGGATAGCTTTGAGGATTTCGTTGGAAACGGGATTACATATAAAACCTAGAGAGAAGCATTCTCAGGAACTTCTTTGTGATGTTTGCATTCAAGTCACAGAACTCAACATTCCCTTTCATAGAGCAGGTTTGAAACACTCTTTCTGTAGTATCTGCAAGCTGACGTTTCAAGCGCTTTCAGGCCTATGGTGAGAAAGGAAATATCTTCAAGTAAAAACTAGACAGAAGCATTCTCAGAAACTTATTTGCGATGTGTGTTCTCAACTAACAGAGTTGAACCTTTGTTTTGATATGGCATTTTGGAAACACTCTTTTTGTAGAATCTGCAGGTGGATATTCGGATAGCTTTGAAGGTTTCGTTGGAAACGGGAATATCTTCATATAAAATCTAGACGGAAGCATTCTCAGAAACTGCTTTGTGATGTTTTCATTCAAGTCACAGAGTAGAATGTTCCCTGTTATATACCAGGTTTGAGACACTCTTTCTGCACTACCTGGAAGTGGACGTTTGGAGCGCTTTGAGGCCTATGTTGAAAAAGGAAATATCTTCCCATAAAAACTAGACAGAAGCATTCTCAGAAACTTGTTTGTGATGTGTGTATTCAACTAACAGAGATGAACCTTTCTTTTTACAGAGCAGTTTTGAAACACTCTTTTTGTGGAATCTGAAAGTGGATATTTGGATAGCTTTGAGGATTTCGTTGGAAACGGGATTACATATAAAATCTAGAGAGAAGCATTCTCAGGAACTTCTTTGTGATGTTTGCATTCACGTCACAGAACTGAACATTCCCTTTCATAGAGCATGTTTGAAACACTCTTTCTGTAGTATCTACAAACGGACATTTCAAACGCTTTCAGGCCTATGGTGAGAAAGGAAATATCTTCAAATAAAAACTAGACAGAAGCATTCTCAGAAACTTATTTGCGATGTGTGTCCTCAACTAACAGAGTTGAACCTTTCTTTTGATACAACATTTTGGAAACACTCTTTTTGTAGAATCTGCAAGTGGATATTTGGATAGCTTTGAAGGTTTCGTTGGAAACGGGAATATCTTCATATGAAATCAAGACAGAAGCATTCTCAGAAACTGCTTTGTGATGTTTTCATTCAAGTCACAGAGTAGAATGTTCCCTGTTATATACCAGGTTTGAGACACTCTTTCTGCACTACCTGGAAGTGGACGTTTGGAGCGCTTTGAGGCCTATGTTGAAAAAGGAAATATCTTCCCATAAAAACTAGACAGAAGCATTCTCAGAAACTTGTTTGTGATGTGTGTATTCAACTAACAGAGATGAACCTTTCTTTTTACAGAGCAGTTTTGAAACACTCTTTTTGTGGAATCTGAAAGTGGATATTTGGATAGCTTTGAGGATTTCGTTGGAAACGGGATTACATATAAAACCTAGAGAGAAGCATTCTCAGGAACTTCTTTGTGATGTTTGCATTCAAGTCACAGAACTGAACATTCCCTTTCATAGAGCAGGTTTGAAACACTCTTTCTGTAGTATCTGCAAGCTGACGTTTCAAGCGCTTTCAGGCCTATGGTGAGAAAGGAAATATCTTCAAGTAAAAACTAGACAGAAGCATTCTCAGAAACTTATTTGCCATGTGTGTTCTCAACTAACAGAGTTGAACCTTTGTTTTGATACGGCATTTTGGAAACACTCTTTTTGTAGAATCTGCAGGTGGATATTCGGATAGCTTTGAAGGTTTCGTTGGAAACGGGAATATCTTCATATAAAATCTAGACGGAAGCATTCTCAGAAACTGCTTTGTGATGTTTTCATTCAAGTCACAGAGTAGAATGTTCCCTGTTATATACCAGGTTTGAGACACTCTTTCTGCACTACCTGGAAGTGGACGTTTGGAGCGCTTTGAGGCCTTTGTTGAAAAAGGAAATATCTTCCCATAAAAACTAGACAGAAGCATTCTCAGAAACTTGTTTGTGATGTGTGTATTCAACTAACAGAGATGAACCTTTCTTTTTACAGAGCAGTTTTGAAACACTCTTTTTGTGGAATCTGAAAGTGGATATTTGGATAGCTTTGAGGATTTCGTTGGAAACGGGATTACATATAAAACCTAGAGAGAAGCATTCTCAGGAACTTCTTTGTGATGTTTGCATTCAAGTCACAGAACTGAACATTCCCTTTCATAGAGCAGGTTTGAAACACTCTTTCTGTAGTATCTGCAAGCGGACGTTTTAAGCGCTTTCAGGCCTGTGGTGAGAAAGGAAATATCTTCAAATAAAAACTAGACAGAAGCATTCTCAGAAACTTATTTGCGATGTGTGTCCTCAACTAACAGAGTTGAACCTTTCTTTTGATACAACATTTTGGAAACACTCTTTTTGTAGAATCTGCAAGTGGATATTTGAATAGCTTTGAAGGTTTCGTTGGAAACGGGAATATCTTCAAATAAAAACTAGACAGAAGCATTCTCAGAAAGTGCTTTGTGATGTTTGCATTCAAGTCACAGAGTTGAATATTCCCTTTTATAGAGCAGGTTTGAAACACTCTTTCTGCACTACCTGGAAGTGGACATTTGGAGCGCTTTGAGGCCTATGTTGAAAAACGAAATATCTTCCCATAAAAACTAGACAGAAGCATTCTCAGAAACTTGTTTGTGATGTGTGTATTCAACTAACAGAGATGAACCTTTCTTTTTACAGAGCAGTTTTGAAACACTCTTTTTGTGGAATCTGAAAGTGGATATTTGGATAGCTTTGAGGATTTCGTTGGAAACGGGATTACATATAAAACCTAGAGAGAAGCATTCTCAGGAACTTCTTTGTGATGTTTGCCTTCAAGTCACAGGACTGAACATTCCCTTTCATAGAGCAGGTTTGAAACACTCTTTCTGTAGTATCTGCAAGCTGACGTTTCAAGCGCTTTCAGGCCTATGGTGAGAAAGGAAATATGCTTCAAGTAAAAACTAGACAGAGAAGCATTCTCAGAAACTTATTTGCCATGTGTGTTCTCAACTAACAGAGTTGAACCTTTGTTTTGATATGGCATTTTGGAAACACTCTTTTTGTAGAATCTGCAGGTGGATATTCGGATAGCTTTGAAGGTTTCGTTGGAAACGGGAATATCTTCATATAAAATCTAGACGGAAGCATTCTCAGAAACTGCTTTGTGATGTTTTCATTCAAGTCACAGAGTAGAATGTTCCCTGTTATATACCAGGTTTGAAACACTCTTTCTGCACTACATGGAAGTGGACGTTTGGAGTGCTTTGAGGCCTATGTTGAAAAAGGAAATATCATCCCATAAAAACTAGACAGAAGCATTCTCAGAAACTTGTTTGTGATGTGTGTATTCAACTAACAGAGATGAACCTTTCTTTTTACAGAGCAGTTTTGAAACACTCTTTTTGTGGAATCTGAAAGTGGATATTTGGATAGCTTTGAGGATTTCGTTGGAAACGGGATTACATATAAAACCTAGAGAGAAGCATTCTCAGGAACTTCTTTGTGATGTTTGCCTTCAAGTCACAGGACTGAACATTCCCTTTCATAGAGCAGGTTTGAAACACTCCTTCTGTAGTATCTGCAAGCTGACGTTTCAAGCGCTTTCAGGCCTATGGTGAGAAAGGAAATATCTTCAAGTAAAAACTAGACAGAAGCATTCTCAGAAACTTATTTGCCATGTGTGTTCTCAACTAACAGAGTTGAACCTTTGTTTTGATACGGCATTTTGGAAACACTCTTTTTGTAGAATCTGCAGGTGGATATTCGGATAGCTTTGAAGGTTTCGTTGGAAACGGGAATATCTTCATATAAAATCTAGACGGAAGCATTCTCAGAAACTGCTTTGTGATGTTTTCATTCAAGTCACAGAGTAGAATGTTCCCTGTTATATACCAGGTTTGAGACACTATTTCTGCACTACCTGGAAGTGGACATTTGGAGCGCTTTGAGGCCTATGATGAAAAAGGAAATATCTTCCCATAAAAACTAGACAGAAGCATTCTCAGAAACTTGTTTGTGATGTGTGTATTCAACTAACAGAGATGAACCTTTCTTTTTACAGAGCAGTTTTGAAACACTCTTTTTGTGGAATCTGAAAGTGGATATTTGGATAGCTTTGAGGATTTCGTTGGAAACGGGATTACATATAAAACCTAGAGAGAAGCATTCTCAGGAACTTCTTTGTGATGTTTGCATTCAAGTCACAGAACTGAACATTCCCTTTCATAGAGCAGGTTTGAAACACTCTTTCTGTAGTATCTGCAAGCTGACGTTTCAAGCGCTTTCAGGCCTATGGTGAGAAAGGAAATATCTTCAAGTAAAAACTAGACAGAAGCATTCTCAGAAACTTATTTGCGATGTGTGTCCTCAACTAACAGAGTTGAACCTTTCTTTTGATACAACATTTTGGAAACACTCTTTTTGTGGAATCTGCAAGTGGATATTTGGATAGCTTTGAAGGTTTCGTTGGAAACGGGAATATCTTCATATAAAATCAAGACAGAAGCATTCTCAGAAACTTCTCTGTGATGTTTGCATTCAACTCATAGAGTTGAACACTTCCCTTCATACAGCAGGTTTGAAACACTCTTTTTCTAATATTTGGAAGTGGACTTTTGCAGCGCTTTGAAGCCTATGATGAAAAAGGTAATATCTTCCCATAAAAACTAGACAGAAGCATTCTCAGAAACTTGTTTGTGATGTGTGTATTCAACTAACAGAGATGAACCTTTCTTTTTACAGAGCAGTTTTGAAACACTCTTTTTGTGGAATCTGAAAGTGGATATTTGGATAGCTTTGAGGATTTCGTTGGAAACGGGATTACATATAAAACCTAGAGAGAAGCATTCTCAGGAACTTCTTTGTGATGTTTGCATTCACGTCACAGAACTGAACATTCCCTTTCATAGAGCATGTTTGAAACACTCTTTCTGTAGTATCTGCAAACGGACATTTCAAACGCTTTCAGGCCTATGGTGAGAAAGGAAATATCTCCAAGTAAAAACTAGACAGAAGCATTCTCAGAAACTTATTTGCGATGTGTGTCCTCAACTAACAGAGTTGAACCTTTCTTTTGATACAACATTTTGGAAACACTCTTTTTGTAGAATGTGCAAGTGGATATTTGAATAGCTTTGAAGGTTTCGTTGGAAACGGGAATATCTTCATATAAAATCAAGACAGAAGCATTCTCAGAAACTGCTTTGTGATGTTTTCATTCAAGTCACAGAGTAGAATGTTCCCTGTTATATACCAGGTTTGAGACACTCTTTCTGCACTACCTGGAAGTGGACGTTTGGAGCGCTTTGAGGCCTATGTTGAAAAAGGAAATATCTTCCCATAAAAACTAGACAGAAGCATTCTCAGAAACTTGTTTGTGATGTGTGTATTCAACTAACAGGGATGAACCTTTCTTATTACAGAGCAGTTTTGAAACACTCTTTTTGTGGAATCTGAAAGTGGATATTTGGATAGCTTTGCGGATTTCGTTGGAAACGGGATTACATATAAAATCTAGGGAGAAGCATTCTCAGGAACTTCTTTGTGATGTTTGCATTCAAGTCACAGAACTGAACATTCCCTTTCATAGAGCAGGTTTGAAACACTCTTTCTGTAGTATCTGCAAGCGGACGTTTTAAGCGCTTTCAGGCCTGTGGTGAGAAAGGAAATATCTTCAAATAAAAACTAGACAGAAGCATTCTCAGAAACTTATTTGCGATGTGTGTCCTCAACTAACAGAGTTGAACCTTTCTTTTGATACAACATTTTGGAAACACTCTTTTTGTAGAATCTGCAAGTGGATATTTGGATAGCTTTGAAGGTTTCGTTGGAAACGGGAATATCTTCATATGAAATCAAGACAGAAAGCATTCTCAGAAACTTCTCTGTGATGTTTGCATTCAACTCATAGAGTTGAACACTTCCCTTCATACAGCAGGTTTGAAACACTCTTTTTGTAATATTTGGAAGTGGACATTTGCAGCGCTTTGAGGCCTATGATGAAAAAGGAAATATCTTCCCATAAAAACTAGACAGGAAGCATTCTCAGAAACTTGTTTGTGATGTGTGTATTCAACTAACAGAGATGAACCTTTCTTTTTACAGAGCAGTTTTGAAACACTCTTTTTGTGGAATCTGAAAGTGAATATTTGGATAGCTTTGAGGATTTCGTTGGAAACGGGATTACATATAAAATCTAGAGAGAAGCATTCTCAGGAACTTCTTTGTGATGTTTGCATTCACGTCACAGAACTGAACATTCCCTTTCATAGAGCATGTTTGAAACACTCTTTCTGTAGTATCTGCAAACGGACATTTCAAGCGCTTTCAGGCCTATGGTGAGAAAGGAAATATCTTCAAATAAAAACTAGACAGAAGCATTCTCAGAAACTTATTTGCGATGTGTGTCCTCAACTAACAGAGTTGAACCTTTGTTTTGATACAACATTTTGGAAACACTCTTTTAGTAGAATCTGCAAGTGAATATTTGGATAGCTTTGAAGGTTTCGTTGGAAACGGGAATATCTTCATATAAAATCAAGACAGAAGCATTCTCAGAAACTTCTCTGTGATGTTTGCATTCAACTCATAGAGGTGAACACTTCCCTTCATAGAGCAGGTTTGAAACACTCTTTTTGTAATATTTGGAAGTGGACATTTGCAGCGCTTTGAGGCCTATGTTGAAAAAGGAAATATCTTCTCCTAAAAACCAGACAGAAGCATTCTCAGAAACTTGTTTGCGATGTGTTTCCTCAACTAACAGAGTTGAACCTTTCTTTTGATACAACATTTTGGAAACACTCTTTTTGTAGAATCTGCAAGTGGATATTTGGATAGCTTTGAAGGTTTCTTTGGAAACGGGAATATCTTCATATAAAATCAAGACAGAAGCATTCTCAGAAACTTCTCTGTGATGTTTGCATTCAACTCATAGAGTTGAACACTTCCCTTCATACAGCAGGTTTGAAACACTCTTTTTGTAATATTTGGAAGTGGACATTTGCAGCGCTTTGAGGCCTATGTTGAAAAAGGAAATATCTTCTCCTAAAAACCAGACAGAAGCATTCTCAGAAACTTGTTTGTGATGTGTGTATTCAACTAACAGAGATGAACCTTTCTTTTTACAGAGCAGTTTTGAAACACTCTTTTTGTGGAATCTGAAAGTGGATATTTGGATAGCTTTGAGGATTTCGTTGGAAACGGGATTACATATAAAACCTAGAGAGAAGCATTCTCAGGAACTTCTTTGTGATGTTTGCATTCAAGTCACAGAACTGAACATTCCCTTTCATAGAGCAGGTTTGAAACACTCTTTCTGTAGTATCTGCAAGCTGACGTTTCAAGCGCTTTCAGGCCTATGGTGAGAAAGGAAATATCTTCAAGTAAAAACTAGACAGAAGCATTCTCAGAAACTTATTTGCCATGTGTGTTCTCAACTAACAGCAGTTGAACCTTTGTTTTGATACGGCATTTTGGAAACACTCTTTTTGTAGAATCTGCAGGTGGATATTCGGATAGCTTTGAAGGTTTCGTTGGAAACGGGAATATCTTCATATAAAATCTAGACGGAAGCATTCTCAGAAACTTCTCTGTGATGTTTGCATTCAACTCATAGAGTTGAACACTTCCCTTCATACAGCAGGTTTGAAACACTCTTTTTGTAATATTTGGAAGTGGACATTTGCAGCGCTTTGAGGCCTATGATGAAAAAGGAAATATCTTCCCATAAAAACTAGACAGGAAGCATTCTCAGAAACTTGTTTGTGATGTGTGTATTCAACTAACAGAGATGAACCTTTCTTTTTACAGAGCAGTTTTGAAACACTCTTTTTGTGGAATCTGAAAGTGGATATTTGGATAGCTTTGCGGATTTCGTTGGAAACGGGATTACATATAAAATCTAGGGAGAAGCATTCTCAGGAACTTCTTTATGATGTTTGCATTCAAGTCACAGAACTCAACATTCCCTTTCATAGAGCAGGTTTGAAACACTCTTTCTGTAGTATCTGCAAGCGGACGTTTTAAGCGCTTTCAGGCCTGTGGTGAGAAAGGAAATATCTTCAAATAAAAACTAGACAGAAGCATTCTCAGAAACTTATTTGCGATGTGTGTCCTCAACTAACAGAGTTGAACCTTTCTTTTGATACAACATTTTGGAAACACTCTTTTTGTAGAATCTGCAAGTGGATATTTGGATAGCTTTGAAGGTTTCGTTGGAAACGGGAATATCTTCATATGAAATCAAGACAGAAGCATTCTCAGAAACTTCTCTGTGATGTTTGCATTCAACTCATAGAGTTGAACACTTCCCTTCATACAGCAGGTTTGAAACACTCTTTTTCTAATATTTGGAAGTGGACATTTGCAGCGCTTTGAGGCCTATGTTGAAAAAGGAAATATCTTCTCCTAAAAACCAGACAGAAGCATTCTCAGAAACTTGTTTGTGATGTGTGTATTCAACTAACAGAGATGAACCTTTCTTTTTACAGAGCAGTTTTGAAACACTCTTTTTGTGGAATCTGAAAGTGGATATTTGGATAGCTTTGCGGATTTCGTTGGAAACGGGATTACATATAAAATCTAGGGAGAAGCATTCTCAGGAACTTCTTTGTGATGTTTGCATTCAAGTCACAGAACTGAACATTCCCTTTCATAGAGCAGGTTTGAAACACTCTTTCTGTAGTATCTGCAAGCGGACGTTTTAAGCGCTTTCAGGCCTGTGGTGAGAAAGGAAATATCTTCAAATAAAAACTAGACAGAAGCATTCTCAGAAACTTATTTGCGATGTGTGTCCTCAACTAACAGAGTTGAACCTTTCTTTTGATACAACATTTTGGAAACACTCTTTTTGTAGAATCTGCACGTGGATATTTGGATAACGTTGAAGGTTTCGTTGGAAACGGGAATATCTTCATATGAAATCAAGACAGAAGCATTCTCAGAAACTGCTTTGTGATGTTTTCATTCAAGTCACAGAGTAGAATGTTCCCTGTTATATACCAGGTTTGAGACACTCTTTCTGCACTACCTGGAAGTGGACATTTGGAGCGCTTTGAGGCCTATGATGAAAAAGGAAATATCTTCCCATAAAAACTAGACAGAAGCATTCTCAGAAACTTGTTTGTGATGTGTGTATTCAACTAACAGAGATGAACCTTTCTTTTTACAGAGCAGTTTTGAAACACTCTTTTTGTGGAATCTGAAAGTGGATATTTGGATAGCTTTGAGGATTTCGTTGGAAACGGGATTACATATAAAATCTAGAGAGAAGCATTCTCAGGAACTTCTTTGTGATGTTTGCATTCACGTCACAGAACTGAACATTCCCTTTCATAGAGCATGTTTGAAACACTCTTTCTGTAGTATCTACAAACGGACATTTCAAACGCTTTCAGGCCTATGGTGAGAAAGGAAATATCTTCAAATAAAAACTAGACAGAAGCATTCTCAGAAACTTATTTGCCATGTGTGTTCTCAACTAACAGAGTTGAACCTTTGTTTTGATACGGCATTTTGGAAACACTCTTTTTGTAGAATCTGCACGTGGATATTCGGATAGCTTTGAAAGTTTCGTTGGAAACGGGAATATCTTCATATAAAATCTAGACGGAAGCATTCTCAGAAACTGCTTTGTGATGTTTTCATTCAAGCCACAGAGTAGAATGTTCCCTTTTATATACCAGGTTTGAGACACTCTTTCTGCACTATCTGGAAGTGGACATTTGGAGCGCTTTGAGGCCTATGATGAAAAAGGAAATATCTTCCCATAAAAACTAGACAGAAGCATTCTCAGAAACTTGTTTGTGATGTGTGTATTCAACTAACAGAGATGAACCTTTCTTTTTACAGAGCAGTTTTGAAACACTCTTTTTGTGGAATCTGAAAGTGGATATTTGGATAGCTTTGAGGATTTCGTTGGAAACGGGATTACATATAAAATCTAGAGAGAAGCATTCTCAGGAACTTCTTTGTGATGTTTGCATTCACGTCACAGAACTGAACATTCCCTTTCATAGAGCATGTTTGAAACACTCTTTCTGTAGTATCTGCAAACGGACATTTCAAACACTTTCAGGCCTATGGTGAGAAAGGAAATATCTTCAAGTAAAAACTAGACAGAAGCATTCTCAGAAACTTATTTGCGATGTGTGTCCTCAACTAACAGAGTTGAACCTTTCTTTTGATACAACATTTTGGAAACACTCTTTTTGTAGAATCTGCAAGTGGATATTTGAATAGCTTTGAAGGTTTCGTTGGAAACGGGAATATCTTCATATAAAATCAAGACAGAAGCATTCTCAGAAACTTCTCTGTGATGTTTGCATTCAACTCATAGAGTTGAACACTTCCCTTCATACAGCAGGTTTGAAACCCTCTTTTTGTAATATTTGGAAGTGGACATTTGCAGCGCTTTGAGGCCTATGATGAAAAAGGTAATATCTTCCCATAAAAACTAGACAGAAGCATTCTCAGAAACTTGTTTGTGATGTGTGTATTCAACTAACAGAGATGAACCTTTCTTTTTACAGAGCAGTTTTGAAACACTCTTTTTGTGGAATCTGAAAGTGGATATTTGGATAGCTTTGCGGATTTCGTTGGAAACGGGATTACATATAAAATCCTAGGGAGAAGAGCATTCTCAGGAACTTCTTTGTGATGTTTGCATTCAAGTCACAGAACTGAACATTCCCTTTCATAGAGCAGGTTTGAAACACTCTTTCTGTAGTATCTGCAAGCGGACGTTTTAAGCGCTTTCAGGCCTGTGGTGAGAAAGGAAATATCTTCAAATAAAAATTAGGCAGAAGCATTCTCAGAAACTTATTTGCGATGTGTGTCCTCAACTAACAGAGTTGAACCTTTCTTTTGATACAACATTTTGGAAACACTCTTTTTGTAGAATCTGCAAGTGGATATTTGGATAGCTTTGAAGGTTTCGTTGGAAACGGGAATATCTTCATATGAAATCAAGACAGAAGCATTCTCAGAAACTTCTCTGTGATGTTTGCATTCAACTCATAGAGTTGAACACTTCCCTTCATACAGCAGGTTTGAAACACTCTTTTTCTAATATTTGGAAGTGGACATTTGCAGCGCTTTGAGGCCTATGTTGAAAAAGGAAATATCTTCTCCTAAAAACCAGACAGAAGCATTCTCAGAAACTTGTTTGTGATGTGTGTATTCAACTAACAGAGATGAACCTTTCTTTTTACAGAGCAGTTTTGAAACACTCTTTTTGTGGAATCTGAAAGTGGATATTTGGATAGCTTTGCGGATTTCGTTGGAAACGGGATTACATATAAAATCTAGGGAGAAGCATTCTCAGGAACTTCTTTGTGATGTTTGCATTCAAGTCACAGAACTGAACATTCCCTTTCATAGAACAGGTTTGAAACACTCTTTCTGTAGTATCTGCAAGCGGACGTTTTAAGCGCTTTCAGGCCTGTGGTGAGAAAGGAAATATCTTCAAATAAAAACTAGACAGAAGCATTCTCAGAAACTTATTTGCGATGTGTGTCCTCAACTAACAGAGTTGAACCTTTCTTTTGATACAACATTTTGGAAACACTCTTTTTGTAGAATCTGCAAGTGGATATTTGGATAGCTTTGAAGGTTTCGTTGGAAACGGGAATATCTTCATATGAAATCAAGACAGAAGCATTCTCAGAAAGTGCTTTGTGATGTTTTCATTCAAGTCACAGTGTAGAATGTTCCCTTTTATATACCAGGTTTGTGACACTCTTTCTGCACTATCTGGAAGTGGACATTTGGAGCGCTTTGAGGCCTATGTTGAAAAAGGAAATATCTTCCCATAAAAACTAGACAGAAGCATTCTCAGAAACTTGTTTGTGATGTGTGTATTCAACTAACAGAGATGAACCTTTCTTTTTACAGAGCAGTTTTGAAACACTCTTTTTGTGGAATCTGAAAGTGGATATTTGGATAGCTTTGAGGATTTCGTTGGAAACGGGATTACATATAAAACCTAGAGAGAAGCATTCTCAGGAACTTCTTTGTGATGTTTGCCTTCAAGTCACAGGACTAAACATTCCCTTTCATAGAGCAGGTTTGAAACACTCTTTCTGTAGTATCTGCAAGCTGACGTTTCAAGCGCTTTCAGGCCTATGGTGAGAAAGGAAATATCTTCAAGTAAAAACTAGACAGAAGCATTCTCAGAAACTTATTTGCCATGTGTGTTCTCAACTAACAGAGTTGAACCTTTGTTTTGATACGGCATTTTGGAAACACTCTTTTTGTAGAATCTGCAGGTGGATATTCGGATAGCTTTGAAGGTTTCGTTGGAAACGGGAATATCTTCATATAAAATCTAGACGGAAGCATTCTCAGAAACTGCTTTGTGATGTTTTCATTCAAGTCATAGAGTAGAATGTTCCCTGTTATATACCAGGTTTGAGACACTCTTTCTGCACTACCTGGAAGTGGACGTTTGGAGCGCTTTGGGGCCTATGTTGAAAAAGGAAATATCTTCCCATAAAAACTAGACAGAAGCATTCTCAGAAACTTGTTTGTGATGTGTGTATTCAACTAACAGAGATGAACCTTTCTTTTTACAGAGCAGTTTTGAAACACTCTTTTTGTGGAATCTGAAAGTGGATATTTGGATAGCTTTGAGGATTTCGTTGGAAACGGGATTACATATAAAACCTAGAGAGAAGCATTCTCAGGAACTTCTTTGTGATGTTTGCATTCACGTCACAGAACTGAACATTCCCTTTCATAGAGCATGTTTGAAACACTCTTTCTGTAGTATCTGCAAACGGACATTTCAAACGCTTTCAGGCCTATGGTGAGAAAGGAAATATCTTCAAATAAAAACTAGACAGAAGCATTCTCAGAAACTTATTTGCGATGTGTGTCCTCAACTAACAGAGTTGAACCTTTCTTTTGATACAACATTTTGGAAACACTCTTTTTGTGGAATCTGCAAGTGGATATTTGGATAGCTTTGAAGGTTTCGTTGGATACGGGAATATCTTCATATAAAATCAAGACAGAAGCATTCTCAGAAACTGCTTTGTGATGTTTTCATTCAAGTCACAGAGTAGAATGTTCCCTGTTATATACCAGGTTTGAGACACTCTTTCTGCACTACCTGGAAGTGGACATTTGCAGCGCTTTGAGGCCTATGATGAAAAAGGAAATATCTTCCCATAAAAACTAGACAGAAGCATTCTCAGAAACTTGTTTGTGATGTGTGTATTCAACTAACAGAGATGAACCTTTCTTTTTACAGAGCAGTTTTGAAACACTCTTTTTGTGGAATCTGAAAGTGGATATTTGGATAGCTTTGAGGATTTCGTTGGAAACGGGATTACATATAAAATCTAGAGAGAAGCATTCTCAGGAACTTCTTTGTGATGTTTGCATTCACGTCACAGAACTGAACATTCCGTTTCATAGAGCATGTTTGAAACACTCTTTCTTTAGTATCTG
This sequence comes from Homo sapiens, assembly GCF_000001405.40. NCBI lineage: Eukaryota > Metazoa > Chordata > Mammalia > Primates > Hominidae > Homo > Homo sapiens. The sequence continues at coordinate 44,565,962 of NC_000009.12, forward strand.
CAAACGGACATTTCAAACGCTTTCAGGCCTATGGTGAGAAAGGAAATATCTTCAAGTAAAAACTAGACAGAAGCATTCTCAGAAACTTATTTGCGATGTGTGTCCTCAACTAACAGAGTTGAACCTTTCTTTTGATACAACATTTTGGAAACACTCTTTTTGTAGAATCTGCAAGTGGATATTTGAATAGCTTTGAAGGTTTCGTTGGAAACGGGAATATCTTCATATAAAATCAAGACGGAAGCATTCTCAGAAACTTCTCTGTGATGTTTGCATTCAACTCATAGAGTTGAACACTTCCCTTCATACAGCAGGTTTGAAACACTCTTTTTGTAATATTTGGAAGTGGACATTTGCAGCGCTTTGAGGCCTATGATGAAAAAGGAAATATCTTCCCATAAAAACTAGACAGGAAGCATTCTCAGAAACTTGTTTGTGATGTGTGTATTCAACTAACAGAGATGAACCTTTCTTTTTACAGAGCAGTTTTGAAACACTCTTTTTGTGGAATCTGAAAGTGGATATTTGGATAGCTTTGCGGATTTCGTTGGAAACGGGATTACATATAAAATCTAGGGAGAAGCATTCTCAGGAACTTCTTTGTGATGTTTGCATTCAAGTCACAGAACTGAACATTCCCTTTCATAGAGCAGGTTTGAAACACTCTTTCTGTAGTATCTGCAAGCGGACGTTTTAAGCGCTTTCAGGCCTGTGGTGAGAAAGGAAATATCTTCAAATAAAAACTAGACAGAAGCATTCTCAGAAACGTATTTGCGATGTGTGTCCTCAACTAACAGACTTGAACCTTTCTTTTGATACAACATTTTGGAAACACTCTTTTTGTAGAATCTGCAAGTGGATATTTGGATAGCTTTGAAGGTTTCGTTGGAAACGGGAATATCTTCATATGAAATCAAGACAGAAGCATTCTCAGAAACTTCTCTGTGATGTTTGCATTCAACTCATAGAGTTGAACACTTCCCTTCATACAGCAGGTTTGAAACACTCTTTTTCTAATATTTGGAAGTGGACATTTGCAGCGCTTTGAGGCCTATGTTGAAAAAGGAAATATCTTCTCCTAAAAACCAGACAGAAGCATTCTCAGAAACTTCCTTGTGATGTGTGTACTCAAGTAACAGAGTTGAACCTTCCTTTTGACAGAGCAGTTTTGAAGCACTCTTTTTGTAGAATCTGCAAGTGGATATTTTGATACCTTTGAGGATTTCGTTGGACACGGGATATCTTCATATAAAATCTAGACAGAAGCATTCTCAGGAACTTCTTTGTGATGTTTGCATTCACGTCACAGAACTGAACATTCCCTTTCATAGAGCATGTTTGAAACACTCTTTCTGTAGTATCTGCAAACGGACATTTCAAACGCTTTCAGGCCTATGGTGAGAAAGGAAATATCTTCAAATAAAAACTAGACAGAAGCATTCTCAGAAACTTATTTGCGATGTGTGTCCTCAACTAACAGAGTTGAACCTTTCTTTTGATACAACATTTTGGAAACACTCTTTTTGTAGAATCTGCAAGTGGATATTTGAAAAGCTTTGAAGGTTTCGTTGGAAACGGGAATATCTTCATATAAAATCAAGACAGAAGCATTCTCAGAAAGTGCTTTGTGATGTTTGCATTCAAGTCACAGAGTTGAATATTCCCTTTTATAGAGCAGGTTTGAAACACTCTTTCTGCACTACCTGGAAGTGGACATTTGGAACGCTTTGAGGCCTATGTTGAAAAACGAAATATCTTCCCATAAAAACTAGACAGAAGCATTCTCAGAAACTTGTTTGTGATGTGTGTATTCAACTAACAGAGATGAACCTTTCTTTTTACAGAGCAGTTTTGAAACACTCTTTTTGTGGAATCTGAAAGTGGATATTTGGATAGCTTTGAGGATTTCGTTGGAAACGGGATTACATATAAAACCTAGAGAGAAGCATTCTCAGGAACTTCTTTGTGATGTTTGCCTTCAAGTCACAGGACTGAACATTCCCTTTCATAGAGCAGGTTTGAAACACTCTTTCTGTAGTATCTGCAAGCTGACGTTTCAAGCGCTTTCAGGCCTATGGTGAGAAAGGAAATATCTTCAAGTAAAAACTAGACAGAAGCATTCTCAGAAACTTATTTGCCATGTGTGTTCTCAACTAACAGAGTTGAACCTTTGTTTTGATACGGCATTTTGGAAACACTCTTTTTGTAGAATCTGCAGGTGGATATTCGGATAGCTTTGAAGGTTTCGTTGGAAACGGGAATATCTTCATATAAAATCTTGACGGAAGCATTCTCAGAAACTGCTTTGTGATGTTTTCATTCAAGTCACAGAGTAGAATGTTCCCTGTTATATACCAGGTTTGAGACACTCTTTCTGCACTACCTGGAAGTGGACATTTGCAGCGCTTTGAAGCCTATGATGAAAAAGGAAATATCTTCCCATAAAAACTAGACAGAAGCATTCTCAGAAACTTGTTTGTGATGTGTGTATTCAACTAACAGAGATGAACCTTTCTTTTTACAGAGCAGTTTTGAAACACTCTTTTTGTGGAATCTGAAAGTGGATATTTGGATAGCTTTGAGGATTTCGTTGGAAACGGGATTACATATAAAATCTAGAGAGAAGCATTCTCAGGAACTTCTTTGTGATGTTTGCATTCACGTCACAGAACTGAACATTCCCTTTCATAGAGCATGTTTGAAACACTCTTTCTGTAGTATCTGCAAACGGACATTTCAAACGCTTTCAGGCCTATGGTGAGAAAGGAAATATCTTCAAATAAAAACTAGACAGAAGCATACTCAGAAACTTATTTGCGATGTGTGTCCTCAACTAACAGAGTTGAACCTTTCTTTTGATACAACATTTTGGAAACACTCTTTTTGTAGAATCTGCAAGTGGATATTTGGATAGCTTTGAAGGTTTCTTTGGAAACGGGAATATCTTCATATAAAATCAAGACAGAAGCATTCTCAGAAACTTCTCTGTGATGTTTGCATTCAACTCATAGAGTTGAACACTTCCCTTCATACAGCAGGTTTGAAACACTCTTTTTGTAATATTTGGAAGTGGACATTTGCAGCGCTTTGAGGCCTATGATGAAAAAGGTAATATCTTCCCATAAAAACTAGACAGAAGCATTCTCAGAAACTTGTTTGTGATGTGTGTATTCAACTAACAGAGATGAACCTTTCTTTTTACAGAGCAGTTTTGAAACACTCTTTTTGTGGAATCTGAAAGTGGATATTTGGATAGCTTTGAGGATTTCGTTGGAAACGGGATTACATATAAAATCTAGAGAGAAGCATTCTCAGGAACTTCTTTGTGATGTTTGCATTCAAGTCACAGAACTGAACATTCCCTTTCATAGAGCATGTTTGAAACACTCTTTCTGTAGTATCTGCAAGCGGACGTTTCAAGCGCTTTCAGGCCTATGGTGAGAAAGGAAATATCTTCAAGTAAAAACTAGACAGAAGCATTCTCAGAAACTTATTTGCCATGTGTGTTCTCAACTAACAGAGTTGAACCTTTGTTTTGATACGACATTTTGGAAACACTCTTTTTGTAGAATCTGCAGGTGGATATTCGGATAGCTTTGAAGGTTTCGTTGGAAACGGGAATATCTTCATAGAAAATCTAGACGGAAGCATTCTCAGAAACTGCTTTGTGATGTTTTCATTCAAGTCACAGAGTAGAATGTTCCCTTTTATATACCAGGTTTGAGACACTCTTTCTGCACTATCTGGAAGTGGACATTTGGAGCGCTTTGAGGCCTATGATGAAAAAGGAAATATCTTCCCATAAAAACTAGACAGAAGCATTCTCAGAAACTTGTTTGTGATGTGTGTATTCAACTAACAGATATGAACCTTTCTTTTAACAGAGCAGTTTTGAAACACTCTTTTTGTGGAATCTGACAGTGGATATTTGGATAGCTTTGAGGATTTCGTTGGAAACGGGATTACATATAAAATCTAGAGAGAAGCATTCTCAGGAACTTCTTTGTGATGTTTGCATTCACGTCACAGAACTGAACATTCCCTTTCATAGAGCATGTTTGAAACACTCTTTCTGTAGTATCTGCAAACGGACATTTCAAACGCTTTCAGGCCTATGGTGAGAAAGGAAATATCTTCAAATAAAAACTAGACAGAAGCATTCTCAGAAACTTATTTGCGATGTGTGTCCTCAACTAACAGAGTTGAACCTTTCTTTTGATACAACATTTTGGAAACACTGTTTTTGTAGAATCTGCAAGTGGATATTTGGATAGCTTTGTAGGTTTCGTTGGAAACGGGAATATCTTCATATAAAATCAAGACAGAAGCATTCTCAGAAACTTCTCTGTGATGTTTGCATTCAACTCATAGAGTTGAACACTTCCCTTCATACAGCAGGTTTGAAACACTCTTTTTCTAATATTTGGAAGTGGACATTTGCAGCGCTTTGAGGCCTATGTTGAAAAAGGAAATATCTTCTCCTAAAAACCAGACAGGAAGCATTCTCAGAAACTTGTTTGTGATGTGTGTATTCAACTAACAGAGATGAACCTTTCTTTTTAGAGAGCAGTTTTGAAACACTCTTTTTGTGGAATCTGAAAGTGGATATTTGGATAGCTTTGAGGATTTCGTTGGAAACGGGATTACATATAAAATCTAGAGAGAAGCATTCTGAGGAACTTCTTTGTGATGTTTGCATTCAAGTCACAGAACTGAACATTCCCTTTCATAGAGCAGGTTTGAAACACTCTTTCTGTAGTATCTGCAAGCTGACGTTTCAAGCGCTTTCAGGCCTATGGTGAGAAAGGAAATATCTTCAAGTAAAAACTAGACAGAAGCATTCTCAGAAACTTCCTTGTGCTGTATGTCCTCAATTAACAGAGTTGAACCTTTGTGTGGATACAGCATTTTGGAAACATTCCTTTAGTAGAATCTGCAAGTTGATATTTAGATAGCTAGGAAGATTTCCTTGGAAACGGGAATATCTTCATATAAAATCTAGACGGAAGGATTCTCAGAAAGTGCTTTGTGATGTTTGCATTCAAGTCACAGAGTAGAATGTTCCCTTTTATAGAGCAGGTTTGAAACACTCTGTGCACTACGTGGAAGTGGACATTGGGAGCGCTTTGAGGCCTATGTTGAAAAAGGAAATATCTTCCCATAAAAACTAGACAGAAGCATTCTCAGAAACTTGTTTGTGATGTGTGTATTCAACTAACAGAGATGAACCTTTCTTTTTACAGAGCAGTTTTGAAACACTCTTTTTGTGGAATCTGAAAGTGGATATTTGGATAGCTTTGAGGATTTCGTTGGAAACGGGATTACATATAAAACCTAGAGAGAAGCATTCTCAGGAACTTCTTTTTGATGTTTCCCTTCAAGTCACAGGACTGAACATTCCCTTTCATAGAGCAGGTTTGAAACACTCTTTCTGTAGTATCTGCAAGCTGACGTTTCAAGCGCTTTCAGGCCTATGGTGAGAAAGGAAATATCTTCAAGTAAAAACTAGACAGAAGCATTCTCAGAAACTTATTTGCCATGTGTGTTCTCAACTAACAGAGTTGAACCTTTGTTTTGATACGGCATTTTGGAAACACTCTTTTTGTAGAATCTGCAGGTGGATATTCGGATAGCTTTGAAGGTTTCGTTGGAAACGGGAATATCTTCATATAAAATCTAGACGGAAGCATTCTCAGAAAGTGCTTTGTGATGTTTGCATTCAAGTCACAGAGTTGAATATTCCCTTTTATAGAGCAGGTCTGAAACACTCTTTCTGCACTACCTGGAAGTGGACATTTGGAACGCTTTGAGGCCTATGTTGAAAAAGGAAATATCTTCCCATAAAAACTAGACAGAAGCATTCTCAGAAACTTGTTTGTGATGTGTGTATTCAACTAACAGAGATGAACCTTTCTTTTTACAGAGCAGTTTTGAAACACTCTTTTTGTGGAATCTGAAAGTGGATATTTGGATAGCTTTGAGGATTTCGTTGGAAACGGGATTACATATAAAACCTAGAGAGAAGCATTCTCAGGAACTCCTTTGTGATGTTTGCCTTCAAGTCACAGGACTGAACATTCCCTTTCATAGAGCAGGTTTGAAACACTCTTTCTGTAGTATCTGCAAGCTGACGTTTCAAGCGCTTTCAGGCCTATGGTGATAAAGGAAATATCTTCAAGTAAAAACTAGACAGAAGCATTCTCAGAAACTTATTTGCCATGTGTGTTCTCAACTAACAGAGTTGAACCTTTGTTTTGATACGGCATTTTGGAAACACTCTTTTTGTAGAATCTGCAGGTGGATATACGGATAGCTTTGAAGGTTTCGTTCGAAACGGGAATATCTTCATATAAAGTCTAGACGGAAGCATTCTCAGGAAACTGCTTTGTGATGTTTTCATTCAAGTCACAGAGTAGAATGTTCCCTGTTATATACCAGGTTTGAGACACTCTTTCTGCACTACCTGGAAGTGGACATTTGGAGCGCTTTGAGGCCTATGATGAAAAAGGAAATATCTTCCCATAAAAACTAGACAGAAGCATTCTCAGAAACTTGTTTGTGATGTGTGTATTCAACTAACAGAGATGAACCTTTCTTTTTACAGAGCAGTTTTGAAACACTCTTTTTGTGGAATCTGAAAGTGGATATTTGGATAGCTTTGAGGATTTCGTTGGAAACGGGATTACATATAAAATCTAGAGAGAAGCATTCTCAGGAACTTCTTTGTGATGTTTGCATTCAAGTCACAGAACTGAACATTCCCTTTCATAGAGCAGGTTTGAAACACTCTTTCTGTAGTATCTGCAAGCGGACGTTTTAAGCGCTTTCAGGCCTGTGGTGAGAAAGGAAATATCTTCAAATAAAAACTAGACAGAAGCATTCTCAGAAACTTATTTGCGATGTGTGTCCTCAACTAACAGAGTTGAACCTTTCTTTTGATACAACATTTTGGAAACACTCTTTTTGTAGAATCTGCAAGTGGATATTTGGATAGCTTTGAAGGTTTCGTTGGAAACGGGAATATCTTCATATGAAATCAAGACAGAAGCATTCTCAGAAACTTCTCTGTGATGTTTGCATTCAACTCATAGAGTTGAACACTTCCCTTCATACAGCAGGTTTGAAACACTCTTTTTCTAATATTTGGAAGTGGACATTTGCAGCGCTTTGAGGCCTATGTTGAAAAAGGAAATATCTTCTCCTAAAAACCAGACAGAAGCATTCTCAGAAACTTGTTTGTGATGTGTGTATTCAACTAACAGAGATGAACCTTTCTTTTTACAGAGCAGTTTTGAAACACTCTTTTTGTGGAATCTGAAAGTGGATATTTGGATAGCTTTGCGGATTTCGTTGGAAACGGGATTACATATAAAATCTAGGGAGAAGCATTCTCAGGAACTTCTTTGTGATGTTTGCATTCAAGTCACAGAACTGAACATTCCCTTTCATAGAGCAGGTTTGAAACACTCTTTCTGTAGTATCTGCAAGCGGACGTTTTAAGCGCTTTCAGGCCTGTGGTGAGAAAGGAAATATCTTCAAATAAAAACTAGACAGAAGCATTCTCAGAAACTTATTTGCGATGTGTGTCCTCAACTAACAGAGTTGAACCTTTCTTTTGATACAACATTTTGGAAACACTCTTTTTGTAGAATCTGCAAGTGGATATTTGGATAGCTTTGAAGGTTTCGTTGGAAACGGGAATATCTTCATATGAAATCAAGACAGAAGCATTCTCAGAAAGTGCTTTGTGATGTTTGCATTCAAGTCACAGAGTTGAATATTCCCTTTTATAGAGCAGGTTTGAAACACTCTTTCTGCACTACCTGGAAGTGGACATTTGCAGCGCTTTGAGGCCTATGTTGAAAAAGGAAATATCTTCCCATAAAAACTAGACAGAAGCATTCTCAGAAACTTGTTTGTGATGTGTGTATTCAAATAACAGAGATGAACCTTTCTTTTTACAGAGCAGTTTTGAAACACTCTTTTTGTGGAATCTGAAAGTGGATATTTGGATAGCTTTGAGGATTTCGTTGGAAACGGGATTACATAGAAAATCTAGAGAGAAGCATTCTCAGGAACTTCTTTGTGATGTTTGCATTCAAGTCACAGAACTGAACATTCCCTTTCATAGAGCATGTTTGAAACACTCCTTCTGTAGTATCTGCAAGCGGACGTTTCAAGCGCTTTCAGGCCTATGGTGAGAAAGGAAATATCTTCAAGTAAAAACTAGACAGAAGCATTCTCAGAAACTTATTTGCCATGTGTGTTCTCAACTAACAGAGTTGAACCTTTGTTTTGATACGGCATTTTGGAAACACTCTTTTTGTAGAATCTGCAGGTGGATATTCGGATAGCTTTGAAGGTTTCGTTGGAAACGGGAATATCTTCATATAAAATCTAGACGGAAGCATTCTCAGAAACTGCTTTGTGATGTTTTCATTCAAGTCACAGAGTAGAATGTTCCCTGTTATATACCAGGTTTGAGACACTCTTTCTGCACTACCTGGAAGTGGACGTTTGGAGTGCTTTGAGGCCTATGTTGAAAAAGGAAATATCTTCCCATAAAAACTAGACAGAAGCATTCTCAGAAACTTGTTTGTGATGTGTGTATTCAACTAACAGAGATGAACCTTTCTTTTTACAGAGCAGTTTTGAAACACTCTTTTTGTGGAATCTGAAAGTGGATATTTGGATAGCTTTGAGGATTTCGTTGGAAACGGAATTACATATAAAATCTAGAGAGAAGCATTCTCAGGAACTTCTTTGTGATGTTTGCATTCACGTCACAGAACTGAACATTCCCTTTCATAGAGCATGTTTGAAACACTCTTTCTGTAGTATCTGCAAACGGACATTTCAAACGCTTTCAGGCCTATGGTGAGAAAGGAAATATCTTCAAATAAAAACTAGACAGAAGCATTCTCAGAAACTTATTTGCGATGTGTGTCCTCAACTAACAGAGTTGAACCTTTCTTTTGATACAACATTTTGGAAACACTCTTTTTGTGGAATCTGCAAGTGGATATTTGGATAGCTTTGAAGGTTTCGTTGGAAACGGGAAAATCTTCATATAAAATCAAGACAGAAGCATTCTCAGAAACTTCTCTGTGATGTTTGCATTCAACTCATAGAGTTGAACACTTCCCTTCATACAGCAGGTTTGAAACACTCTTTTTCTAATATTTGGAAGTGGACTTTTGCAGCGCTTTGAAGCCTATGATGAAAAAGGTAATATCTTCCCATAAAAACTAGAAAGAAGCATTCTCAGAAACTTGTTTATGATGTGTGTATTCAACTAACAGAGATGAACCTTTCTTTTTACAGAGCAGTTTTGAAAAACTCTTTTTGTGGAATCTGAAAGTGGATATTTGGATAGCTTTGAGGATTTCGTTGGAAACGGGATTACATATAAAATCTAGAGAGAAGCATTCTCAGGAACTTCTTTGTGATGTTTGCATTCAAGTCACAGAACTGAACATTCCCTTTCATAGAGCATGTTTGAAACACTCCTTCTGTAGTATCTGCAAGCGGACGTTTCAAGCGCTTTCAGGCCTATGGTGAGAAAGGAAATATCTTCAAGTAAAAACTAGACAGAAGCATTCTCAGAAACTTATTTGCCATGTGTGTTCTCAACTAACAGAGTTGAACCTTTGTTTTGATTCGGCATTTTGGAAGCACTCTTTTTGTAGAATCTGCAGGTGGATATTCGGATAGCTTTGAAGGTTTCGTTGGAAACGGGAATATCTTCATATAAAATCTAGACGGAAGCATTCTCAGAAACTGCTTTGTGATGTTTTCTTTCAAGTCACAGAGTAGAATGTTCCCTTTTATATACCAGGTTTGAGACACTCTTTCTGCACTATCTGGAAGTGGACATTTGGAGCGCTTTGAGGCCTATGATGAAAAAGGAAATATCTTCCCATAAAAACTAGACAGAAGCATTCTCAGAAACTTGTTTGTGATGTGTGTATTCAACTAACAGAGATGAACCTTTCTTTTTACAGAGCAGTTTTGAAACACTCTTTTTGTGGAATCTGAAAGTGGATATTTGGATAGCTTTGCGGATTTCGTTGGAAACGGGATTACATATAAAATCTAGGGAGAAGCATTCTCAGGAACTTCTTTGTGATGTTTGCATTCAAGTCACAGAACTGAACATTCCCTTTCATAGAGCAGGTTTGAAACACTCTTTCTGTAGTATCTGCAAGCGGACGTTTTAAGGGCTTTCAGGCCTTTGGTGAGAAAGGAAATATCTTCAAATAAAAACTAGACAGAAGCATTCTCAGAAACTTATTTGCGATGTGTGTCCTCAACTAACAGAGTTGAACCTTTCTTTTGATACAACATTTTGGAAACACTCTTTTTGTAGAATCTGCAAGTGGATATTTGGATAGCTTTGAAGGTTTCGTTGGAAACGGGAATATCTTCATATGAAATCAAGACAGAAGCATTCTCAGAAACTTCTCTGTGATGTTTGCATTCAACTCATAGAGTTGAACACTTCCCTTCATACAGCAGGTTTGAAACACTCTTTTTCTAATATTTGGAAGTGGACATTTGCAGCGCTTTGAGGCCTATGTTGAAAAAGGAAATATCTTCTCCTAAAAACCAGACAGAAGCATTCTCAGAAACTTGTTTGTGATGTGTGTATTCAACTAACAGAGATGAAGCTTTCTTTTTACAGAGCAGTTTTGAAACACTCTTTTTGTGGAATCTGAAAGTGGATATTTGGATAGCTTTGAGGATTTCGTTGGAAACGGGATTACATAAAAAATCTAGGGAGAAGCATTCTCAGGAACTTCTTTGTGATGTTTGCATTCAAGTCACAGAACTGAACATTCCGTTTCATAGAGCAGGTTTGAAACACTCTTTCTGTAGTATCTGCAAGCGGACGTTTCAAGCGCTTTCAGGCCTATGGTGAGAAAGGAAATATCTTCAAATAAAAACTAGACAGAAGCATTCTCAGAAACTTATTTGCGATGTGTGTTCTCAACTAACAGAGTTGAACCTTTGTTTTGATACAGCATTTTGGAAACACTCTTTTTGTAGGATCTGCAGGTGGATATTTGGATAGCTTTGAAGGTTTCGTTGGAAACGGGAATATCTTCATATAAAATCAAGACAGAAGCATTCTCAGAAACTTCTCTGTGATGTTTGCATTCAACTCATAGAGTTGAACACTTCCCTTCATAGAGCAGGTTTGAAACACTCTTTTTGTAATATTTGTGAAGTGGACATTTGCAGCGCTTTGAGGCCTATGTTGGAAAAAGGAAATATCTTCTCCTAAAAACCAGACAGAGGCATTCTCAGAAACTTATTTGTGATGTGTGTTCTCAACTAACAGAGTTGAAACTTTCTTTTGATACAACATTTTGGAAACACTCTTTTTGTAGAATCTGCAAGTGGATATTCGGATAGCTTTGAAGGTTTCGTTGGAAACGGGAATATCTTCATATAAAATCAAGAGAGAAGCATTCTCAGCAAACTTCTCTGTGATGTTTGCATTCAACTCATAGAGTTGAACACTTCCCTTCATACAGCAGGTTTGAAACACTCTTTTTGTAATATTTGGAAGTGGACATTTGCAGCGCTTTGAGGCCTATGATGAAAAAGGAAATATCTTCCCATAAAAACTAGACAGAAGCATTCTCAGAAACTTGTTTGTGATGTGTGTATTCAACTAACAGAGATGAACCTTTCTTTTTACAGAGCAGTTTTGAAACACTCTTTTTGTGGAATCTGAAAGTGGATATTTGGATAGCTTTGCGGATTTCGTTGGAAACGGGATTACATATAAAATCTAGGGAGAAGCATTCTCAGGAACTTCTTTGTGATGTTTGCATTCAAGTCACAGAACTGAACATTCCCTTTCATAGAGCAGGTTTGAAACACTCTTTCTGTAGTATCTGCAAGCGGACGTTTTAAGCGCTTTCAGGCCTGTGGTGAGAAAGGAAATATCTTCAAATAAAAACTAGACAGAAGCATTCTCAGAAACTTATTTGCGATGTGTGTCCTCAACTAACAGAGTTGAACCTTTCTTTTGATACAACATTTTGGAAACACTCTTTTTGTAGAATCTGCAAGTGGATATTTGGATAGCTTTGAAGGTTTCGTTGGAAACGGGAATATCTTCATATGAAATCAAGACAGAAGCATTCTCAGAAACTTCTCTGTGATGTTTGCATTCAACTCATAGAGTTGAACACTTCCCTTCATACAGCAGGTTTGAAACACTCTTTTTCTAATATTTGGAAGTGGACATTTGCAGCGCTTTGAGGCCTATGTTGAAAAAGGAAATATCTTCTCCTAAAAACCAGACAGAAGCATTCTCAGAAACTTGTTTGTGATGTGTGTATTCAACTAACAGAGATGAACCTTTCTTTTTACAGAGCAGTTTTGAAACACTCTTTTTGTGGAATCTGAAAGTGGATATTTGGATAGCTTTGAGGATTTCGTTGGAAACGGGATTACATATAAAACCTAGAGAGAAGCATTCTCAGGAACTTCTTTGTGATGTTTGCCTTCAAGTCACAGGACTGAACATTCCCTTTCATAGAGCAGGTTTGAAACACTCTTTCTGTAGTATCTGCAAGCTGACGTTTCAAGCGCTTTCAGGCCTATGGTGACAAAGGAAATATCTTCAAGTAAAAACTAGACAGAAGCATTCTCAGAAACTTATTTGCCATGTGTGTTCTCAACTAACAGAGTTGAACCTTTGTTTTGATATGGCATTTTGGAAACACTCTTTTTGTAGAATCTGCAGGTGGATATTCGGATAGCTTTGAAGGTTTCGTTGGAAACGGGAATATCTTCATATAAAATCTAGACGGAAGCATTCTCAGAAAGTGCTTTGTGATGTTTGCATTCAAGTCACAGAGTTGAATATTCCCTTTTATAGAGCAGGTTTGAAACACTCTTTCTGCACTACCTGGAAGTGGACATTTGGAGCGCTTTGAGGCCTATGTTGAAAAAGGAAATATCTTCCCATAAAAACTAGACAGAAGCATTCTCAGAAACTTGTTTGTGATGTGTGTATTCAACTAACAGAGATGAACCTTTCTTTTTACAGAGCAGTTTTGAAACACTCTTTTTGTGGAATCTGAAAGTGGATATTTGGATAGCTTTGAGGATTTCGTTGGAAACGGGATTACGTATAAAATCTAGAGAGAAGCATTCTCAGGAACTTCTTTGTGATGTTTGCATTCACGTCACAGAACTGAACATTCCCTTTCATAGAGCATGTTTGAAACACTCTTTCTGTAGTATCTGCAAACGGACATTTCAAGCGCTTTCAGGCCTATGGTAAGAAAGGAAATATCTTCAAATAAAAACTAGACAGAAGCATTCTCAGAAACTTATTTGCGATGTGTGTCCTCAACTAACAGAGTTGAACCTTTGTTTTGACACAACATTTTGGAAACACTCTTTTAGTAGAATCTGCAAGTGGAGATTTGGATAGCTTTGAAGGTTTCGTTGGAAACGGGAATATCTTCATATAAAATCAAGACAGAAGCATTCTCAGAAACTTCTCTGTGATGTTTGCATTCAACTCATAGAGGTGAACACTTCCCTTCATAGAGCAGTTTTGAAACACTCTTTTTGTAATATTTGGAAGTGGACATTTGCAGCGCTTTGAGGCCTATGTTGAAAAAGGAAATATCTTCTCCTAAAAACCAGACAGAAGCATTCTCAGAAACTTCCTTGTGATGTGTGTACTCAAGTAACAGAGTTGAACCTTACTTTTGACAGAGCCGTTTTGAAACAGTCTTTTTGTAGAATCTGGAAGTAGATATTTGGACACCTTTGAGGATTTCTTTGGAAACGGGATATCTTCATATAAAATCTAGACAGAAGCATTCTCAGAAACTTCTTTGTGCTGTATGTCCTCAATTAACAGAGTTGAACCTTTGTGTGGATACAGCATTTTGGAAACACTCCTTTAGTAGGATATGCAAGTTGATATTTAGATAGCTAGGAAGATTTCCTTGGAAACGGGAATATCTTCATATAAAATGTAGACGGAAGCATTCTCAGAAAGTGCTTTGTGATGTTTGCATTCAAGTCACAGAGTTGAATATTCCCTTTTATAGAGCAGGTTTGAAACACTCTTTCTGCACTACCTGGAAGTGGACATTTGGAGCGCTTTGAGGCCTATGTTGAAAAAGGAAATATCTTCCCATAAAAACTAGACAGAAGCATTCTCAGAAACTTGTTTGTGATGTGTGTATTCAACTAACAGAGATGAACCTTTCTTTTTACAGAGCAGTTTTGAAACACTCTTTTTGTGGAATCTGAAAGTGGATATTTGGATAGCTTTGAGGATTTCGTTGGAAACGGGATTACATATAAAACCTAGAGAGAAGCATTCTCAGGAACTTCTTTGTGATGTTTGCATTCAAGTCACAGAACTGAACATTCCCTTTCATAGAGCATGTTTGAAACACTCTTTCTGTAGTATCTGCAAACGGACATTCCAAGCGCTTTCAGGCCTATGGTGAGAAAGGAAATATCTTCAAATAAAAACCAGACAGAAGCATTCTCAGAAACTTATTTGCGATGTGTGCTCTCAACTAACAGAGTTGAACCTTTGTTTTGATATGGCATTTTGGAAACACTCTTTTTGTAGAATCTGCAGGTGGATATTCGGATAGCTTTGAAGGTTTCGTTGGAAACGGGAATATCTTCATATAAAATCTAGACGGAAGCATTCTCAGAAACTGCTTTGTGATGTTTTCATTCAAGTCACAGAGTAGAATGTTCCCTGTTATATACCAGGTTTGAGACACTCTTTCTGCACTACATGGAAGTGGACGTTTGGAGCGCTTTGAGGCCTATGTTGAAAAAGGAAATATCTTCCCATAAAAACTAGACAGAAGCATTCTCAGAAACTTGTTTGTGATGTGTGTATTCAACTAACAGAGATGAACCTTTCTTTTTACAGAGCAGTTTTGAAACACTCTTTTTGTGGAATCTGAAAGTGGATATTTGGATAGCTTTGAGGATTTCGTTGGAAACGGGATTACATATAAAACCTAGAGAGAAGCATTCTCAGGAACTTCTTTGTGATGTTTGCATTCAAGTCACAGAACTGAACATTCCCTTTCATAGAGCAGGTTTGAAACACTCTTTCTGTAGTATCTGCAAGCGGACGTTTTAAGCGCTTCAGGCCTGTGGTGAGAAAGGAAATATCTTCAAATAAAAACTAGACAGAAGCATTCTCAGAAACTTATTTGAGATGTGTGTTCTCAACTAACAGAGTTGAACCTTTGTTTTGATACGGCATTTTGGAAACACTCTTTTTGTAGAATCTGCAGGTGGATATTCGGATAGCTTTGAAGGTTTCGTTGGAAACGGGAATATCTTCATATAAAATCAAGACAGAAGTATTCTCAGAAAGTGCTTTGTGATGTTTGCATTCAAGTCACAGAGTTGAATATTCCCTTTTATAGAGCAGGTTTGAAACACTCTTTCTGCACTACCTGGAAGTGGACATTTGGAGCGCTTTGAGGCCTATGTTGAAAAAGGAAATATCTTCCCATAAAAACTAGACAGAAGCATTCTCAGAAACTTGTTTGTGATGTGTGTATTCAACTAACAGAGATGAACCTTTCTTTTTACAGAGCAGTTTTGAAACACTCTTTTTGTGGAATCTGAAAGTGGATATTTGGATAGATTTGAGGATTTCGTTGGAAACGGGATTACATATAAAACCTAGAGAGAAGCATTCTCAGGAACTTCTTTGTGATGTTTGCATTCAAGTCACAGGACTGAACATTCCCTTTCATAGAGCAGGTTTGAAACACTCTTTCTGTAGTATCTGCAAGCTGACGTTTCAAGCGCTTTCAGGCCTATGGTGAGAAAGGAAATATCTTCAAGTAAAAACTAGACAGAAGCATTCTCAGAAACTTATTTGCCATGTGTGTTCTCAACTAACAGAGTTGAACCTTTGTTTTGATACGGCATTTTGGAAACACTCTTTTTGTAGAATCTGCAGGTGGATATTCGGATAGCTTTGAAGGTTTCGTTGGAAACGGGAATATCTTCATATAAAATCTAGACGGAAGCATTCTCAGAAACTGCTTTGTGATGTTTTCATTCAAGTCACAGAGTAGAATGTTTCCCTGTTATATACCAGGTTTGAGACACTCTTTCTGCACTACCTGGAAGTGGACGTTTGGAGCGCTTTGAGGCCTATGTTGAAAAAGGAAATATCTTCCCATAAAAACTAGACAGAAGCATTCTCAGAAACTTGTTTGTGATGTGTGTATTCAACTAACAGAGATGAACCTTTCTTTTTACAGAGCAGTTTTGAAACACTCTTTTTGTGGAATCTGAAAGTGGATATTTGGATAGCTTTGAGGATTTCGTTGGAAACGGGATTACAGATAAAACCTAGAGAGAAGCATTCTCAGGAACTTCTTTGTGATGTTTGCATTCAAGTCACAGAACTGAACATTCCCTTTCATAGAGCATGTTTGAAACACTCTTTCTGTAGTATCTGCAAGCTGACGTTTCAAGCGCTTTCAGGCCTATGGTGAGAAAGGAAATATCTTCAAGTAAAAACTAGACAGAAGCATTCTCAGAAACTTATTTGCCATGTGTGTTCTCAACTAACAGAGTTGAACCTTTGTTTTGATACGGCATTTTGGAAACACTCTTTTTGTAGAATCTGCAGGTGGATATTCGGATAGCTTTGAAGGTTTCGTTGGAAACGGGAATATCTTCATATAAAATCTAGACGGAAGCATTCTCAGAAACTGCTTTGTGATGTTTTCATTCAAGTCACAGAGTAGAATGTTCCCTGTTATATACCAGGTTTGAGACACTCTTTCTGCACTACCTGGAAGTGGACGTTTGGAGCGCTTTGAGGCCTATGTTGAAAAAGGAAATATCTTCCCATAAAAACTAGACAGAAGCATTCTCAGAAACTTGTTTGTGATGTGTGTATTCAACTAACAGAGATGAACCTTTCTTTTTACAGAGCAGTTTTGAAACACTCTTTTTGTGGAATCTGAAAGTGGATATTTGGATAGCTTTGCGGATTTCGTTGGAAACGGGATTACATATAAAATCTAGGGAGAAGCATTCTCAGGAACTTCTTTGTCATGTTTGCATTCAAGTCACAGAACTGAACATTCCCTTTCATAGAGCAGGTTTGAAACACTCTTTCTGTAGTATCTGCAAGCGGACGTTTTAAGCGCTTTCAGGCCTGTGGTGAGAAAGGAAATATCTTCAAATAAAAACTAGACAGAAGCATTCTCAGAAACTTATTTGCGATGTGTGTCCTCAACTAACAGAGTTGAACCTTTCTTTTGATACAACATTTTGGAAACACTCTTTTTGTAGAATCTGCAAGTGGATATTTGGATAGCTTTGAAGGTTTCGTTGGAAACGGGAATATCTTCATATGAAATCAAGACAGAAGCATTCTCAGAAACTGCTTTGTGATGTTTTCATTCAAGTCACAGAGTAGAATGTTCCCTGTTATATACCAGGTTTGAGACACTCTTTCTGCACTACCTGGAAGTGGACGTTTGGAGCGCTTTGAGGCCTATGTTGAAAAAGGAAATATCTTCCCATAAAAACTAGACAGAAGCATTCTCAGAAACTTGTTTGTGATGTGTGTATTCAACTAACAGGGATGAACCTTTCTTATTACAGAGCAGTTTTGAAACACTCTTTTTGTGGAATCTGAAAGTGGATATTTGGATAGCTTTGAGGATTTCGTTGGAAACGGGATTACATATAAAACCTAGAGAGAAGCATTCTCAGGAACTTCTTTGTGATGTTTGCATTCAAGTCACAGAACTGAACATTCCCTTTCATAGAGCATGTTTGAAACACTCTTTCTGTAGTATCTGCAAACGGACATTTCAAACGCTTTCAGGCCTATGGTGAGAAAGGAAATATCTTCAAATAAAAACTAGACAGAAGCATTCTCAGAAACTTGTTTGCGATGTGTGTCCTCAACTAACAGAGTTGAACCTTTCTTTTGATACAACATTTTGGAAACACTCTTTTTGTAGAATCTGCAAGTGGATATTTGGATAGCTTTGAAGGTTTCTTTGGAAACGGGAATATCTTCATATAAAATCAAGACAGAAGCATTCTCAGAAAGTGCTTTGTGATGTTTGCATTCAAGTCACAGAGTTGAATATTCCCTTTTATAGAGCAGGTTTGAAACACTCTTTCTGCACTACCTGGAAGTGGACATTTGGAGCGCTTTGAGGCCTATGTTGAAAAAGGAAATATCTTCCCATAAAAACTAGACAGAAGCATTCTCAGAAACTTGTTTGTGATGTGTGTATTCAACTAACAGAGATGAACCTTTCTTTTTACAGAGCAGTTTTGAAACACTCTTTTTGTGGAATCTGAAAGTGGATATTTGGATAGCTTTGAGGATTTCGTTGGAAACGGGATTACATATAAAACCTAGAGAGAAGCATTCTCAGGAACTTCTTTGTGATGTTTGCATTCAAGTCACAGGACTGAACATTCCCTTTCATAGAGCAGGTTTGAAACACTCTTTCTGTAGTATCTGCAAGCTGACGTTTCAAGCGCTTTCAGGTCTATGGTGAGAAAGGAAATATCTTCAAGTAAAAACTAGACAGAAGCATTCTCAGAAACTTATTTGCCATGTGTGTTCTCAACTAACAGAGTTGAACCTTTGTTTTGATACGGCATTTTGGAAACACTCTTTTTGTAGAATCTGCAGGTGGATATTCGGATAGCTTTGAAGGTTTCGTTGGAAACGGGAATATCTTCATATAAAATCTAGACGGAAGCATTCTCAGAAACTGCTTTGTGATGTTTTCATTCAAGTCACAGAGTAGAATGTTCCCTGTTATATACCAGGTTTGAGACACTCTTTCTGCACTACCTGGAAGTGGACATTTGCAGCGCTTTGAGGCCTATGATGAAAAAGGAAATATGTTCCCATAAAAACTAGACAGAAGCATTCTCAGAAACTTGTTTTTGATGTGTGTATTCAACTAACAGAGATGAACCTTTCTTTTTACAGAGCAGTTTTGAAACACTCTTTTTGTGGAATCTGAAAGTGGATATTTGGATAGCTTTGAGGAATTCGTTGGAAACGGGATTACATATAAAATCTAGAGAGAAGCATTCTCAGGAACTTCTTTGTGATGTTTGCATTCAAGTCACAGGACTGAACATTCCCTTTCATAGAGCAGGTTTGAAACACTCTGTAGTATCTGCAAGCTGACGTTTCAAGCGCTTTCAGGCCTATGGTGAGAAAGGAAATATCTTCAAGTAAAAACTAGACAGAAGCATTCTCAGAAACTTCTTTGTGCTGTATGTCCTCAATTAACAGAGTTGAACCTTTGTGTGGATACAGCATTTTGGAAACATTCCTTTAGTAGAATCTGCAAGTTGATATTTAGATAGCTAGGAAGATTTCCTTGGAAACGGGAATATCTTCATATAAAATCTAGACGGAAGCATTCTCAGAAAGTGCTTTGTGATGTTTGCATTCAAGTCACAGTAGTTGAATATTCCCTTTTATAGAGCAGGTTTGAAACACTCTTTCTGCACTACCTGGAAGTGGACATTTGGAGCGCTTTGAGGCCTATGTTGAAAAACGAAATATCTTCCCATAAAAACTAGACAGAAGCATTCTCAGAAACTTGTTTGTGATGTGTGTATTCAACTAACAGAGATGAACCTTTCTTTTTACAGAGCAGTTTTGAAACACTCTTTTTGTGGAATCTGAAAGTGGATATTTGGATAGCTTTGAGGATTTCGTTGGAAACGGGATTACATATAAAACCTAGAGAGAAGCATTCTCAGGAACTTCTTTGTGATGTTTGCATTCAAGTCACAGAACTGAACATTCCCTTTCATAGAGCAGGTTTGAAACACTCTTTCTGTAGTATCTGCAAGCTGACGTTTCAAGCGCTTTCAGGCCTATGGTGAGAAAGGAAATATCTTCAAGTAAAAACTAGACAGAAGCATTCTCAGAAACTTATTTGCCATGTGTGTTCTCAACTAACAGAGTTGAACCTTTGTTTTGATACGGCATTTTGGAAACACTCTTTTTGTAGAATCTGCAGGTGGATATTTGGATAGCTTTGAAGGTTTCGTTGGAAACGGGAATATCTTCATATAAAATCTAGACGGAAGCATTCTCAGAAACTGCTTTGTGATGTTTTCATTCAAGTCACAAAGTAGAATGTTCCCTGTTATATACCAGGTTTGAGACACTCTTTCTGCACTACCCGGAAGTGGACGTTTGGAGCGCTTTGAGGCCTATGTTGAAAAAGGAAATATCTTCCCATAAAAACTAGACAGAAGCATTCTCAGAAACTTGTTTGTGATGTGTGTATTCAACTAACAGAGATGAACCTTTCTTTTTACAGAGCAGTTTTGAAACACTCTTTTTGTGGAATCTGAAAGTGGATATTTGGATAGCTTTGAGGATTTCGTTGGAAACGGGATTACATATAAAACCTAGGGAGAAGCATTCTCAGGATCTTCTTTGTGATGTTTGCATTCAAGTCACAGAACTGAACATTCCCTTTCATAGAGCAGGTTTGAAACACTCTTTCTGTAGTATCTGCAAGCGGACGTTTCAAGCACTTTCAGGCCTATGGTGAGAAAGGAAATATCTTCAAGTAAAAACTAGACAGAAGCATTCTCAGAAACTTATTTGCGATGTGTGTTCTCAACTAACAGAGTTGAACCTTTGTTTTGATATGGCATTTTGGAAACACTCTTTTTGTAGAATCTGCAGGTGGATATTCGGATAGCTTTGAAGGTTTCGTTGGAAACGGGAATATCTTCATATAAAATCTAGACGGAAGCATTCTCAGAAACTGCTTTGTGATGTTTTCATTCAAGTCACAGAGTAGAATGTTCCCTGTTATATACCAGGTTTGAGACACTCTTTCTGCACTACCTGGAAGTGGACGTTTGGAGCGCTTTGAGGCCTATGTTGAAAAAGGAAATATCTTCCCATAAAAACTAGACAGAAGCATTCTCAGAAACTTGTTTGTGATGTGTGTATTCAACTAACAGAGATGAACCTTTCTTTTTACAGAGCAGTTTTGAAACACTCTTTTTGTGGAATCTGAAAGTGGATATTTGGATAGCTTTGAGGATTTCGTTGGAAACGGGATTACATATAAAATCTAGAGAGAAGCATTCTCAGGAACTTCTTTGTGATGTTTGCATTCACGTCACAGAACTGAACATTCCCTTTCATAGAGCATGTTTGAAACACTCTTTCTGTAGTATCTGCAAACGGACATTTCAAGCGCTTTCAGGCCTATGGTAAGAAAGGAAATATCTTCAAATAAAAACTAGACAGAAGCATTCTCAGAAACTTATTTGTGATGTGTGTCCTCAACTAACAGAGTTGAACCTTTCTTTTGATACAACATTTTGGAACCACTCTTTTTGTAGAATCTGCAAGTGGATATTTGGATAGCTTTGAAGGTTTCGTTGGAAACGGGAATATCTTCATATAAAATCAAGACAGAAGCATTCTCAGAAACTTCTCTGTGATGTTTGCATTCAACTCATAGAGTTGAACACTTCCCTTCATACAGCAGGTTTGAAACACTCTTTTTGTAATATTTGGAAGTGGACATTTGCAGCGCTTTGAGGCCTATGATGAAAAAGGTAATATCTTCCCATAAAAACTAGACAGAAGCATTCTCAGAAACTTGTTTGTGATGTGTGTATTCAACTAACAGAGATGAACCTTTCTTTTTACAGAGCAGTTTTGAAACACTCTTTTTGTGGAATCTGAAAGTGGATATTTGGATAGCTTTGAGGATTTCGTTGGAAACGGGATTACATATAAAACCTAGAGAGAAGCATTCTCAGGAACTTCTTTGTGATGTTTGCCTTCAAGTCACAGAACTGAACATTCCCTTTCATAGAGCAGGTTTGAAACACTCTTTCTGTAGTATCTGCAAGCTGACGTTTCAAGCGCTTTCAGGCCTATGGTGAGAAAGGAAATATCTTCAAGTAAAAACTAGACAGAAGCATTCTCAGAAACTTATTTGCGATGTGTGTTCTCAACTAACAGAGTTGAACCTTTGTTTTGATATGGCATTTTGGAAACACTCTTTTTGTAGAATCTGCAGGTGGATATTCGGATAGCTTTGAAGGTTTCGTTGGAAACGGGAATATCTTCATATAAAATCTAGACGGAAGCATTCTCAGAAACTGCTTTGTGATGTTTTCATTCAAGTCACAGAGTAGAATGTTCCCTGTTATATACGAGGTTTGAGACACTCTTTCTGCACTACCTGGAAGTGGACATTTGCAGCGCTTTGAGGCCTATGATGAAAAAGGAAATATCTTCCCATAAAAACTAGACAGAAGCATTCTCAGAAACTTGTTTGTGATGTGTGTATTCAACTAACAGAGATGAACCTTTCTTTTTACAGAGCAGTTTTGAAACACTCTTTTTGTGGAATCTGAAAGTGGATATTTGGATAGCTTTGAGGATTTCGTTGGAAACGGGATTACATATAAAACCTAGAGAGAAGCATTATCAGGAACTTCTTTGTGATGTTTGCCTTCAAGTCACAGGACTGAACATTCCCTTTCATAGAGCAGGTTTGAAACACTCTTTCTGTAGTATCTGCAAGCTGACGTTTCAAGCGCTTTCAGGCCTATGGTGAGAAAGGAAATATCTTCAAGTAAAAACTAGACAGAAACATTGTCAGAAACTTATTTGCCATGTGTGTTCTCAACTAACAGAGTTGAACCTTTGTTTTGATACGGCATTTTGGAAACACTCTTTTTGTAGAATCTGCAGGTGGATATTCGGATAGCTTTGAAGGTTTCGTTGGAAACGGGAATATCTTCATATAAAATGCTAGACGGAAGCATTCTCAGAAACTTCTCTGTGATGTTTGCATTCAACTCATAGAGTTGAACACTTCCCTTCATACAGCAGGTTTGAAACACTCTTTTTGTAATATGTGGAAGTGGACATTTGCAGCGCTTTGAGGCCTATGATGAAAAAGGAAATATCTTCCCATAAAAACTAGACAGAAGCATTCTCAGAAACTTGTTTGTGATGTGTGTATTCAACTAACAGAGATGAACCTTTCTTTTTACAGAGCAGTTTTGAAACACTCTTTTTGTGGAATCTGAAAGTGGATATTTGGATAGCTTTGAGGATTTCGTTGGAAACGGGATTACATATAAAACCTAGAGAGAAGCATTCTCAGGAACTTCTTTGTGATGTTTGCATTCACGTCACAGAACTGAACATTCCCTTTCATAGAGCATGTTTGAAACACTCTTTCTGTAGTATCTGCAAACGGACATTTCAAGCGCTTTCAGGCCTATGATAAGAATGGAAATATCTTCAAATAAAAACTAGACAGAAGCATTCTCAGAAACTTATTTGCGATGTGTGTCCTCAACTAACAGAGTTGAACCTTTGTTTTGATACAACATTTTGGAAACACTCTTTTTGTAGAATCTGCAAGTGGATATTTGGATAGCTTTGAAGGTTTCGTTGGAAACGGGAATATCTTCATATAAAATCAAGACAGAAGCATTCTCAGAAACTTCTCTGTGATGTTTGCATTCAACTCATAGAGGTGAACACTTCCCTTCATAGAGCAGGTTTGAAACACTCTTTTTGTAATATTTGGAAGTGGACATTTGCAGCGCTTTGAGGCCTATGTTGAAAAAGGAAATATCTTCTCCTAAAAACCAGACAGAAGCATTCTCAGAAACTTATTTGCGATGTGTGTTCTCAGCTAACAGAGTTGAACCTTTGTTTTGATACAGCATTTTGGAAACACTCTTTTTGTAGGATCTGCAGGTGGATATTTGGATAGCTTTGAAGGTTTCTTTGGAAACGGGAATATCTTCATATAAAATCAAGACAGAAGCATTCTCAGAAACTTCTCTGTGATGTTTGCATTCAACTCATAGAGTTGAACACTTCCTTTCATAGAGCTGGTTTGAAATACTCTTTTTGTAATATTTGGAAGTGGACATTGGCAGCGCTTTGAAGCCTATGGTGAAAAAGGAGATATCTTATCCTAAAAACCAGACAGAAGCATTCTCAGAAACTTATTTGCCATGTGTGTTCTCAACTAACAGAGTTGAACCTTTGTTTTGATACGGCATTTTGGAAACACTCTTTTTGTAGAATCTGCAGGTGGATATTCGGATAGCTTTGAAGTTTTCGTTGGAAACGGGAATATCTTCATATAAAATCTAGACGGAACCATTCTCAGAAACTGCTTTGTGATGTTTTCATTCAAGTCACAGAGTAGAATGTTCCCTGTTATATACCAGGTTTGAGACACTCTTTCTGCACTACCTGGAAGTGGACGTTTGGAGCGCTTTGAGGCCTATGTTGAAAAAGGAAATATCTTCCCATAAAAACTAGACAGAAGCATTCTCAGAAACTTGTTTGTGATGTGTGTATTCAACTAACAGGGATGAACCTTTCTTATTACAGAGCAGTTTTGAAACACTCTTTTTGTGGAATCTGAAAGTGGATATTTGGATAGCTTTGAGGATTTCGTTGGAAACGGGATTACATATAAAACCTAGAGAGAAGCATTCTCAGGAACTTCTTTGTGATGTTTGCATTCAAGTCACAGAACTGAACATTCCCTTTCATAGAGCATGTTTGAAACACTCTTTCTGTAGTATCTGCAAACGGACATTTCAAACGCTTTCAGGCCTATGGTGAGAAAGGAAATATCTTCAAATAAAAACTAGACAGAAGCATTCTCAGAAACTTATTTGCGATGTGTGTCCTCAACTAACAGAGTTGAACCTTTCTTTTGATACAACATTTTGGAAACACTCTTTTCGTAGAATCTGCAAGTGGATATTTGGATAGCTTTGAAGGTTTCGTTGGAAACGGGAATATCTTCATATAAAATCAAGACAGAAGCATTCTCAGAAACTTCTCTGTGATGTTTGCATTCAACTCATAGAGTTGAACACTTCCCTTCATACAGCAGGTTTGAAACACTCTTTTTGTAATATTTGGAAGTGGACATTTGCAGCGCTTTGAGGCCTATGATGAAAAAGGTAATATCTTCCCATAAAAACTAGACAGAAGCATTCTCAGAAACTTGTTTGTGATGTGTGTATTCAACTAACAGAGATGAACCTTTCTTTTTACAGAGCAGTTTTGAAACACTCTTTTTGTGGAATCTGAAAGTGGATATTTGGATAGCTTTGAGGATTTCGTTGGAAACGGGATTACATATAAAACCTAGAGAGAAGCATTCTCAGGAACTTCTTTGTGATGTTTGCATTCAAGTCACAGAACTGAACATTCCCTTTCATAGAGCAGGTTTAAAACACTCTTTCTGTAGTATCTGCAAGCTGACGTTTCAAGCGCTTTCAGGCCTATGGTGAGAAAGGAAATATCTTCAAGTAAAAACTAGACAGAAGCATTCTCAGAAACTTATTTGCGATGTGTGTTCTCAACTAACAGAGTTGAACCTTTGTTTTGATACGGCATTTTGGAAACACTCTTTTTGTAGAATCTGCAGGTGGATATTCGGATAGCTTTGAAGGTTTCGTTGGAAACGGAATATCTTCATATAAAATCTAGACGGAAGCATTCTCAGAAAGTGCTTTGTGATGTTTGCATTCAAGTCACAGAGTTGAGTATTCCCTTTTATAGAGCAGGTTTGAAACACTCTTTCTGCACTACCTGGAAGTGGACATTTGGAGCACTTTGAGGCCTATGTTGAAAAAGGAAATATCTTCCCATAAAAACTAGACAGAAGCATTGTCAGAAACTTGTTTGTGATGTGTGTATTCAACTAACAGAGATGAACCTTTCTTTTTACAGAGCAGTTTGGAAACACTCTTTTTGTGGAATCTGAAAGTGGATATTTGGATAGCTTTGCGGATTTCGTTGGAAACGGGATTACATATAAAATCTAGGGAGAAGCATTCTCAGGAACTTCTTTGTGATGTTTGCATTCAAGTCACAGAACTGAACATTCCCTTTCATAGAGCAGGTTTGAAACACTCTTTCTGTAGTATCTGCAAGCGGACGTTTTAAGCGCTTTCAGGCCTGTGGTGAGAAAGGAAATATCTTCAAATAAAAACTAGACAGAAGCATTCTCAGAAACTTATTTGCGATGTGTGTCCTCAACTAACAGAGTTGAACCTTTCTTTTGATACAACATTTTGGAAACACTCTTTTTGTAGAATCTGCAAGTGGATATTTGGATAGCTTTGAAGGTTTCGTTGGAAACGGGAATATCTTCATATAAAATCAAGACAGAAGCATTCTCAGAAACTTCTCTGTGATGTTTGCATTCAACTCATAGAGTTGAACACTTCTCTTCATACAGCAGGTTTGAAACACTCTTTTTCTAATATTTGGAAGTGGACATTTGCAGCGCTTTGAGGCCTATGTTGAAAAAGGAAATATCTTCTCCTAAAAACCAGACAGAAGCATTCTCAGAAACTTGTTTGTGATGTGTGTATTCAACTAACAGAGATGAACCTTTCTTTTTACAGAGCAGTTTTGAAACACTCTTTTTGTGGAATCTGAAAGTGGATATTTGGATAGCTTTGAGGGTTTCGTTGGAAACGGGATTACATAAAAAATCTAGGGAGAAGCATTCTCAGGAACTTCTTTGTGATATTTGCATTCAAGTCACAGAACTGAACATTCCCTTTCATACAGCAGCTTTGAAACACTCTTTCTGTAGTATCTGCATGCGGACGTTTCAAGCGCTTTCAGGCCTGTGGTGAAAAAGGAAATATCTTCAAATAAAAACTAGACAGAAGCATTCTCAGAAACTTATTTGCGATGTGTGTTCTCAACTAACAGAGTTGAACCTTTGTTTTGATACAGCATTTTGGAAACACTCTTTTTGTAGGATCTGCAGGTGGATATTTGGATAGCTTTGATGGTTTCGTTGGAAACGGGAATATCCTCATATAAAATCAAGACAGAAGCATTCTCAGAAACTTCTCTGTGATGTTTGCCTTCAACTCATAGAGTTGAACACTTCCTTTCATAGAGCAGGTTTGAAACACTCTGTGCACTACCTGGAAGTGGACGTTTGGAGCGCTTTGAGGCCTATGTTGAAAAAGGAAATATCTTCCCATAAAAACTAGACAGAAGCATTCTCAGAAACTTGTTTGTGATGTGTGTATTCAACTAACAGAGATGAACCTTTCTTTTTACAGAGCAGTTTTGAAACACTCTTTTTGTGGAATCTGAAAGTGGATATTTGGATAGCTTTGAGGATTTCGTTGGAAACGGGATTACATATAAAACCTAGAGAGAAGCATTCTCAGGAACTTCTTTGTGATGTTTGCATTCAAGTCACAGAACTGAACATTCCCTTTCATAGAGCAGGTTTGAAACACTCTTTCTGTAGTATCTGCAAGCTGACGTTTCAAGCGCTTTCAGGCCTATGGTGAGAAAGGAAATATCTTCAAGTAAAAACTAGACAGAAGCATTCTCAGAAACTTATTTGCGATGTGTGTCCTCAACTAACAGAGTTGAACCTTTCTTTTGATACAACATTTTGGAAACACTCTTTTTGTAGAATCAGCAAGTGGATATTTGAATAGCTTTGAAGGTTTCGTTAGAAACGGGAATATCTTCATATAAAATCAAGACAGAAGCATTCTCAGAAATTTCTCTGTGATGTTTGCATTCAACTCATAGAGTTGAACACTTCCCTTCATACAGCAGGTTTGAAACACTCTTTTTGTAATATTTGGAAGTGGACATTTGCAGCGCTTTGAGGCCTATGATGAAAAAGGTAATATCTTCCCATAAAAACTAGACAGAAGCATTCTCAGAAACTTGTTTGTGATGTGTGTATTCAACTAACAGAGATGAACCTTTCTTTTTACAGAGCAGTTTTGAAACACTCTTTTTGTGGAATCTGAAAGTGGATATTTGGATAGCTTTGAGGATTTCGTTGGAAACGGGATTACATATAAAACCTAGAGAGAAGCATTCTCAGGAACTTCTTTTTGATGTTTGCCTTCAAGTCACAGGACTGAACATTCCCTTTCATAGAGCAGGTTTGAAACACTCTTTCTGTAGTATCTGCAAGCTGACGTTTCAAGCGCTTTCAGGCCTATGGTGAGAAAGGAAATATCTTCAAGTAAAAACTAGACAGAAGCATTCTCAGAAACTTATTTGCCATGTGTGTTCTCAACTAACAGAGTTGAACCTTTGTTTTGATACGGCATTTTGGAAACACTCTTTTTGTAGTATCTGCAGGTGGATATTCGGATAGCTTTGAAGGTTTCGTTGGAAACGGGAATATCTTCATATAAAATCTAGACGGAAGCATTCTCAGAAACTGCTTTGTGATGTTTTCATTCAAGTCACAGAGTAGAATGTTCCCTGTTATATACCAGGTTTGAGACACTCTTTCTGCACTACCTGGAAGTGGACGTTTGGAGCGCTTTGAGGCCTATGTTGAAAAAGGAAATATCTTCCCATAAAAACTAGACAGAAGCATTCTCAGAAACTTGTTTGTGATGTGTGTATTCAACTAACAGAGATGAACCTTTCTTTTTACAGAGCAGTTTTGAAACACTCTTTTTGTGGAATCTGAAAGTGGATATTTGGATAGCTTTGAGGATTTCGTTGGAAACGGGATTACATATAAAACCTAGAGAGAAGCATTCTCAGGAACTTCTTTGTGATGTTTGCATTCAAGTCACAGAACTGAACATTCCCTTTCATAGAGCAGGTTTGAAACACTCTTTCTGTAGTATCTGCAAGCTGACGTTTCAAGCGCTTTCAGGCCTATGGTGAGAAAGGAAATATCTTCAAGTAAAAACTAGACAGAAGCATTCTCAGAAACTTATTTGCCATGTGTGTTCTCAACTAACAGAGTTGAACCTTTGTTTTGATAAGGCATTTTGGAAACAGTCTTTTTGTAGAATCTGCAGGTGGATATTCGGATAGCTTTGAAGGTTTCGTTGGAAACGGGAATATCTTCATATAAAGTCTAGACGGAAGCATTCTCAGAAAGTGCTTTGTGATGTTTGCATTCAAGTCACAGAGTTGAGTATTCCCTTTTATAGAGCAGGTTTGAAACACTCTTTCTGCACTACCTGGAAGTGGACATTTGGGGCGCTTTGAGGCCTATGTTGAAAAAGGAAATGTCTTCCCATAAAAACTAGACAGAAGCATTCTCAGAAACTTGTTTGTGATGTGTGTATTCAACTAACAGAGATGAACCTTTCTTTTTACAGAGCAGTTTTGAAACACTCTTTTTGTGGAATCTGAAAGTGGATATTTGGATAGCTTTGAGGATTTCGTTGGAAACGGGATTACATATAAAACCTAGAGAGAAGCATTCTCAGGAACTTCTTTGTGATGTTTGCCTTCAAGTCACAGGACTGAACATTCCCTTTCATAGAGCAGGTTTGAAACACTCTTTCTGTAGTATCTGCAAGCTGACGTTTCATGCGCTTTCAGGCCTATGGTGAGAAAGGAAATATCTTCAAGTAAAAACTAGACAGAAGCATTCTCAGAAACTTATTTGCCATGTGTGTTCTCAACTAACAGAGTTGAACCTTTGTTTTGATACGGCATTTTGGAAACACTCTTTTTGTAGAATCTGCAGGTGGATATTCGGATAGCTTTGAAGGTTTCGTTGGAAACGGGAATATCTTCATATAAAATCTAGACGGAAGCATTCTCAGAAACTGCTTTGTGATGTTTTCATTCAAGTCACAGAGTAGAATGTTCCCTGTTATATACCAGGTTTGAGACACTCTTTCTGCACTACCTGGAAGTGGACATTTGGAGCGTTTTGAGGCCTATGATGAAAAAGGAAATATCTTCCCATAAAAACTAGACAGAAGCATTCTCAGAAACTTGTTTGTGATGTGTGTATTCAACTAACAGAGATGAACCTTTCTTTTTACAGAGCAGTTTTGAAACACTCTTTTTGTGGAATCTGAAAGTGGATATTTGGATAGCTTTGAGGATTTCGTTGGAAACGGGATTACATATAAAATCTAGAGAGAAGCATTCTCAGGAACTTCTTTGTGATGTTTGCATTCACGTCACAGAACTGAACATTCCCTTTCATAGAGCATGTTTGAAACACTCTTTCTGTAGTATCTGCAAACGGACATTTCAAACGCTTTCAGGCCTATGGTGAGAAAGGAAATATCTTCAAATAAAAACTAGACAGAAGCATTCTCAGAAACTTATTTGCGATGTGTGTCCTCAACTAACAGAGTTGAACCTTTCTTTTGATACAACATTTTGAAACACTCTTTTTGTAGAATCTGCAAGTGGATATTTGAATAGCTTTGAAGGTTTCGTTGGAAACGGGAATATCTTCATATAAAATCAAGACAGAAGCATTCTCAGAAACTTCTCTGTGATGTTTGCATTCAACTCATAGAGTTGAACACTTCCCTTCATACAGCAGGCTTGAAACACTCTTTTTGTAATATTTGGAAGTGGACATTTGCAGCGCTTTGAGGCCTATGATGAAAAAGGTAATATCTTCCCATAAAAACTAGACAGAAGCATTCTCAGAAACTTGTTTGTGATGTGTGTATTCAACTAACAGAGATGAACCTTTCTTTTTACAGAGCAGTTTTGAAACACTCTTTTTGTGGAATCTGAAAGTGGATATTTGGATAGCTTTGCGGATTTCGTTGGAAACGGGATTACATATAAAATCTAGGGAGAAGCATTATCAGGAACTTCTTTGTGATGTTTGCATTCAAGTCACAGAACTGAACATTCCCTTTCATAGAGCAGGTTTGAAACACTCTTTCTGTAGTATCTGCAAGCGGACGTTTTAAGCGCTTTCAGGCCTGTGGTGAGAAAAGAAATATCTTCAAATAAAAACTAGACAGAAGCATTCTCAGAAACTTATTTGCGATGTGTGTCCTCAACTAACAGAGTTGAACCTTTCTTTTGATACAACATTTTGGAAACACTCTTTTTGTAGAATCTGCAAGTGGATATTTGGATAGCTTTGAAGGTTTCGTTGGAAACGGGAATATCTTCATATGAAATCAAGACAGAAGCATTCTCAGAAACTGCTTTGTGATGTTTTCATTCAAGTCACAGAGTAGAATGTTCCCTGTTATATACCAGGTTTGAGACACTCTTTCTGCACTACCTGGAAGTGGACATTTGGAGCGCTTTGAGGCCTATGATGAAAAAGGAAATATCTTCCCATAAAAACTAGACAGAAGCATTCTCAGAAACTTGTTTGTGATGTGTGTATTCAACTAACAGAGATGAACCTTTCTTTTTACAGAGCAGTTTTGAAACACTCTTTTTGTGGAATCTGAAAGTGGATATTTGGATAGCTTTGAGGATTTCGTTGGAAACGGGATTACATATAAAATCTAGAGAGAAGCATTCTCAGGATCTTTTTTGTGATGTATGCATTCAAGTCACAGAACTGAACATTCCCTTTCATAGAGCATGTTTGAAACACTCTTTCTGTAGTATCTGCAAGCGGACGTTTCAAGCGCTTTCAGGCCTATGGTGAGAAAGGAAATATCTTCAAGTAAAAACTAGACAGAAGCATTCTCAGAAACTTATTTGCCATGTGTGTTCTCAACTAACAGAGTTGAAACTTTGTTTTGATACGGCATTTTGGAAACACTCTTTTTGTAGAATCTGCAGGTGGATATTCGGATAGCTTTGAAGGTTTCCTTGGAAACGGGAATATCTTCATATAAAATCTAGACGGAAGCACTCTCAGAAACTGCTTTGTGATGTTTTCATTCAAGTCACAGAGTAGAATGTTCCCTTTTATATACCAGGTTTGAGACACACTTTCTGCACTATCTGGAAGTGGACATTTGGAGCGCTTTGTGGCCTATGTTGAAAAAGGAAATATCTTCCCATAAAAACTAGACAGAAGCATTCTCAGAAACTTGTTTGTGATGTGTGTATTCAACTAACAGAGATGAACCTTTCTTTTTACAGAGCAGTTTTGAAACACTCTTTTTGTGGAATCTGAAAGTGGATATTTGGATAGCTTTGCGGATTTCGTTGGAAACGGGATTACATATAAAATCTAGGGAGAAGCATTCTCAGGAACTTCTTTGTGATGTTTGCATTCAAGTCACAGAACTGAACATTCCCTTTCATAGAGCAGGTTTGAAACACTCTGTAGTATCTGCAAGCGGACGTTTTAAGCGCTTTCAGGCCTGTGGTGAGAAAGGAAATATCTTCAAATAAAAACTAGACAGAAGCATTCTCAGAAACTTATTTGAGATGTGTGTTCTCAACTAACAGAGTTGAACCTTTCTTTTGATACAACATTTTGGAAACACTCTTTTTGTAGAATCTGCAAGTGGATATTTGGATAACTTTGAAGGTTTCGTTGGAAACGGGAATATCTTCATATGAAATCAAGACAGAAGCATTCTCAGAAACTGCTTTGTGATGTTTTCATTCAAGTCACAGAGTAGAATGTTCTCTTTTATATACCAGGTTTGAGACACTCTTTCTGCACTATCTGGAAGTGGACATTTGGAGCGCTTTGAGGCCTATGATGAAAAAGGAAATATCTTCCCATAAAAACTAGACAGAAGCATTCTCAGAAACTTGGTTGTGATGTGTGTATTCAACTAACAGAGATGAACCTTTCTTTTTACAGAGCAGTTTTGAAACACTCTTTTTGTGGAATCTGAAAGTGCATATTTGGATAGCTTTGAGGATTTCGTTGGAAACGGGATTACATATAAAATCTAGAGAGAAGCATTCTCAGGAACTTCTTTGTGATGTTTGCATTCAAGTCACAGAACTGAACATTCCCTTTCATAGAGCATGTTTGAAACACTCTTTCTGTAGTATCTGCAAGCGGACGTTTTAAGCGCTTTCAGGCCTGTGGTGAGAAAGGAAATATCTTCAAATAAAAACTAGACAGAAGCATTCTCAGAAACGTATTTGCGATGTGTGTCCTCAACTAACAGAGTTGAACCTTTCTTTTGATACAACATTTTGGAAACACTCTTTTTGTAGAATCTGCAAGTGGATATTTGGATAGCTTTGAAGGTTTCGTTGGAAACGGGAATATCTTCATATGAAATCAAGACAGAAGCATTCTCAGAAACTTCTCTGTGATGTTTGCATTCAACTCATAGAGTTGAACACTTCCCTTCATACAGCAGGTTTGAAACACTCTTTTTCTAATATTTGGAAGTGGACATTTGCAGCGCTTTGAGGCCTATGTTGAAAAAGGAAATATCTTCTCCTAAAAACCAGACAGAAGCATTCTCAGAAACTTCCTTGTGATGTGTGTACTCAAGTAACAGAGTTGAACCTTCCTTTTGACAGAGCAGTTTTGAAGCACTCTTTTTGTAGAATCTGCAAGTGGATATTTTGATACCTTTGAGGATTTCGTTGGACACGGGATATCTTCATATAAAATCTAGACAGAAGCATTCTCAGGAACTTCTTTGTGATGTTTGCCTTCAAGTCACAGGACTGAACATTCCCTTTCATAGAGCAGGTTTGAAACACTCTTTCTGTAGTATCTGCAAGCTGACGTTTCAAGCGCTTTCAGGCCTATGGTGACAAAGGAAATATCTTCAAGTAAAAACTAGACAGAAGCATTCTCAGAAACTTATTTGCCATGTGTGTTCTCAACTAACAGAGTTGAACCTTTGTTTTGATATGGCATTTTGGAAACACTCTTTTTGTAGAATCTGCAGGTGGATATTCGGATAGCTTTGAAGGTTTCGTTGGAAACGGGAATATCTTCATATAAAATCTAGACGGAAGCATTCTCAGAAACTTCTCTGTGATGTTTGCATTCAACTCATAGAGTTGAACACTTCCCTTCATACAGCAGGTTTGAAACACTCTTTTTGTAATATTTGGAAGTGGACATTTGCAGCGCTTTGAGGCCTATGATGAAAAAGGTAATATCTTCCCATAAAAACTAGACAGAAGCATTCTCAGAAACTTGTTTGTGATGTGTGTATTCAACTAACAGAGATGAACCTTTCTTTTTACAGAGCAGTTTTGAAACACTCTTTTTGTGGAATCTGAAAGTGGATATTTGGATAGCTTTGAGGATTTCGTTGGAAACGGGATTACATATAAAATCTAGAGAGAAGCATTCTCAGGAACTTCTTTGTGATGTTTGCATTCACGTCACAGAGCTGAACATTCCCTTTCATAGAGCATGTTTGAAACACTCTTTCTGTAGTATCTGCAAACGGACATTTCAAACGCTTTCAGGCCTATGGTGAGAAAGGAAATATCTTCAAATAAAAACTAAACAGAAGCATTCTCAGAAACTTATTTGCGATGTGTGTTCTCAACTGACAGAGTTGAACCTTTGTTTTTATACAGCATTTAGGAAACACTCTTTTTGTAGGATCTGCAGGTGGATATTTGGATAGATTTGAAGGTTTCGTTGGAAACGGGAATATCTTTATATAAAATCAACACAGAAGCATTCTCAGAAACTTCTCTGTGATGTTTGCATTCAACTCATAGAGTTGAACACTTCCTTTCATAGAGCTGGTTTGAAATACTCTTTTTGTAATATTTGGAAGTGGACATTGGCAGCGCTTTGAAGCCTATGGTGAAAAAGGAGATATCTTCCCCTAAAAACCAGACAGAAGCATTCTCAGAAACTTATTTGCGATGTGTGTTCTCAACTAACAGAGTTGAACCTTTGTTTTGATATGGCATTTTGGAAACACTCTTTTTGTAGAATCTGCAGGTGGATATTCGGATAGCTTTGAAGGTTTCGTTGGAAACGGGAATATCTTCATATAAAATCTAGACGGAAGCATTCTCAGAAACTGCTTTGTGATGTTTTCATTCAAGTCACAGAGTAGAATGTTCCCTGTTATATACCAGGTTTGAGACACTCTTTCTGCACTACCTGGAAGTGGACATTTGCAGCGCTTTGAGGCCTATGATGAAAAAGGAAATATCTTCCCATAAAAACTAGACAGAAGCATTCTCAGAAACTTGTTTGTGATGTGTGTATTCAACTAACAGAGATGAACCTTTCTTTTTACAGAGCAGTTTTGAAACACTCTTTTTGTGGAATCTGAAAGTGGATATTTGGATAGCTTTGAGGATTTCGTTGGAAACGGGATTACATATAAAACCTAGAGAGAAGCATTCTCAGGAACTTCTTTGTGATGTTTGCATTCACGTCACAGAACTGAACATTCCCTTTCATAGAGCATGTTTGAAACTCTCTTTCTGTAGTATCTGCAAACGGACATTTCAAACGCTTTCAGGCCTATGGTGAGAAAGGAAATATCTTCAAATAAAAACTAGTCAGAAGCATTCTCCAGAAACTTATTTGCGATGTGTGTCCTCAACTAACAGAGTTGAACCTTTCTTTTGATACAACATTTTGGAAACACTCTTTTTGTAGAATCTGCAAGTGGATATTTGAATAGCTTTGAAGGTTTCGTTGGAAACGGGAATATCTTCATATAAAATCAAGACAGAAGCATTCTCAGAAACTTCTCTGTGATGTTTGCATTCAACTCATAGAGTTGAACACTTCCCTTCATACAGCAGGTTTGAAACACTCTTTTTCTAATATTTGGAAGTGGACATTTGCAGCGCTTTGAGGCCTATGTTGAAAAAGGAAATATCTTCTCCTAAATACCAGACAGAAGCATTCTCAGAAACTTGTTTGTGATGTGTGTATTCAACTAACAGAGATGAACCTTTCTTTTTACAGAGCAGTTTTGAAACACTCTTTTTGTGGAATCTGAAAGTGGATATTTGGATAGCTTTGCGGATTTCGTTGGAAACGGGATTACATATAAAATCTAGGGAGAAGCATTCTCAGGAACTTCTTTGTGATGTTTGCATTCAAGTCAAAGAACTGAACATTCCCTTTCATAGAGCATGTTTGAAACACTCTTTCTGTAGTATCTGCAAGCGGACGTTTCAAGCGCTTTCAGGCCTATGGTGAGAAAGGAAATATCTTCAAGTAAAAACTAGACAGAAGCATTCTCAGAAACTTATTTGCCATGTGTGTTCTCAACTAACAGAGTTGAACCTTTGTTTGGATACGGCATTTTGGAAACACTCTTTTTGTAGGATCTGCAGGTGGATATTCGGATAGCTTTGAAGGTTTCGTTGGAAACGGGAATATCTTCATATAAAATCTAGACGGAAGCATTCTCAGAAACTGCTTTGTGATGTTTTCATTGAAGTCACAGAGTAGAATGTTCCCTTTTATATACCAGGTTTGAGACACTCTTTCTGCACTATCTGGAAGTGGACATTTGGAGCGCTTTGAGGCCTATGATGAAAAAGGAAATATCTTCCCATAAAAACTAGACAGAAGCATTCTCAGAAACTTGTTTGTGATGTGTGTATTCAACTAACAGAGATGAACCTTTCTTTTTACAGAGCAGTTTTGAAACACTCTTTTTGTGGAATCTGAAAGTGGATATTTGGATAGCTTTGAGGATTTCGTTGGAAACGGGATTACATATAAAACCTAGAGAGAAGCATTCTCAGGAACTTCTTTGTGATGTTTGCCTTCAAGTCACAGGACTGAACATTCCCATTCATAGAGCAGGTTTGAAACACTCTTTCTGTAGTATCTGCAAGCTGACGTTTCATGCGCTTTCAGGCCTATGGTGAGAAAGGAAATATCTTCAAGTAAAAACTAGACAGAAGCATTGTCAGAAACTTATTTGCCATGTGTGTTCTCAACTAACAGAGTTGAACCTTTGTTTTGATACGGCATTTTGGAAACACTCTTTTTGTAGAATCTGCAGGTGGATATTCGGATAGCTTTGAAGGTTTCGTTGGAAACGGGAATATCTTCATATAAAATCTAGACGGAAGCATTCTCAGAAACTGCTTTGTGATGTTTTCATTCAAGTCACAGTGTAGAATGTTCCCTGTTATATACCAGGTTTGAGACACTCTTTCTGCACTACCTGGAAGTGGACGTTTGGAGCGCTTTGAGGCCTATGTTGAAAAAGGAAATATCTTCCCATAAAAACTAGACAGAAGCATTCTCAGAAACTTATTTGTGATGTGTATATTCAACTAACAGAGATGAACCATTCTTTTTACAGAGCAGGTTGGAAACACTCTTTTTGTGGAATCTGAAAGTGGATATTTGGATAGCTTTGAGGATTTCGTTGGAAACGGGATTACATATAAAATCTAGAGATTAGCACTCTCAGGAATTTTTTTGTGATGTTTGCATTCTCGTCACAGAACTGAACATTCCCTTTCATAGAGCAGGTTTGAAACACTCTTTCTGTAGTATCTGCAAACGGACATTCCAAGCGCTTTCAGGCCTATGGTGAGAAAGGAAATATCTTCAAATAAAAACCAGACAGAAGCATTCTCAGAAACTTATTTGCGATGTGTGTCCTCAACTATCAGAGTTGAACCTTTCTTTTGATACAACATTTTGGAACCACTCTTTTTGTAGAATCTGCAAGTGGATATTTGAATAGCTTTGAAGGTTTCGTTGGAAACGGGAATATCTTCATATAAAATCAAGACAGAAGCATTCTCAGAAACTTCTCTGTGATGTTTGCATTCAACTCATAGAGTTGAACACTTCCCTTCATACAGCAGGTTTGAAACACTCTTTTTGTAATATTTGGAAGTGGACATTTGCAGCGCTTTGAGGCCTATGATGAAAAAGGAAATATCTTCCCATAAAAACTAGACAGAAGCATTCTCAGAAACTTGTTTGTGATGTGTGTATTCAACTAACAGAGATGAACCTTTCTTTTTACAGAGCAGTTTTGAAACACTCTTTTTGTGGAATCTGAATGTGGATATTTGGATAGCTTTGCGGATTTCGTTGGAAACGGGATTACATATAAAATCTAGGGAGAAGCATTCTCAGGAACTTCTTTGTGATGTTTGCCTTCAAGTCACAGGACTGAACATTCCCTTTCATAGAGCAGGTTTGAAACACTCTTTCTGTAGTATCTGCAAGCTGACGTTTCAAGCGCTTTCAGGCCTATGGTGAGAAAGGAAATATCTTCAAGTAAAAACTAGACAGAAGCATTGTCAGAAACTTATTTGCCATGTGTGTTCTCAACTAACAGAGTTGAACCTTTGTTTTGATACGGCATTTTGGAAACACTCTTTTTGTAGAATCTGCAGGTGGATATTCGGATAGCTTTGAAGGTTTCGTTGGAAACGGGAATATCTTCATATAAAATCTAGACGGAAGCATTCTCAGAAACTGCTTTGTGATGTTTTCATTCAAGTCACAGTGTAGAATGTTCCCTGTTATATACCAGGTTTGAGACACTCTTTCTGCACTACCTGGAAGTGGACGTTTGGAGCGCTTTGAGGCCTATGTTGAAAAAGGAAATATCTTCCCATAAAAACTAGACAGAAGCATTCTCAGAAACTTGTTTGTGATGTGTGTATTCAACTAACAGAGATGAACCTTTCTTTTTACAGAGCAGTTTTGAAACACTCTTTTTGTGGAATCTGAAAGTGGATATTTGGATAGCTTTGAGGATTTCGTTGGAAACGGGATTACATATAAAACCTAGAGAGAAGCATTCTCAGGAACTTCTTTGTGATGTTGGCCTTCAAGTCACAGGACTGAACATTCCCTTTCATGGAGCAGGTTTGAAACACTCTTTCTGTAGTATCTGCAAGCTGACGTTTCAAGCGCTTTCAGGCCTATGGTGAGAAAGGAAATATCTTCAAGTAAAAACTAGACAGAAGCATTCTCAGAAACTTATTTGCCATGTGTGTTCTCAACTAACAGAGTTGAACCTTTGTTCTGATGCGGCATTTTGGAAACACTCTTTTTGTAGAATCTGCAGGTGGATATTCGGATAGCTTTGAAGGTTTCGTTGGAAACGGGAATATCTTCATATAAAATCTGGACGGAAGCATTCTCAGAAACTGCTTTGTGATGTTTTCATTCAAGTCACAGAGTAGAATGTTCCCTGTTATATACCAGGTTTGAGACACTCTTTCTGCACTACCTGGAAGTGGACGTTTGGAGCGCTTTGAGGCCTATGTTGAAAAAGGAAATATCTTCCCATAAAAACTAGACAGAAGCATTCTCAGAAACTTGTTTGTGATGTGTGTATTCAACTAACAGGGATGAACCTTTCTTATTACAGAGCAGTTTTGAAACACTCTTTTTGTGGAATCTGAAAGTGGATATTTGGATAGCTTTGAGGATTTCGTTGGAAACGGGATTACATATAAAATCTAGAGAGAAGCATTCTCAGGAACTTCTTTGTGATGTTTGCATTCAAGTCACAGAACTGAACATTCCCTTTCATAGAGCATGTTTGAAACACTCTTTCTGTAGTATCTGCAAACGGACATTTCAAACGCTTTCAGGCCTATGGTGAGAAAGGAAATATCTTCAAATAAAAACTAGACAGAAGCATTCTCAGAAACTTGTTTGCGATGTGTTTCCTCAACTAACAGAGTTGAACCTTTCTTTTGATACAACATTTTGGAAACACTCTTTTTGTAGAATCTGCAAGTGGATATTTGGATAGCTTTGAAGGTTTCTTTGGAAACGGGAATATCTTCATATAAAATCAAGACAGAAGCATTCTCAGAAAGTGCTTTGTGATGTTTGCATTCAAGTCACAGAGTTGAATATTCCCTTTTATAGAGCAGGTCTGAAACACTCTTTCTGCACTACCTGGAAGTGGACATTTGGAACGCTTTGAGGCCTATGTTGAAAAAGGAAATATCTTCCCATAAAAACTAGACAGAAGCATTCTCAGAAACTTGTTTGTGATGTGTGTATTCAACTAACAGAGATGAACCTTTCTTTTTACAGAGCAGTTTTGAAACACTCTTTTTGTGGAATCTGAAAGTGGATATTTGGATAGCTTTGAGGATTTCGTTGGAAACGGGATTACATATAAAACCTAGAGAGAAGCATTCTCAGGAACTTCTTTGTGATGTTTGCATTCAAGTCACAGAACTGAACATTCCCTTTCATAGAGCAGGTTTGAAACACTCTTTCTGTAGTATCTGCAAGCTGACGTTTCAAGCGCTTCAGGCCTATGGTGAGAAAGGAAATATCTTCAAGTAAAAACTAGACAGAAGCATTCTCAGAAACTTATTTGCCATGTGTGTTCTCAACTAACAGAGTTGAACCTTTGTTTTGATACGGCATTTTGTAAACACTCTTTTTGTAGAATCTGCAGGTGGATATTCGGATAGCTTTGAAGGTTTCGTTGGAAACGGGAATATCTTCATATAAAATCTAGACGGAAGGATTCTCAGAAAGTGCTTTGTGATGTTTGCATTCAAGTCACAGAGGTGAATATTCCCTTTTATAGAGCAGGTTTGAAACACTCTTTCTGCACTACCTGGAAGTGGACATTTGGAGCGCTTTGAGGCCTATGTTGAAAAAGGAAATATCTTCCCATAAAAACTAGACAGAAGCATTCTCAGAAACTTGTTTGTGATGTGTGTATTCAACTAACAGAGATGAACCTTTCTTTTTACAGAGCAGTTTTGAAACACTCTTTTTGTGGAATCTGAAAGTGGATATTTGGATAGCTTTGAGGATTTCGTTGGAAACGGGATTACATATAAAATCTAGAGAGAAGCATTCTCAGGAACTTCTTTGTGATGTTTGCATTCACGTCACAGAACTGAACATTCCCTTTCATAGAGCATGTTTGAAACACTCTTTCTGTAGTATCTGCAAGCGGACGTTTTAAGCGCTTTCAGGCCTGTGGTGAGAAAGGAAATATCTTCAAATAAAAACTAGACAGAAGCATTCTCAGAAACTTATTTGCGATGTGTGTCCTCAACTAACAGAGTTGAACCTTTCTTTTGATACAACATTTTGGAAACACTCTTTTTGTAGAATCTGCAAGTGGATATTTGGATAGCTTTGAAGGTTTCGTTGGAAACGGGAATATCTTCATATGAAATCAAGACAGAAGCATTCTCAGAAACTTCTCTGTGATGTTTGCATTCAACTCATAGAGTTGAACACTTCCCTTCATACAGCAGGTTTGAAACACTCTTTTTGTAATATTTGGAAGTGGACATTTGCAGCGCTTTGAGGCCTATGATGAAAAAGGTAATATCTTCCCATAAAAACTAGACAGAAGCATTCTCAGAAACTTGTTTGTGATGTGTGTATTCAACTAACAGAGATGAACCTTTCTTTTTACAGAGCAGTTTTGAAACACTCTTTTTGTGGAATCTGAAAGTGGATATTTGGATAGCTTTGAGGATTTCGTTGGAAACGGGATTACATATAAAACCTAGAGAGAAGCATTCTCAGGAACTTCTTTGTGATGTTTGCATTCAAGTCACAGAACTGAACATTCCCTTTCATAGAGCAGGTTTGAAACACTCTTTCTGTAGTATCTGCAAGCTGACGTTTCAAGCGCTTTCAGGCCTATGGTGAGAAAGGAAATATCTTCAAGTAAAAACTAGACAGAAGCATTCTCAGAAACTTATTTGCGATGTGTGTTCTCAACTAACAGAGTTGAACCTTTGTTTTGATATGGCATTTTGGAAACACTCTTTTTGTAGAATCTGCAGGTGGATATTCGGATAGCTTTGAAGGTTTCGTTGGAAACGGGAATATCTTCATATAAAATCTAGACGGAAGCATTCTCAGAAACTGCTTTGTGATGTTTTCATTCAAGTCACAGAGTAGAATGTTCCCTGTTATATACCAGGTTTGAGACACTCTTTCTGCACTACCTGGAAGTGGACGTTTGGAGCGCTTTGAGGCCTATGTTGAAAAAGGAAATATCTTCCCATAAAAACTAGACAGAAGCATTCTCAGAAACTTGTTTGTGATGTGTGTATTCAACTAACAGGGATGAACCTTTCTTATTACAGTGCAGTTTTGAAACACTCTTTTTGTGGAATCTGAAAGTGGATATTTGGATAGCTTTGAGGATTTCGTTGGAAACGGGATTACATATAAAACCTAGAGAGAAGCATTCTCAGGAACTTCTTTGTGATGTTTGCATTCAAGTCACAGAACTGAACATTCCCTTTCATAGAGCATGTTTGAAACACTCTTTCTGTAGTATCTGCAAACGGACATTTCAAACGCTTTCAGGCCTATGGTGAGAAAGGAAATATCTTCAAATAAAAACTAGACAGAAGCATTCTCAGAAACTTGTTTGCGATGTGTTTCCTCAACTAACAGAGTTGAACCTTTCTTTTGATACAACATTTTGGAAACACTCTTTTTGTAGAATCTGCAAGTGGATATTTGGATAGCTTTGAAGGTTTCTTTGGAAACGGGAATATCTTCATATAAAATCAAGACAGAAGCATTCTCAGAAACTGCTTTGTGATGTTTTCATTCAAGTCACAGAGTAGAATCTTCCCTGTTATATACCAGGTTTCAGACACTCTTTCTGCACTACCTGGAAGTGGACATTTGCAGCGCTTTGAGGCCTATGATGAAAAAGGAAATATCTTCCCATAAAAACTAGACAGAAGCATTCTCAGAAACTTGTTTGTGATGTGTGTATTCAACTAACAGAGATGAACCTTTCTTTTTACAGAGCAGTTTTGAAACA
The DNA here is from genome assembly GCF_000001405.40 of Homo sapiens. Taxonomy (NCBI): domain Eukaryota; kingdom Metazoa; phylum Chordata; class Mammalia; order Primates; family Hominidae; genus Homo; species Homo sapiens. Next base: position 44,608,457 of record NC_000009.12, read on the forward strand.
CTCTTTTTGTGGAATCTGAAAGTGGATATTTGGATAGCTTTGAGGATTTCGTTGGAAACGGGATTACATATAAAATCTAGAGAGAAGCATTCTCAGGAACTTCTTTGTGATGTTTGCATTCACGTCACAGAACTGAACATTCCCTTTCATAGAGCATGTTTGAAACACTCTTTCTGTAGTATCTGCAAACGGACATTTCAAACGCTTTCAGGCCTATGGTGAGAAAGGAAATATGTTCAAATAAAAACTAGACAGAAGCATTCTCAGAAACTAATTTGCGATGTGTGTTCTCAACTAACAGAGTTGAACCTTTGTTTTGATACAGCATTTTGGAAACACACTTTTTGTAGGATCTGCAGGTGGATATTTGGATAGCTTTGAAGGTTTCGTTGGAAACGGGAATATCCTCATATAAAATCAAGACAGAAGCATTCTCAGAAACTTCTCTGTGATGTTTGCATTCAACTCATAGAGTTGAACACTTCCTTTCATAGAGCAGGTTTGAAACACTCTGTGCACTACCTGGAAGTGGACCTTTGGAGCGCTTTGAGGCCTATGTTGAAAAAGGAAATATCTTCCCATAAAAACTAGACAGAAGCATTCTCAGAAACTTGTTTGTGATGTGTGTATTCAACTAACAGAGATGAACCTTTCTTTTTACAGAGTAGTTTTGAAACACTCTTTTTGTGGAATCCGAAAGTGGATATTTGGATTGCTTTGAGGATTTCGTTGGAAACGGGATTACATATAAAATCTAGGGAGAAGCATTCTCAGGAACTTCTTTGTGATGTTTGCATTCAAGTCACAGAACTGAACATTCCCTTTCATAGAGCAGGTTTGAAACACTCTTTCTGTAGTATCTGCAAGCGGACGTTTGAAGCGCTTTCAGGCCTGTGGTGAAAAAGGAAATATCTTCAAATAAAAACTAGACAGAAGCATTCTCAGAAACTTATTTGCGATGTGTGTCCTCAACTAACAGAGTTGAACCTTTGTTTTGATACAACATTTTGGAAACACTCTTTTTGTAGAATCTGCAAGTGGATATTTGGATAGCTTTGAAGGTTTCGTTGGAAACGGGAATATCTTCATATAAAATCAAGACAGAAGCATTCTCAGAAACTTCTCTGTGATGTTTGCATTCAACTCATAGAGTTGAACACTTCCCTTCATACAGCAGGTTTGAAACACTCTTTTTGTAATATTTGGAAGTGGACATTTGCAGCGCTTTGAGGCCTATGTTGAAAAAGGAAATATCTTCTCCTAAAAACCAGACAGAAGCATTCTCAGAAACTTTCTTGTGATGTGTGTACTCAAGTAACAGAGTTGAACCTTACTTTTGACAGAGCCGTTTTGAAACAGTCTTTTTGTAGAATCTGGAAGTAGATATTTGGATACCTTTGAGGATTTCTTTGGAAACGGGATATCTTCATATAAAATCTAGACAGAAGCATTCTCAGGAACTTCTTTGTGATGTTTTCATTCAAGTCACAGAACTGAACATTCCCTTTCATAGAGCAGGTTTGAAACACTCTTTCTGTAGTATCTGCAAGCTGACGTTTCAAGCGCTTTCAGGCCTATGGTGAGAAAGGAAATATCTTCAAGTAAAAACTAGACAGAAGCATTCTCAGAAACTTATTTGCGATGTGTGTTCTCAACTAACAGAGTTGAACCTTTGTTTTGATATGGCATTTTGGAAACACTCTTTTTGTAGAATCTGCAGGTGGATATTCGGATAGCTTTGAAGGTTTCGTTGGAAACGGGAATATCTTCATATAAAATCTAGACGGAAGCATTCTCAGAAAGTGCTTTGTGATGTTTGCATTCAAGTCACAGAGTTGAATATTCCCTTTTATAGAGCAGGTTTGAAACACTCTTTCTGCACTACCTGGAAGTGGACATTTGGAGCGCTTTGAGGCCTATGTTGAAAAAGGAAATATCTTCCCATAAAAACTAGAAAGAAGCATTCTCAGAAACTTGTTTGTGATGTGTGTATTCAACTAACAGAGATGAATCTTTCTTTTTACAGAGCAGTTTTGAAACACTTTTTTTGTGGAATCTGAAAGTGGTTATTTGGATAGCTTTGAGGATTTCGTTGGAAACGGGATTACATATAAAACCTAGAGAGAATAATTCTCAGGAACTTCTTTGTGATGTTTGCATTCAAGTCACAGAACTGAACATTCCCTTTCATAGAGCATGTGTGAAACACTCTTTCTGTAGTATCTGCAAACGGACATTTCAAACGCTTTCAGGCCTATTGTGAGAAAGGAAATATCTTCAAATAAAAACTAGACAGAAGCATTCTCAGAAACTTATTTGCGATGTGTGTCCTCAACTAACAGAGTTGAACCTTTCTTTTGATACAACATTTTGGAAACACTCTTTTTGTAGAATCTGCAAGTGGATATTTGGATAGCTTTGAAGGTTTCGTTGGAAACGGGAATATCTTCATATGAAATCAAGACAGAAGCATTCTCAGAAAGTGCTTTGTGATGTTTGCATTCAAGTCACAGAGTTGAATATTCCCTTTTATAGAGCAGGTTTGAAACACTCTTTCTGCACTACCTGGAAGTGGACATTTGGAGCGCTTTGAGGCCTATGTTGAAAAAGGAAATATCTTCCCATAAAAACTAGACAGAAGCATTCTCAGAAATTTGTTTGTGATGTGTGTATTCAACTAACAGACATGAACCTTTCTTTTTACAGAACAGTTTTGAAACACTCTTTTTGTGGAATCTGAAAGTGGATATTTGGATATCTTTGAGGATTTCGTTGGAAACGGGATTACATATAAAATCTAGAGAGAAGCATTCTCAGGAACTTCTTTGTGATGTTTGCATTCAAGTCACAGAACTGAACATTCCCTTTCATAGAGCATGTTTGAAACACTCTTTCTGTAGTATCTGCAAGCGGACGTTTTAAGCGCTTTCAGGCCTGTGGTGAGAAAGGAAATATCTTCAAATAAAAACTAGACAGAAGCATTCTCAGAAACTTATTTGCGATGTGTGTCCTCAACTAACAGAGTTGAACCTTTCTTTTGATACAACATTTTGGAAACACTCTTTTTGTAGAATCTGCAAGTGGATATTTGGATAGCTTTGAAAGTTTCGTTGGAAACGGGAATATCTTCATATGAAATCAAGACAGAAGCATTCTCAGAAACTTCTCTGTGATGTTTGCATTCAACTCATAGAGTTGAACACTTCCCTTCATACAGCAGGTTTGAAACACTCTTTTTGTAATATTTGGAAGTGGACATTTGCAGCGCTTTGAGGCCTATGTTGAAAAAGGAAATATCTTCTCCTAAAAACCAGACAGAAGCATTCTCAGAAACTTGTTGGTGATGTGTGTATTCAACTAACAGAGATGAACCTTTCTTTTTACAGAGCAGTTTTGAAACACTCTTTTTGTGGAATCTGAAAGTGGATATTTGGATTGCTTTGCGGATTTCGTTGGAAACGGGATTACATATAAAATCTAGGGAGAAGCATTCTCAGGAACTTCTTTGTGATGTTTGCATTCAAGTCACAGAACTGAACATTCCCTTTCATAGAGCAGGTTTGAAACACTCTTTCTGTAGTATCTGCAAGCGGACGTTTTAAGCGCTTTCAGGCCTGTGGTGAGAAAGGAAATATCTTCAAATAAAAACTAGACAGAAGCATTCTCAGAAACTTATTTGCGATGTGTGTCCTCAACTAACAGAGTTGAACCTTTCTTTTGATACAACATTTTGGAAACACTCTTTTTGTAGAATCTGCAAGTGGATATTTGGATAACTTTGAAGGTTTCGTTGGAAACGGGAATATCTTCATATGAAATCAAGACAGAAGCATTCTCAGAAAGTGCTTTGTGATGTTTGCATTCAAGTCACAGAGTTGAATATTCCCTTTTATAGAGCAGGTTTGAAACACTCTTTCTGCACTACCTGGAAGTGGACATTTGGAGCGCTTTGAGGCCTATGTTGAAAAAGGAAATATCTTCCCATAAAAACTAGACAGAAGCATTCTCAGAAACTTGTTTGTGATGTGTGTATTCAACTAACAGAGATGAACCTTTCTTTTTACAGAGCAGTTTTGAAACACTCTTTTTGTGGAATCTGAAAGTGGATATTTGGATAGCTTTGAGGATTTCTTTGGAAACGGGATTACATATAAAATCTAGAGAGAAGCATTCTCAGGAACTTCTTTGTGATGTTTGCATTCAAGTCACAGAACTGAACATTCCCTTTCATAGAGCATGTTTGAAACACTCCTTCTGTAGTATCTGCAAGCGGACGTTTCAAGCGCTTTCAGGCCTATGGTGAGAAAGGAAATATCTTCAAGTAAAAACTAGACAAGCATTCTGAGAAACTTATTTGCCATGTGTGTTCTCAACTAACAGAGTTGAACCTTTGTTTTGATACGGCATTTTGGAAACACTCTTTTTGTAGAATCTGCAGGTGGATATTCGGATAGCTTTGAAGGTTTCGTTGGAAACGGGAATATCTTCATATAAAATCTAGACGGAAGCATTCTCAGAAACTGCTTTGTGATGTTTTCATTCAAGTCACAGAGTAGAATCTTCGCTTTTATACACCAGGTTTGAGACACTCTTTATGCACTATCTGGAAGTGGACATTTGGAGCGCTTTGAGGCCTATGATGATAAAGGAAATATCTTCCCATAAAAACTAGACAGAAGCATTCTCAGAAACTTGTTTGTGATGTGTGTATTCAACTAACAGAGATGAACCTTTCTTTTTACAGAGCAGTTTTGAAACACTCTTTTTGTGGAATCTGAAAGTGGATATTTGGATAGCTTTGAGGATTTCGTTGGAAACGGGATTACATATAAAATCTAGAGAGAAGCATTCTCAGGAACTTCTTTGTGATGTTTGCATTCAAGTCACAGAACTGAACATTCCCTTTCATAGAGCATGTTTGAAACACTCTTTCTGTAGTATCTGCAAGCTGACGTTTCAAGCGCTTTCAGGCCTATGGTGAGAAAGGAAATATCTTCAAGTAAAAACTAGACAGAAACATTCTCAGAAACTTATTTGCCATGTGTGTTCTCAACTAACAGAGTTGAACCTTTGTTTTGATACGGCATTTTGGAAACACTCTTTTTGTAGAATCTGCAGGTGGATATTCGGATAGCTTTGAAGGTTTCGTTGGAAACGGCAATATCTTCATATAAAATCTAGACGGAAAGCATTCTCAGAAACTGCTTTGTGATGTTTTCATTCAAGTCACAGAGTAGAATGTTGCCTGTTATATACCAGGTTTGAGACACTCTTTCTGCACTACCTGGAAGTGGACGTTTGGAGCGCTTTGAGGCCTATGTTGAAAAAGGAAATATCTTCCCATAAAAACTAGACAGAAGCATTCTCAGAAACTTGTTTGTGATGTGTGTATTCAACTAACAGAGATGAACCTTTCTTTTTACAGAGCAGTTTTGAAACACTCTTTTTGTGGAATCTGAAAGTGGATATTTGGATAGCTTTGAGGATTTCGTTGGAAACGGGATTACATATAAAACCTAGAGAGAAGCATTCTCAGGAACTTCTTTGTGATGTTTGCATTCAAGTCACAGAACTGAACATTCCCTTTCATAGAGCAGGTTTGAAACACTCTTTCTGTAGTATCTGCAAGCGGACGTTTCAAGCACTTTCAGGCCTATGGTGAGAAAGGAAATATCTTCAAGTAAAAACTAGACAGAAGCATTCTCAGAAACTTATTTGCCATGTGTGTTCTCAACTAACAGAGTTGAACCTTTGTTTGGATACGGCATTTTGGAAACACTCTTTTTGTAGAATCTGCAGGTGGATATTCGGATAGCTTTGAAGGTTTCGTTGGAAACGGGAATATCTTCATATAAAATCTAGACGGAAGCATTCTCAGAAAGTGCTTTGTGATGTTTGCATTCAAGTCACAGAGTTGAATATTCCCTTTTATAGAGCAGGTTTGAAACACTCTTTCTGCACTACCTGGAAGTGGACATTTGGAGCGCTTTGAGGCCTATGTTGAAAAAGGAAATATCTTCCCATAAAAACTAGACAGAAGCATTCTCAGAAACTTGTTTGTGATGTGTGTATTCAACTAACAGAGATGAACCTTTCTTTTTACAGAGCAGTTTTGAAACACTCTTTTTGTGGAATCTGAAAGTGGATATTTGGATAGCTTTGAGGATTTCGTTGGAAACGGGATTACATATAAAATCTAGAGAGAAGCATTCTCAGGAACTTCTTTGTGATGTTTGCATTCACGTCACAGAACTGAACATTCCCTTTCATAGAGCATGTTTGAAACACTCTTTCTGTAGTATCTGCAAACGGACATTTCAAGCGCTTTCAGGCCTATGGTAAGAAAGGAAATATCTTCAAGTAAAAACTAGACAGAAGCATTCTCAGAAACTTATTTGCGATGTGTGTCCTCAACTAACAGAGTTGAACCTTTGTTTTGATACAACATTTTGGAAACACTCTTTTTGTAGAATCTGCAAGTGGATATTTGGATAGCTTTGAAGGTTTCGTTGGAAACGGGAATATCTTCATATAAAATCAAGACAGAAGCATTCTCAGAAACTTCTCTGTGATGTTTGCATTCAACTCATAGAGTTGAACACTTCCCTTCATAGAGCAGGTTTGAAACACTCTTTTTGTAATATTTGGAAGTGGACATTTGCAGCGCTTTGAGGCCTATGTTGAAAAAGGAAATATCTTCTCCTAAAAACCAGACAGAAGCATTCTCAGAAACTTGTTTGTGATGTGTGTATTCAACTAACAGAGATGAACCTTTCTTTTTACAGAGCAGTTTTGAAACACTCTTTTTGTGGAATCTGAAAGTGGATATTTGGATAGCTTTGAGGATTTCGTTGGAAACGGGATTACATATAAAATCTAGAGAGAAGCATTCTCAGGAACTTCTTTGTGATGTTTGCATTCAAGTCACAGAACTGAACATTCCCTGTCATAGAGCATGTTTGAAACACTCTTTCTGTAGTATCTGCAAGCGGACGTTTCAAGCGCTTTCAGGCCTATGGAGAGAAAGGAAATATCTTCAAGTAAAAACTAGACAGAAGCATTCTCAGAAACTTATTTGCCATGTGTGTTCTCAACTAACAGAGTTGAACCTTTGTTTTGATACGGCATTTTGGAAACACTCTTTTTGTAGAATCTGCAGGTGGATATTCGGATAGCTTTGAAGGTTTCGTTGGAAACGGGAATATCTTCATATAAAATCTAGACGGAAGCATTCTCAGAAACTGCTTTGTGATGTTTCCATTGAAGTCACAGAGTAGAATGTTCCCTTTTATATACCACGTTTGAGACACTCTTTCTGCGCTATCTGGAAGTGGACATTTGGAGCGCTTTGAGGCCTATGATGAAAAAGGAAATATCTTCCCATAAAAACTAGACAGAAGCATTCTCAGAAACTTGTTTGTGATGTGTGTATTCAACTAACAGAGATGAACCTTTCTTTTTACAGAGCAGTTTTGAAACACTCTTTTTGTGGAATCTGAAAGTGGATATTTGGATAGCTTTGAGGATTTCGTTGAAAACGGGATTACATATAAAATCTAGAGAGAAGCATTCTCAGGAACTTCTTTGTGATGTTTGCATTCAAGTCACAGAACTGAACATTCCCTTTCATAGAGCAGGTTTGAAACACTCTTTCTGTGGTATCTGCAAGCGGACGTTTCAAGCGCTTTCAGGCCTGTGGTGAAAAAGGAAATCTCTTCAAATAAAAACTAGACAGAAGCATTCTCAGAAACTTCTTTGTGCTGTATGTCCTCAATTAACAGAGTTGAACCTTTGTGTGGATACAGCATTTTGGAAACATTCCTTTAGTAGAATCTGCAAGTTGATATTTAGATAGCTAGGAAGATTTCCTTGGAAACGGGAATATCTTCATATAAAATCTAGACGGAAGCATTCTCAGAAACTGCTTTGTGATGTTTTCATTCAAGTCACAGAGTAGAATGTTCCCTGTTATATACCAGGTTTGAGACACTCTTTCTGCACTACCTGGAAGTGGACGTTTGGAGGGCTTTGAGGCCTATGTTGAAAAAGGAAATATCTTCCCATAAAAACTAGACAGAAGCATTCTCAGAAACTTGTTTGTGATGTGTGTATTCAACTAACAGAGATGAACCTTTCTTTTTACAGAGCAGTTTTGAAACACTCTTTTTGTGGAATCTGAAAGTGGATATTTGGATAGCTTTGAGGATTTCGTTGGAAACGGGATTACATATAAAACCTAGAGAGAAGCATTCTCAGGAACTTCTTTGTGATGTTTGCATTCAAGTCACAGAACTGAACATTCCCTTTCATAGAGCAGGTTTGAAACACTCTTTCTGTAGTATCTGCAAGCTGACGTTTCAAGCGCTTTCAGCCCTATGGTGAGAAAGGAAATATCTTCAAGTAAAACTTAGACAGAAGCATTCTCAGAAACTTATTTGCCATGTGTGTTCTCAACTAACAGAGTTGAACCTTTGTTTTGATACGGAATTTTGGAAACACTCTTTTTGTAGAATCTGCAGGTGGATATTCGGATAGCTTTGAAGGTTTCGTTGGAAACGGGAATATCTTCATATAAAATCTAGACGGAAGCATTCTCAGAAACTGCTTTGTGATGTTTTCATTGAAGTCACAGAGTAGAATGTTCCCTTTTATATACCAGGTTTGAGACACTCTTTCTGCACTATCTGGAAGTGGACATTTGGAGCGCTTTGAGGCCTATGATGAAAAAGGAAATATCTTCCCATAAAAACTGGACAGAAGCATTCTCAGAAACTTGTTTGTGATGTGTGTATTCAACTAACAGAGATGAACCTTTCTTTTTACAGAGCAGTTTTGAAACACTCTTTTTGTGGAATCTGAAAGTGGATATTTGGATAGCTTTGAGGATTTCGTTGGAAACGGGATTACATATAAAATCTAGAGAGAAGCATTCTCAGGAACTTCTTTGTGATGTTTGCATTCACGTCACAGATCTGAACATTCCCTTTCATAGAGCATGTTTGAAACACTCTTTCTGTAGTATCTGCAAACGGACATTTCAAGCGCTTTCAGGCCTATGGTAAGAAAGGAAATATCTTCAAATAAAAACTAGACAGAAGCATTCTCAGAAACTTATTTGCGATGTGTGTCCTCAACTAACAGAGTTGAACCTTTCTTTTGATACAACATTTTGGAAACACTCTTTTTGTAGAATCTGCAAGTGGATATTTGGATAGCTTTGAAGGTTTCGTTGGAAACGGGAATATCTTCATATGAAATCAAGACAGAAGCATTCTCAGAAACTTCTCTGTGATGTTTGCATTCAACTCATAGAGTTGAACACTTCCCTTCATACAGCAGGTTTGAAACACTCTTTTTGTAATATTTGGAAGTGGACATTTGCAGCGCTTTGAGGCCTATGATGAAAAAGGTAATATCTTCCCATAAAAACTAGACAGAAGCATTCTCAGAAACTTGTTTGTGATGTGTGTATTCAACTAACAGAGCATGAACCTTTCTTTTTACAGAGCAGTTTTGAAACACTCTTTTTGTGGAATCTGAAAGTGGATATTTGGATAGCTTTGAGGATTTCGTTGGAAACGGGATTACATATAAAACCTAGAGAGAAGCATTCTCAGGAACTTCTTTGTGATGTTTGCATTCAAGTCACAGAACTGAACATTCCCTTTCATAGAGCAGGTTTGAAACACTCTTTCTGTAGTATCTGCAAGCGGACGTTTTAAGCGCTTTCAGGCCTGTGGTGAGAAAGGAAATATCTTCAAATAAAAACTAGACAGAAGCATTCTCAGAAACTTATTTGCGATGTGTGTCCTCAACTAACAGAGTTGAACCTTTCTTTTGATACAACATTTTGGAAACACTCTTTTTGTAGAATCTGCAAGTGGATATTTGGATAGCTTTGAAGGTTTCGTTGGAAACGGGAATATCTTCATATGAAATCAAGACAGAAGCATTCTCAGAAACTTCTCTGTGATGTGTGCATTCAACTCATAGAGTTGAACACTTCCCTTCATACAGCAGGTTTGAAACACTCTTTTTCTAATATTTGGAAGTGGACATTTGCAGCGCTTTGAGGCCTATGTTGAAAAAGGAAATATCTTCTCCTAAAAACCAGACAGAAGCATTCTCAGAAACTTCCTTGTGATGTGTGTACTCAAGTAACAGAGTTGAACCTTACTTTTGACAGAGCCGTTTTGAAACAGTCTTTTTGTAGAATCTGGAAGTAGATATTTGGACACCTTTGAGGATTTCTTTGGAAACGGGATATCTTCATATAAAATCTAGACAGAAGCATTCTCAGGAACTTCTTTGTGATGTTTGCATTCAAGTCACAGAACTGAACATTCCCTTTCATAGAGCAGGTTTGAAACACTCTTTCTGTAGTATCTGCAAGCGGACGTTTTAAGCGCTTTCAGGCCTGTGGTGAGAAAGGAAATATCTTCAAATAAAAACTAGACAGAAGCATTCTCAGAAACTTATTTGCGATGTGTGTCCTCAACTAACAGAGTTGAACCTTTCTTTTGATACAACATTTTGGAAACACTCTTTTTGTAGAATCTGCAAGTGGATATTTGGATAGCTTTGAAGGTTTCGTTGGAAACGGGAATATCTTCATATAAAATCAAGACAGAAGCATTCTCAGAAACTTCTCTGTGATGCTTGCATTCAACTCATAGAGTTGAACACTTCCCTTCATACAGCAGGTTTGAAACACTCTTTTTGTAATATTTGGAAGTGGACATTTGCAGCGCTTTGAGGCCTATGATGAAAAAGGTAATATCTTCCCATAAAAACTAGACAGAAGCATTCTCAGGAAACTTGTTTGTGATGTGTGTATTCAACTAACAGAGATGAACCTTTCTTTTTACAGAGCAGTTTTGAAACACTCTTTTTGTGGAATCTGAGAGTGGATATTTGGATAGCTTTGAGGATTTCGTTGGAAACGGGATTACATATAAAATCTAGAGAGAAGCATTCTCAGGAACTTTTTTGTGATGTTTGCATTCAAGTCACAGAACTGAACATTCCCTTTCATAGAGCATGTTTGAAACACTCTTTCTGTAGTATCTGCAAACGGACATTTCAAGCGCTTTCAGGCCTATGGTAAGAAAGGAAATATCTTCAAATAAAAACTAGACAGAAGCATTCTCAGAAACTTATTTGCGATGTGTGTCCTCAACTAACAGAGTTGAACCTTTGTTTTGATACAACATTTTGGAAACACTCTTGTTGTAGAATCTGCAAGTGGATATTTGGATAGCTTTGAAGGTTTCGTTGGAAACGGGAATATCTTCATATAAAATCAAGACAGAAGCATTCTCAGAAACTTCTCTGTGATGTTTGCATTCAACTCATAGAGTTGAACACTTCCCTTCATAGAGCAGGTTTGAAACACTCTTTTTGTAATATTTTGAAGTGGACATTTGCAGCGCTTTGAGGCCTATGTTGAAAAAGGAAATATCTTCTCCTAAAAACCAGACAGAAGCATTCTCAGAAACTTCCTTGTGATGTGTGTACTCAAGTAACAGAGTTGAACCTTACTTTTGACAGAGCCGTTTTGAAACAGTCTTGTTGTAGAATCTGGAAGTAGATATTTGGATACCTTTGAGGATTTCTTTGGAAACGGGATATCTTCATATAAAATCTAGACGGAAGCATTCTCAGGAACTTCTTTGTGATGTTTGCATTCAAGTCACAGAACTGAACATTCCCTTTCATAGAGCATGTTTGAAACACTCTTTCTGTAGTATCTGCAAGCGGACGTTTCAAGAGCTTTCAGGCCTATGGTGAGAAAGGAAATATCTTCAAGTAAAAACTAGACAGAAGCATTCTCAGAAACTTATTTGCCATGTGTGTTCTCAACTAACAGAGTTGAACCTTTATTTTGAAACGGCATTTTGGAAACACTCTTTTTGTAGAATCTGCAGGTGGATATTCGGATAGCTTTGAAGGTTTCGTTGGAAACGGGAATATCTTCATATAAAATCTAGACGGAAGCATTCTCAGAAACTGGTTTGTGATGTTTTCATTGAAGTCACAGAGTAGAATGTTCCCTTTTATATACCAGGTTTGAGACACTCTTTCTGCACTATCTGGAAGTGGACATTTGGAGCGCTTTGAGGCCTATGATGAAAAAGGAAATATCTTCCCATAAAAACTAGACGGAAGCATTCTCAGAATCTTTCTTGTGATGTGTGTACTCAAGTAACAGAGTTGAACCTTCATTTTGACAGAGCAGTTTTGAAGCACTCTTTTTGTAGAATCTGCAAGTGGATATTTTGATACCTTTGAGGATTTCGTTAGACACGGGATATCTTCATATAAAATCTAGACAGAAGCATTCTCAGGATCTTCTTTGTGATGTTTGCATTCAAGTCACAGAACTGAACATTCCCTTTCATAGAGCAGCTTTGAAACTCTCTTTCTGTAGTATCTGCAAGCGGACGTTTCAAGCGCTTTCAGGCCTGTGGTGAAAAAGGAAATATCTTCAAATAAAAACTAGACAGAAGCATTCTCAGAAACTTCTTTGTGCTGTATGTCCTCAATTAACAGAGTTGAACCTTTGTGTGGATACAGCATTTTGGAAACATTCCTTTAGTAGAATCTGCAAGTTGATATTTAGATAGCTAGGAAGATTTCCTTGGAAACGGGAATATCTTCATATAAAATCTAGACGGAAGCATTCTCAGAAAGTGCTTTGTGATGTTTGCATTCAAGTCACAGAGTTGAATATTCCCTTTTATAGAGCAGGTTTGAAACACTCTTTCTGCACTACCTGGAAGTGGACATTTGGAGCGCTTTGAGGCCTATGTTGAAAAAGGAAATATGTTCCCATAAAAACTGGACAGAAGCATTCTCAGAAACTTGTTTGTGATGTGTGTATTCAACTAACAGAGATGAACCTTTCTTTTTACAGAGCAGTTTTGAAACACTCTTTTTGTGGAATCTGAAAGTGGATATTTGGATAGCTTTGAGGATTTCGTTGGAAACGGGATTACATATAAAACCTAGAGAGAAGCATTCTCAGGAACTTCTTTGTGATGTTTGCCTTCAAGTCACAAGACTGAACATTCCCTTTCATAGAGCAGGTTTGAAACACTCTTTCTGTAGTATCTGCAAGCTGACGTTTCAAACGCTTTCAGGCCTATGGTGAGAAAGGAAATATCTTCAAATAAAAACTAGACAGAAGCATTCTCAGAAACTTATTTGCCATGTGTGTTCTCAACTAACAGAGTTGAACCTTTGTTTTGATACGGCATTTTGGAAACACTCTTTTTGTAGAATCTGCAGGTGGATATTCGGATAGCTTTGAAGGTTTCGTTGGAAACGGGAATATCTTCATATAAAATCTAGACGGAAGCATTCTCAGAAACTGCTTTGTGATGTTTTCATTCAAGTCACAGAGTAGAATGTTCCCTGTTATATACCAGGTTTGAGACACTCTTTCTGCACTACCTGGAAGTGGACGTTTGGAGCGCTTTGAGGCCTATGTTGAAAAAGGAAATATCTTCCCATAAAAACTAGACAGAAGCATTCTCAGAAACTTCTCTGTGATGTTTGCATTCAACTCATAGAGTTGAACACTTCCTTTCATAGAGCTGGTTTGAAATTCTCTTTTTGTAATATTTGGAAGTGGACATTGGCTGCGCTTTGAAGCCTATGGTGAAAAAGGAGATATCTTCTCCTAAAAACCAGACAGAAGCATTCTCAGAATATTTCTTGTGATGTGTGTACTCAAGTAACAGAGGTGGATCTTCATTTTGACAGAGCAGTTGTGAAGCACTCTTTTTGTAGAATCTGCAAGTGGATATTTTGATACCTTTGAGGATTTCGTTAGACACGGGATATCTTCATATAAAATCTAGACAGAAGCATTCTCAGAAACTTCTTTGTGCTGTATGTCCTTAATTAACAGAGTTGAACCTTTGTGTGGATACAGCATTTTGGAAAAATTCCTTTAGTAGAATCTGCAAGTTGATATTTAGATAGCTAGGAAGATTTCCTTGGAAACGGGAATATCTTCATATAAAATCTAGACGGAAGCATTCTCAGAAACTGCTTTGTGATGTTTTCATTGAAGTCACAGAGTAGAATGTTCCCTTTTATATACCAGGTTTGAGACACTCTTTCTGCACTATCTGGAAGTGGACATTTGGAGCGCTTTGAGGCCTATGATAAAAAAGGAAATATCTTCCCATAAAAACTAGACAGAAGCATTCTCAGAAACTTGTTTGTGATGTGTGTATTCAACTAACAGAGATGAACCTTTCTTTTTACAGAGCAGTTTTGAAACACTCTTTTTGTGGAATCTGAAAGTGGATATTTGGATAGCTTTGAGGATTTCGTTGGAAACGGGATTACATATAAAATCTAGAGAGAAGCATTCTCAGGAACTTCTTCGTGATGTTTGCATTCACGTCACAGAACTGAACATTCCCTTTCATAGAGCATGTTTGAAACACTCTTTCTGTAGTATCTGCAAACGGACATTTCAAACGCTTTCAGGCCTATGGTGAGAAAGGAAATATCTTCAAATAAAAACTAGACTGAAGCATTCTCAGAAACTTATTTGCGATGTGTGTCCTCAACTAACAGAGTTGAACCTTTCTTTTGAGACAACATTTTGGAAACACTCTTTTTGTAGAATCTGCAAGTGGATATTTGGATAGCTTTGAAGGTTTCGTTGGAAACGGGAATATCTTCATATAAAAATAAGACAGAAGCATTCTCAGAAACTTCTCTGTGATGTTTGCATTCAACTCATAGAGTTGAACACTTCCCTTCATACAGCAGGTTTGAAACACTCTTTTTGTAATATTTGGAAGTGGACATTTGCAGCGCTTTGAGGCCTATGATGAAAAAGGTAATATCTTCCCATAAAAACTAGACAGAAGCATTCTCAGAAACTTGTTTGTGATGTGTGTATTCAACTAACAGAGATGAACCTTTCTTTTTACAGAGCAGTTTTGAAACACTCTTTTTGTGGAATCTGAAAGTGGATATTTGGATAGCTTTGCGGATTTCGTTGGAAACGGGATTACATATAAAATCTAGGGAGAAGCATTCTCAGGAACTTCTTTGTGATGTTTGCATTCAAGTCACAGAACTGAACATTCCCTTTCATAGAGCAGGTTTGAAACACTCTTTCTGTAGTATCTGCAAGCAGACGTTTCAAGCGCTTTCAGGCCTGTGGTGAAAAAGGAAATATCTTCAAATAAAAACTAGACAGAGGCATTCTCAGAAACTTATTTGCGATGTGTGTTCTCAACTAAAAGAGTTGAAGCTTTGTTTGGATACAACATTTTGGAAACACTCTTTTTGTAGAATCTGCAAGTGGATATTTGGATAGCTTTGAAGGTTTCGTTGGAAACGGGAATATCTTCATATAAAATCAAGACAGAAGCATTCTCAGAAACTTCTCTGTGATGTTTGCATTCAACTCATAGAGTTGAACACTTCCCTTCATACAGCAGGTTTGAAACACTCTTTTTCTAATATTTGGAAGTGGACATTTGCAGCGCTTTGAGGCCTATGTTGAAAAAGGAAATATCTTCTCCTAAAAACCAGACAGGAAGCATTCTCAGAAACTTCCTTGTGATGTGTGTACTCAAGTAACAGAGTTGAACCTTCCTTTTGACAGAGCAGTTTTGAAGCACTCTTTTTGTAGAATCTGCAAGTGGATATTTTGATACCTTTGAGGATTTCGTTGGACACGGGATATCTTCATATAAAATCTAGACAGAAGCATTCTCAGGAACTTCTTTGTAATGTTTGCATTCAAGTCACAGAACTGAACATTCCCTTTCATAGAGCAGGTTTGAAACACTCTTTCTGTAGTATCTGCAAGCTGACGTTTCAAGCGCTTTCAGGCCTATGGTGAGAAAGGAAATATCTTCAAGTAAAAACTAGACAGAAGCATTCTCAGAAACTTCTTTGTGCTGTATGTCCTCAATTAACAGAGTTGAACCTTTGTGTGGATACAGCATTTTGGAAACATTCCTTTAGTAGAATCTGCAAGTTGATATTTAGATACCTAGGAAGATTTCCTTGGAAACGGGAATATCTTCATATAAAATCTAGAAGGAAGCATTCTCAGAAACTGCTTTGTGATGTTTTCATTCAAGTCACAGAGTTGAATGTTCCCTGTTATATACCAGGTTTGAGACACTCTTTCTGCACTACCCGGAAGTGGACGTTTGGAGCGCTTTGAGGCCAATGTTGAAAAAGGAAATATCTTCCCATAAAAACTAGACAGAAGCATTCTCAGAAACTTGTTTGTGATGTGTGTATTCAACTAACAGAGATGAACCTTTCTTTTTACAGAGCAGTTTTGAAACACTCTTTTTGTGGAATCTGAAAGTGGATATTTGGATAGCTTTGAGGAATTTCGTTGGAAACGGGATTACATATAAAACCTAGAGAGAAGCATTCTCAGGAACTTCTTTGTGATGTTTGCATTCACGTCACAGAACTGAACATTCTCTTTCATAGAGCATGTTTGAAACACTCTTTCTGTAGTATCTGCAAACGGACATTTCAAACGCTTTCAGGCCTATGGTGAGAAAGGAAATATCTTCAAATAAAAACTAGACAGAAGCATTCTCAGAAACTTATTTGCGATGTGTGTCCTCAACTAACAGAGTTGAACCTTTCTTTTGATACAACATTTTGGAAACACTCTTTTTGTGGAATCTGCAAGTGGATATTTGGATAGCTTTGAAGATTTCGTTGGAAACGGGAATATCTTCATATAAAATCAAGACAGAAGCATTCTCAGAAACTTCTCTGTGATGTTTGCATTCAACTCATAGAGTTGAACACTTCCCTTCATACAGCAGGTTTGAAACACTCTTTTTGTAATATTTGGAAGTGGACATTTGCAGCGCTTTGAGGCCTATGATGAAAAAGGTAATATCTTCCCATAAAAACTAGACAGAAGCATTCTCAGAAACTTGTTTGTGATGTGTTTATTCAACTATCAGAGATGAACCTTTCTTTTTACAGAGCAGTTTGGAAACACTCTTTTTGTGGAATCTGAAAGTGGATATTTGGATAGCTTTGAGGATTTCATTGGAAACGGGATTACATATAAAATCTAGGGAGAAGCATTCTCAGGAACTTCTGTGTGATGTTTGCATTCAAGTCACAGAACTGAACATTCCCTTTCATAGAGTAGGTTTGAAACACTCTTTCTGTAGTATCTGCAAGTGGACGTTTCAAGCGCTTTAAGGCCTGTGGTGAAAAAGGAAATATCTTCAAATAAAAATTAGACAGAAGCATTCTCAGAAACTTATTTGCGATGTGTGTTCTCAACTAACAGAGTTGAACCTTTGTTTTGATACAGCATTTTGGAAACACTCTTTTTGTAGGATGTGCAGGTGGATATTTGGATAGCTTTGAAGGTTTCGTTGGAAACGGGAATATCTTCATATAAAATCAACACAGAAGCATTCTCAGAAACTTCTCTGTGATGTTTGCATTCAACTCATAGAGTTGAACACTTCCCTTCATACAGCAGGTTTGAAACACTCTTTTTGTAATATTTGGAAGTGGACATTTGCAGCGCTTTGAGGCCTATGTTGAAAAAGGAAATATCTTCCCATAAAAACTAGACAGAAGCATTCTCAGAAACTTGTTTGTGATGTGTGTATTCAACTAACAGAGATGAACCTTTCTTTTTACAGAGCAGTTTTGAAACACTCTTTTTGTGGAATCTGAAAGTGGATATTTGGATAGCTTTGAGGATTTCGTTGGAAACGGGATTACATATAAAATCTAGGGAGAAGCATTCTCAGGAACTTCTTTCTGATGTTTGCATTCAAGTCACAGAACTGAACATTCCCTTTCATAGAGCAGGTTTGAAACACTCTTTCTGTAGTATCTGCAAGTGGACGTTTCAAGCGCTTTCAGGCCTGTGGTGAAAAAGGAAATATCTTCAAATAAAAACTAGACAGAAGCATTCTCAGAAACTTATTTGCGATGTGTGTTCTCAACTAACAGAGGACCTTTGTTTTGATACAACATTTTGCAAACACTCTTTTGGGAGAATCTGCAGGTGAATACTTGGATAGCTTTGAAGGTTTCTTTGGAAACGGGAATATCTTCATATAAAATCAAGACAGAAGCATTCTCAGAAACTTCTCTGTGATGTTTGCATTCAACTCATAGAGGTGAACACTTCCCTTCATAGAGCAGGTTTGAAACACTCTTTTTGAAATATTTGGAAGTGGACATTTGCAGCGCTTTGAGGCCTATGTTGAAAAAGGAAATATCTTCTCCTAAAAACCAGACAGAAGCATTCTCAGAAACTTCCTTGTGATGTGTTTACTCATGTGACAGAGTTGAACCTTACTTTTGACAGAGCCGTTTTGAAACAGTCTTTTTGTAGAATCTGGAAGTAGATATTTGGATACCTTTGAGGATTTCTTTGGAAACGGGATATCTTTATATAAAATCTACACAGAAGCATTCTCAGACACTTCTTTGTGCTGTATGTCCTCAATTAACAGAGTTGAACCTTTGTGTGGATACAGCATTTTGGAAACATTCCTTTAGTAGAATCTGCAAGTTGATATTTAGATAGCTAGGAAGATTTCCTTGGAAACGGGAATATCTTCATATAAAATCTAGACGGAAGCATTCTCAGAAAGTGCTTTGTGATGTTTGCATTCAAGTCACAGACTTGAATATTCCCTTTTATAGAGCAGGTTTGAAACACTCTTTCTGCACTACCTGGAAGTGGACATTTGGAGCGCTTTGAGGCCTATGTTGAAAAAGGAAATATCTTCCCATAAAAACTAGACAGAAGCATTCTCAGTAAACTTGTTTCTGATGTGTGTATTCAACTAACAGAGATGAACCTTTCTTTTTACAGAGTAGTTTTGAAACACTCTTTTTGTGGAATCTGAAAGTGGATATTTGGATAGCTTTGCGGATTTCGTTGGAAACGGGATTACATATAAAATCTAGGGAGAAGCATTCTCAGGAACTTCTTTGTGATGTTTGCATTCAAGTCACAGAACTGAACATTCCCTTTCATAGAGCAGGTTTGAAACACTCTTTCTGTAGTATCTGCAAGCTGACGTTTCAAGCGCTTTCAGGCCTATGGTGAGAAAGGAAATATCTTCAAGTAAAAACTAGACAGAAGCATTCTCAGAAACTTATTTGCTATGTGTGTTCTCAACTAACAGAGTTGAACCTTTGTTTTGATACGGCATTTTGGAAACACTCTTTTTGTAGAATCTGCAGGTGGATATTCGGATAGCTTTGAAGGTTTCGTTGGAATCGGGAATATCTTCATATAAAATCTAGACGGAAGCATTCTCAGAAACTGCTTTGTAATGTTTTCATTCAAGTCACAGAGTAGAATGTTCCCTTTTATATACCAGGTTTGAGACACTCTTTCTGCACTACATGGAAGTGGACATTTGGAGCGCTTTGAGGCCTATGATGAAAAAGGAAATATCTTCCCATAAAAACTAGACAGAAGCATTCTCAGAAACTTGTTTGTGATGTGTGTATTCAACTAACAGAGATGAACCTTTCTTTTTACAGAGCAGTTTTGAAACACTCTTTTTGTGGAATCTGAAAGTGGATATTTGGATAGCTTTGAGGATTTCGTTGGAAACGGGATTACATATAAAACCTAGAGAGAAGCATTCTCAGGAACTTCTTTTTGATGTTTGCCTTCAAGTCACAGGACTGAACATTCCCTTTCATAGAGCAGGTTTGAAACACTCTTTCTGTAGTATCTGCAAGCTGACGTTTCAAGCGCTTTCAGGCCTATGGTGAGAAAGGAAATATCTTCAAGTAAAAACTAGACAGAAGCATTCTCAGAAACTTATTTGCCATGTGTGTTCTCAACTAACAGAGTTGAACATTTGTTTTGATACGGCATTTTGGACACACTCTTTTTGTAGAATCTGCAGGTGGATATTCGGATAGCTTTGAAGGTTTCGTTGGAAACGGGAATATCTTCATATAAAATCTAGACGGAAGCATTCTAAGAAAGTGCTTTGTGATGTTTGCATTCAAGTCACAGAGTACAATATTCGCTTTTATGGAGCCGGTTTGAAACACTCTTTCTGCACTACCTGGAAGTGGACATTTGGAGTGCTTTGAGGGCTATGTTGAAAATGGAAATATCTTCCCATAAAAACTAGACAGAAGCATTCTCAGAAACTTGTTTGTGATGTGTGTATTCAACTAACAGAGATGAACCTTTCTTTTTACAGAGCAGTTTTGAAACACTCTTTTTGTGGAATCTGAAAGTGGATATTTGGATAGCTTTGAGGATTTCGTTGGAAACGGGATTACATATAAAATCTAGAGAGAAACATTCTCAGGAACTTCTTTGTGATGTTTGCATTCACGTCACAGAACTGAACATTCCCTTTCATAGAGCATGTTTGAAACACTCTTTCTGTAGTATCTGCAAACGGACATTTCAAGCGCTTTCAGGCCTATGGTAAGAAAGGAAATATCTTCAAATAAAAACTAGACAGAAGCATTCTCAGAAACTTATTTGCGATGTGTGTCCTCAACTAACAGAGTTGAACCTTTGTTTTGATACAACATTTTGGAAACACTGTTTTTGTAGAATCTGCAAGTGGATATTTGGATAGCTTTGAAGGTTTCGTTGGAAACGGGATTACATATAAAATCTAGAGAGAAGCATTCTCAGGAACTTCTTTGTGATGTTTGCATTCACGTCAAAGAACTGAACATTCCCTTTCATAGAGCATGTTTGAAAAACTCTTTCTGTAGTATCTGCAAACGGACATTTCAAGGGCTTTCAGGCCTATGGTAAGAAAGGAAATATCTTCAAATAAAAACTAGACAGAAGCATTCTCAGAAACTTCTTTGTGCTGTATGTCCTCAATTAACAGAGTTGAACCTTTGTGTGGATACAGCATTTTGGAAACATTCCTTTAGTAGAATCTGCAAGTTGATATTTAGATAGCTAGGAAGATTTCCTTGGAAACGGGAATATCTTCATATAAAATCTAGACGGAAGCATTCTCAGAAACTGCTTTGTGATGTCTTCATTCAAGTCACAGAGTAGAATGTTCCCTTTTATAGAGCAGGTTTGAAACACTCTGTGCACTACCTGGAAGTGGACATTTGGAGCGCTTTGAGGCCTATGTTGAAAAAGGAAATATCTTCCCATAGAAACTAGACAGAAGCATTCTCAGAAACTTGTTTGTGATGTGTGTATTCAACTAACAGAGATGAACCTTTCTTTTTACAGAGCAGTTTTGAAACACTCTTTTTGTGGAATCTGAAAGTGGATATTTGGATAGCTTTGAGGATTTCGTTGGAAACGGGATTACATATAAAATCTAGGGAGAAGCATTCTCAGGAACTTCTTTGTGATGTTTGCATTCAAGTCACAGAACTGAACATTCCCTTTCATAGAGCATGTTTGAAACACTCTTTCTGTAGTATCTGCAAACGGACATTTCAAACGCTTTCAGGCCTATGGTGAGAAAGGAAATATCTTCAAATAAAAACTAGACAGAAGCATTCTCAGAAACTTATTTGCGATGTGTGTTCTCAACTAACAGAGTTGAACCTTTGTTTTGATATGGCATTTTGGAAACACTCTTTTTGTAGAATCTGCAGGTGGATATTCGGATAGCTTTGAAGGTTTCGTTGGAAACGGGAATATCTTCATATAAAATCTAGACGGAAGCATTCTCAGAAACTGCTTTGTGATGTTTTCATTCAAGTCACAGAGTAGAATGTTCCCTGTTATATACCAGGTTTGAGACACTCTTTCTGCACTACCTGGAAGTGGACATTTGCAGCGCTTTGAGGCCTATGATGAAAAAGGAAATATCTTCCCATAAAAACTAGACAGAAGCATTCTCAGAAACTTGTTTGTGATGTGTGTATTCAACTAACAGAGATGAACCATTCTTTTTACAGAGCAGTTTTGAAACACTCTTTTTGTGGAATCTGAAAGTGGATATTTGGATAGCTTTGAGGATTTCGTTGGAAACGGGATTACATATAAAATCTAGAGAGAAGCATTCTCAGGAACTTCTTTGTGATGTTTGCATTCAAGTCACAGAACTGAACATTCCCTTTCATAGAGCAGGTTTGAAACACTCTTTCTGTAGTATCTGCAAGCGGACGTTTTAAGCGCTTTCAGGCCTGTGGTGAGAAAGGAAATATCTTCAAATAAAAACTAGACAGAAGCATTCTCAGAAACGTATTTGCGATGTGTGTCCTCAACTAACAGAGTTGAACCTTTCTTTTGATACAACATTTTGGAAACACTCTTTTTGTAGAATCTGCAAGTGGATATTTGGATAGCTTTGAAGGTTTCGTTGGAAACGGGAATATCTTCATATGAAATCAAGACAGAAGCATTCTCAGAAACTTCTCTGTGATGTTTGCATTCAACTCATAGAGTTGAACACTTCCCTTCATACAGCAGGTTTGAAACACTCTTTTTCTAATATTTGGAAGTGGACATTTGCAGCGCTTTGAGGCCTATGTTGAAAAAGGAAATATCTTCTCCTAAAAACCAGACAGAAGTATTCTCAGAAACTTGTTTGTGATGTGTGTATTCAACTAACAGAGATGAACCTTTCTTTTTACAGAGCAGTTTTGAAACACTCTTTTTGTGGAATCTGAAAGTGGATATATGGATAGCTTTGAGGATTTCGTTGGAAACGGGATTACATATAAAACCTAGAGAGAAGCATTCTCAGGAACTTCTTTGTGATGTTTGCATTCACGTCACAGAACTGAACATTCCCTTTCATAGAGCATGTTTGAAACACTCTTTCTGTAGTATCTGCAAACGGAGATTTCAAACGCTTTCAGGCCTATGGTGAGAAAGGAAATATCTTCAAATAAAAACTAGACAGAAGCATTCTCAGAAACTTATTTGCCATGTGTGTTCTCAACTAACAGAGTTGAACCTTTGTTTTGATACGGCATTTTGGAAACACTCTTTTTGTAGAATCTGCAGGTGGATATTCGGATAGCTTTGAAGGTTTCGTTGGAAACGGGAATATCTTCATATAAAATCTAGACGGAAGCATTCTCAGAAACTGCTTTGTGATGTTTTCATTCAAGTCACAGAGTAGAATGTTCCCTTTTATATACCAGGTTTGAGACACTCTTTCTGCACTACCTGGAAGTGGACGTTTGGAGCGCTTTGAGGCCTATGTTGAAAAAGGAAATATCTTCCCATAAAAACTAGACAGAAGCATTCTCAGAAACTTGTTTGTGATGTGTGTATTCAACTAACAGAGATGAATCTTTCTTTTTACAGAGCAGTTTTGAAACACTCTTTTTGTGGAATCTGAAAGTGGATATTTGGATAGCTTTGAGGATTTCGTTGGAAACGGGATTACTTATAAAATCTAGGGAGAAGCATTCTCAGGAACTTCTTTGTGATGTTTGCATTCACGTCACAGAACTGAACATTCCCTTTCATAGAGCATGTTTGAAACACTCTTTCTGTAGTATCTGCAAACGGACATTTCAAACGCTTTCAGGCCTATGGTGAGAAAGGAAATATCTTCAAATAAAAACTAGACAGAAGCATTCTCAGAAACTTGTTTGTGATGTGTGTATTCAACTAACAGAGATGAACCTTTCTTTTTACAGAGCAGTTTTGAAACACTCTTTTTGTGGAATCTGAAAGTGGATATTTGAATAGCTTTGAAGGTTTCGTTGGAAACGGGAATATCTTCATATAAAATCAAGACAGAAGCATTCTCAGAAACTTCTCTGTGATGTTTGCATTCAACTCATAGAGTTGAACACTTCCCTTCATACAGCAGGTTTGAAACACTCTTTTTGTAATATTTGGAAGTGGACATTTGCAGCGCTTTGAGGCCTATGATGAAAAAGGTAATATCTTCCCATAAAAACTAGACAGAAGCATTCTCAGAAACTTGTTTGTGATGTGTGTATTCAACTAACAGAGATGAACCTTTCTTTTTACAGAGCAGTTTTGAAACACTCTTTTTGTGGAATCTGAAAGTGGATATTTGGATAGCTTTGAGGATTTCGTTGGAAACGGGATTACATATAAAATCTAGAGAGAAGCATTCTCAGGAACTTCTTTGTGATGTTTGCATTCACGTCACAGAACTGAACATTCCCTTTCATAGAGCATGTTTGAAACACTCTTTCTGTAGTATCTGCAAACGGACATTTCAAACGCTTTCAGGCGTATGGTGAGAAAGGAAATATCTTCAAATAAAAACTAGACAGAAGCATTCTCAGAAACTTCTTTGTGCTGTATGTCCTCAATTAACAGAGTTGAACCTTTGTGTGGATACAGCATTTTGGAAACATTCCTTTAGTAGAATCTGCAAGTTGATATTTAGATAGCTAGGAAGATTTCCTTGGAAACGGGAATATCTTCATATAAAATCTAGACGGAAGCATTCTCAGAAAGTGCTTTGTGATGTTTGCATTCAAGTCACAGAGTTGAATATTCCCTTTTATAGAGCAGGTTTGAAACACTCTTTCTGCACTACCTGGAAGTGGACATTTGGAGCGCTTTGAGGCCTACGTTGAAAAAGGAAATATCTTCCCATAAAAACTAGACAGAAGCATTCTCAGAAACTTGTTTGTGATGTGTGTATTCAACTAACAGAGATGAACCTTTCTTTTTACAGAGCAGTTTTGAAACACTCTTTTTGTGGAATCTGAAAGTGGATATTTGGATAGCTTTGAGGATTTCGTTGGAAACGGGATTACATATAAAACCTAGAGAGAAGCATTCTCAGGAACTTCTTTGTGATGTTTGCCTTCAAGTCACAGGACTGAACATTCCCTTTCATAGAGCAGGTTTGAAACACTCTTTCTGTAGTATCTGCAAGCTGACGTTTCAAGCGCTTTCAGGCCTATGGTGAGAAAGGAAATATCTTCAAGTAAAAACTAGACAGAAGCATTCTCAGAAACTTATTTGCCATGTGTGTTCTCAACTAACAGAGTTGAACCTTTGTTTTGATACGGCATTTTGGAAACACTCTTTTTGTAGAATCTGCAGGTGGATATTCGGATAGCTCTGAAGGTTTCGTTGGAAACGGGAATATCTTCATATAAAATCTTGACGGAAGCATTCTCAGAAACTGCTTTGTGATGTTTTCATTCAAGTCACAGAGTAGAATCTTCCCTGTTATATACCAGGTTTCAGACACTCTTTCTGCACTACCTGGAAGTGGACATTTGCAGCGCTTTGAGGCCTATGATGAAAAAGGAAATATCTTCCCATAAAAACTAGACAGAAGCATTCTCAGAAACTTGTTTGTGATGTGTGTATTAAACTAACAGAGATGAACCTTTCTTTTTACAGAGCAGTTTTGAAACACTCTTTTTGTGGAATCTGAAAGTGGATATTTGGATAGCTTTGAGGATTTCGTTGGAAACGGGATTACATATAAAATCTAGAGAGAAGCATTCTCAGGAACTTCTTTGTGATGTTTGCATTCAAGTCACAGAACTGAACATTCCCTTTCATAGAGCATGTTTGAAACACTCTTTCTGTAGTATCTGCAAGCGGACGTTTTAAGCGCTTTCAGGCCTGTGGTGAGAAAGGAAATATCTTCAAATAAAAACTAGACAGAAGCATTCTCAGAAACTTATTTGCGATGTGTGTCCTCAACTAACAGAGTTGAACCTTTCTTTTGATACAACATTTTGGAAACACTCTTTTTGTAGAATCTGCAAGTGGATATTTGGATAGCTTTGAAGGTTTCGTTGGAAACGGGAATATCTTCATATGAAATCAAGACAGAAGCATTCTCAGAAACTTCTCTGTGATGTTTGCATTCAACTCATAGAGTTGAACACTTCCCTTCATACAGCAGGTTTGAAACACTCTTTTTGTAATATTTGGAAGTGGACATTTGCAGCGCTTTGAGGCCTATGATGAAAAAGGTAATATCTTCCCATAAAAACTAGACAGAAGCATTCTCAGAAACTTGTTTGTGATGTGTGTATTCAACTAACAGAGATGAACCTTTCTTTTTACAGAGCAGTTTTGAAACACTCTTTTTGTGGAATCTGAAAGTGGATATTTGGATAGCTTTGAGGATTTCGTTGGAAACGGGATTACATATAAAACCTAGAGAGAAGCATTCTCAGGAACTTCTTTGTGATGTTTGCCTTCTAGTCACAGGACTGAACATTCCCTTTCATAGAGCAGGTTTGAAACACTCTTTCTGTAGTATCTGCAAGCTGACGTTTCAAGCGCTTTCAGGCCTATGGTGACAAAGGAAATATCTTCAAGTAAAAACTAGACAGAAGCATTCTCAGAAACTTATTTGCCATGTGTGTTCTCAACTAACAGAGTTGAACCTTTGTTTTGATACGGCATTTTGGAAACACTCTTTTTGTAGAATCTGCAGGTGGATATTCGGATAGCTTTGAAGGTTTCGTTGGAAACGGGAATATCTTCATATAAAATCTAGACGGAAGCATTCTCAGAAACTGCTTTGTGATGTTTTCATTCAAGTCACAGAGTAGAATCTTCCCTGTTATATACCAGGTTTCAGACACTCTTTCTGCACTACCTGGAAGTGGACATTTGCAGCGCTTTGAGGCCTATGATGAAAAAGGAAATATCTTTCCATAAAAACTAGACAGAAGCATTCTCAGAAACTTGTTTGTGATGTGTGTATTCAACTAACAGAGATGAACCTTTCTTTTTACAGAGCAGTTTTGAAACACTCTTTTTGTGGAATCTGAAAGTGGATATTTGGATAGCTTTGAGGATTTCGTTGGAAACGGGATTACATATAAAATCTAGAGAGAAGCATTCTCAGGAACTTCTTTGTGATGTTTGCATTCACGTCACAGAACTGAACATTCCCTTTCATAGAGCATGTTTGAAACACTCTTTCTGTAGTATCTGCAAACGGACATTTCAAACGCTTTCAGGCCTATGGTGAGAAAGGAAATATCTTCAAATAAAAACTAGACAGAAGCATTCTCAGAAACTTATTTGCGATGTGTGTCCTCAACTAACAGAGTTGAACCTTTGCTTTTGATACAACATTTTGGAACCACTCTTTTTGTAGAATCTGCAAGTGGATATTTGGATAGCTTTGAAGGTTTCGTTGGAAACGGGAATATCTTCATATAAAATCAAGACAGAAGCATTCTCAGAAGCTTCTCTGTGATGTTTGCATTCAACTCATAGAGTTGAACACTTCCCTTCATACAGCAGGTTTGAAACACTCTTTTTGTAATATTTGGAAGTGGACATTTGCAGCGCTTTGAGGCCTATGATGAAAAAGGAAATATCTTCCCATAAAAACTAGACAGAAGCATTCTCAGAAACTTGTTTGTGATGTGTGTATTCAACTAACAGAGATGAACCTTTCTTTTTACAGAGTAGTTTTGAAACACTCTTTTTGTGGAATCCGAAAGTGGATATTTGGATAGCTTTGAGGAATTCTTTGGAAACGGGATTACATATAAAAAGTAGGGAGAAGCATTCTCAGGAACTTCTTTGTGATGTTTGCCTTCAAGTCACAGGACTGAACATTCCCTTTCATAGAGCAGGTTTGAAACACTCTTTCTGTAGTATCTGCAAGCGGACGTTTTAAGCGCTTTCAGGCCTGTGGTGAGAAAGGAAATATCTTCAAATAAAAACTAGACAGAAAGCATTCTCAGGAAACTTATTTGCGATGTGTGTCCTCAACTAACAGCAGTTGAACCTTTCTTTTGATACAACATTTTGGAACCACTCTTTTTGTAGAATCTGCAAGTGGATATTTGGATAGCTTTGAAGGTTTCGTTGGAAACGGGAATATCTTCATATAAAATCAAGACAGAAGCATTCTCAGAAACTTCTCTGTGATGTTTGCATTCAACTCATAGAGTTGAACACTTCCCTTCATACAGCAGGTTTGAAACACTCTTTTTGTAATATTTGGAAGTGGACATTTGCAGCGCTTTGAGGCCTATGATGAAAAAGGAAATATCTTCCCATAAAAACTAGACAGAAGCATTCTCAGAATCTTTCTTGTGATGTGTGTACTCAAGTAACAGAGTTGAACCTTCATTTTGACAGAGCAGTTTTGAAGCACTCTTTTTGTAGAATCTGCAAGTGGATATTTTGATATCTTTGAGGATTTCGTTGGACACGGGATATCTTCATATAAAATCTAGACAGAAGCATTCTCAGGGAACTTCTTTGTGATGTTTGCATTCACGTCACAGAACTGAACATTCCCTTTCATAGAGCATGTTTGAAACACTCTTTCTGTAGTATCTGAAAACGGACATTTCAAGCGCTTTCAGGCCTATGGTAAGAAAGGAAATATCTTCAAATAAAAACTAGAGAGAAGCATTCTCAGAAACTTATTTGCCATGTGTGTTCTCAACTAACGGAGTTGAACCTTTGTTTTGATACGGCATTTTGGAAACACTCTTTTTGTAGAATCTGCAGGTGGATATTCGGATAGCTTTGAAGGTTTCGTTGGAAACGGGAATATCTTCATATAAAATCTAGACGGAAGCATTCTCAGAAACTGCTTTGGGATGTTTTCATTCAAGTCACAGAGTAGAATGTTCCCTGTTATATACCAGGTTTGAGACACTCTTTCTGCACTACCTGGAAGTGGACGTTTGGAGCGCTTTGAGGCCTATGTTGAAAAAGGAAATATCTTCCTATAAAAACTAGACAGAAGCATTCTCAGAAACTTGTTTGTGATGTGTGTATTCAACTAACAGAGCATGAACCTTTCTTTTTACAGAGCAGTTTTGAAACACTCTTTTTGTGGAATCTGAAAGTGGATATTTGGATAGCTTTGAGGATTTCGTTGGAAACGGGATTACATATAAAACCTAGAGAGAAGCATTCTCAGGAACTTCTTTGTGATGTTTGCATTCAAGTCACAGAACTGAACATTCCCTTTCATAGAGCAGGTTTGAAACACTCTTTCTGTAGTATCTGCAAGCGGACGTTTTAAGCGCTTTCAGGCCTGTGGTGAGAAAGGAAATATCTTCAAATAAAAACTAGACAGAAGCATTCTCAGAAACGTATTTGCGATGTGTGTCCTCAACTAACAGAGTTGAACCTTTCTTTTGATACAACATTTTGGAAACACTCTTTTTGTAGAATCTGCAAGTGGATATTTGGATAGCTTTGAAGGTTTCGTTGGAAACGGGAATATCTTCATATGAAATCAAGACAGAAGCATTCTCAGAAACTTCTCTGTGATGTTTGCATTCAACTCATAGAGTTGAACACTTCCCTTCATACAGCAGGTTTGAAACACTCTTTTTCTAATATTTGGAAGTGGACATTTGCAGCGCTTTGAGGCCTATGTTGAAAAAGGAAATATCTTCTCCTAAAAACCAGACAGAAGCATTCTCAGAAACTTGTTTGTGATGTGTGTATTCAACTAACAGAGATGAACCTTTCTTTTTACAGAGCAGTTTTGAAACACTCTTTATGTGGAATCTGAAAGTGGATATTTGGATAGCTTTGCGGATTTCGTTGGAAACGGGATTACATATAAAACCTAGAGAGAAGCATTCTCAGGAACTTCTTTGCGATGTTTGCATTCAAGTCACAGAACTGAACATTCCCTTTCATAGAGCAGGTTTGAAACACTCTTTCTGTAGTATCTGCAAGCGGACGTTTTAAGCCCTTTCAGGCCTGTGGTGAGAAAGGAAATATCTTCAAATAAAAACTAGACAGAAGCATTCTCAGAAACTTATTTGCGATGTGTGTCCTCAACTAACAGAGTTGAACCTTTCTTTTGATACAACATTTTGGAAACACTCTTTTTGTAGAATCTGCAAGTGGATATTTGGATAGCTTTGAAGGTTTCGTTGGAAACGGGAATATCTTCATATGAAATCAAGACAGAAGCATTCTCAGAAACTTCTCTGTGATGTTTGCATTCAACTCATAGAGTTGAACACTTCCCTTCATACAGCAGGTTTGAAACACTCTTTTTCTAATATTTGGAAGTGGACATTTGCAGCGCTTTGAGGCCTATGTTGAAAAAGGAAATATCTTCTCCTAAAAACCAGACAGAAGCATTCTCAGAAACTTGTTTGTGATGTGTGTATTCAACTAACAGAGATGAACCTTTCTTTTTACAGAGCAGTTTTGAAACACTCTTTTTGTGGAATCTGAAAGTGGATATTTGGATAGCTTTGAGGATTTCGTTGGAAACGGGATTACATATAAAACCTAGAGAGAAGCATTCTCAGGAACTTCTTTGTGATGTTTGCCTTCAAGTCACAGGACTGAACATTCCCTTTCATAGAGCAGGTTTGAAACACTCTTTCTGTAGTATCTGCAAGCTGACGTTTCAAGCGCTTTCAGGCCTATGGTGAGAAAGGAAATATCTTCAAGTAAAAACTAGACAGAAGCATTCTCAGAAACTTATTTGCCATGTGTGTTCTCAACTAACAGAGTTGAACCTTTGTTTTGATACGGCATTTTGGAAACACTCTTTTTGTAGAATCTGCAGGTGGATATTCGGATAGCTTTGAAGGTTTCGTTGGAAACGGGAATATCTTCATATAAAATGCTAGACGGAAGCATTCTCAGAAACTTCTCTGTGATGTTTGCATTCAACTCATAGAGTTGAACACTTCCCTTCATACAGCAGGTTTGAAACACTCTTTTTGTAATATTTGGAAGTGGACATTTGCAGCGCTTTGAGGCCTATGATGAAAAAGGAAATATCTTCCCATAAAAACTAGACAGAAGCATTCTCAGAAACTTGTTTGTGATGTGTGTATTCAACTAACAGAGATGAACCTTTCTTTTTACAGAGCAGTTTTGAAACACTCTTTTTGTGGAATCTGAAAGTGGATATTTGGATAGCTTTGCGGATTTCGTTGGAAACGGGATTACATATAAAATCTAGGGAGAAAGCATTCTCAGGAACTTCTTTGTGATGTTTGCATTCAAGTCACAGAACTGAACATTCCCTTTCATAGAGCATGTTTGAAACACTCTTTCTGTAGTATGTGCAAACGGACATTTCAAACGCTTTCAGGCCTATGGTGAGAAAGGAAATATCTTCAAATAAAAACTAGACAGAAGCATTCTCAGAAACTTATTTGCGATGTGTGTCCTCAACTAACAGAGTTGAACCTTTCTTTTGATACAACATTTTGGAAACACTCTTTTTGTAGAATCTGCAAGTGGATATTTGGATAGCTTTGAAGGTTTCGTTGGAAACGGGAATATCTTCATATGAAATCAAGACAGAAGCATTCTCAGAAACTTCTCTGTGATGTTTGCATTCAACTCATAGAGTTGAACACTTCCCTTCATTCAGCAGGTTTGAAACACTCTTTTTCTAATATTTGGAAGTGGACATTTGCAGCGCTTTGAGGCCTATGTTGAAAAAGGAAATATCTTCTCCTAAAAACCAGACAGAAGCATTCTCAGAAACTTCCTTGTGATGTGTGTACTCAAGTAACAGAGTTGAACCTTCCTTTTGACAGAGCAGTTTTGAAGCACTCTTTTTGTAGAATCTGCAAGTGGATATTTTGATACCTTTGAGGATTTCGTTGGACACGGGATATCTTCATATAAAATCTAGACAGAAGCATTCTCAGGAACTTCTTTGTGATGTTTGCATTCACGTCACAGAACTGAACATTCCCTTTCATAGAGCATGTTTGAAACACTCTTTCTGTAGTATCTGCAAACGGACATTTCAAACGCTTTCAGGCCTATGGTGAGAAAGGAAATATCTTCAAATAAAAACTAGACAGAAGCATTCTCAGAAACTTATTTGCGATGTGTGTCCTCAACTAACAGAGTTGAACCTTTCTTTTGATACAACATTTTGGAAACACTCTTTTTGTGGAATCTGCAAGTGGATATTTGGATAGCTTTGAAGGTTTCGTTGGAAACGGGAATATCTTCATATAAAATCAAGACAGAAGCATTCTCAGAAACTTCTCTGTGATGTTTGCATTCAACTCATAGAGTTGAACACTTCCCTTCATACAGCAGGTTTGAAACACTCTTTTTCTAATATTTGGAAGTGGACTTTTGCAGCGCTTTGAAGCCTATGATGAAAAAGGTAATATCTTCCCATAAAAACTAGACAGAAGCATTCTCAGAAACTTGTTTGTGATGTGTGTACTCAACTAACAGAGATGAACCTTTCTTTTTACAGAGCAGTTTTGAAACACTCTTTTTGTGGAATCTGAAAGTGGATATTTGGATAGCTTTGAGGATTTTGTTGGAAACGGGATTACATATAAAATCTAGAGAGAAGCATTCCCTGGAACTTCTTTGTGATGTTTGCATTCACGTCACAGAACTGAACATTCCCTTTCATAGAGCATGTTTGAAACACTCTTTCTGTAGTATCTGCAAACGGACATTTCAAGCGCTTTCAGGCCTATGGTAAGAAAGGAAATTTCTTCAAATAAAAACTAGACAGAAGCATTCTCAGAAACTTATTTGCGATGTGTGTCCTCAACTAACAGAGTTGAACCTTTGTTTTGATACAACATTTTGGAAACACTCTTTTTGTAGAATCTGCAAGTGGATATTTGGATAGCTTTGAAGGTTTCGTTGGAAACGGGAATATCTTCATATAAAATCAAGACAGAAGCATTCTCAGAAACTTCTCTGTGATGTTTGCATTCAACTCATAGAGTTGAACACTTCCCTTCATAGAGCAGGTTTGAAACACTCTTTTTGTAATATTTGGAAGTGGACATTTGCAGCGCTTTGAGGCCTATGTTGAAAAAGGAAATATCTTCTCCTAAAAACCAGACAGAAGCATTCTCAGAAACTTGTTTGTGATGTGTGTATTCAACTAACAGAGATGAACCCTTCTTTTTACAGAGCAGTTTTGAAACACTCTTTTTGTGGAATCTGAAAGTGGACATTTGGATAGCTTTGCGGATTTCGTTGGAAACGGGATTACATATAAAATCTAGGGAGAAGCATTCTCAGGAACTTCTTTGTGATGTTTGCATTCACGTCACAGAACTGAACATTCCCTTTCATAGAGCATGTTTGAAACACTCTTTCTGTAGTATCTGCAAACGGACATTTCAAACGCTTTCAGGCCTATGGTGAGAAAGGAAATATCTTCAAATAAAAACTAGACAGAAGCATTCTCAGAAACTTATTTGCGATGTGTGTCCTCAACTAACAGAGTTGAACCTTTGTTTTGATACAGCATTTTGGAAACACTCTTTTTGTAGGATCTGCAGGTGGATATTTGGATAGCTTTTAAGGTTTCGTTGGAAACGGGAATATCTTCATATAAAATCAAGACAGAAGCATTCTCAGAAACTTCTCTGTGATGTTTGCATTCAACTCATAGAGTTGAACACTTCCCTTCATACAGCAGGTTTGAAACACTCTTTTTGTAATATTTGGAAGTGGACATTTGCAGCGCTTTGAGGCCTATGATGAAAAAGGTAATATCTTCCCATAAAAACTAGACAGAAGCATTCTCAGAAACTTGTTTGTGATGTGTGTATTCAACTAACAGAGATGAACCTTTCTTTTTACAGAGCAGTTTTGAAACACTCTTTTTGTGGAATCTGAAAGTGGATATTTGGATAGCTTTGAGGATTTCGTTGGAAACGGGATTACATATAAAATCTAGAGAGAAGCATTCTCAGGAACTTCTTTGTGATGTTTGCATTCACGTCACAGAACTGAACATTCCCTTTCATAGAGCATGTTTGAAACACTCTTTCTGTAGTATCTGCAAACGGACATTTCAAACGCTTTCAGGCCTATGGTGAGAAAGGAAATATCTTCAAATAAAAACTAGACAGAAGCATTCTCAGAAACTTATTTGCGATGTGTGTCCTCAACTAACAGAGTTGAACCTTTCTTTTGATACAACATTTTGGAAACACTCTTTTTGTAGAATCTGCAAGTGGATATTTGAATAGCTTTGAAGGTTTCGTTGGAAACGGGAATATCTTCATATAAAATCAAGACAGAAGCATTCTCAGAAACTTCTCTGTGATGTTTGCATTCAACTCATAGAGTTGAACACTTCCCTTCATACAGCAGGTTTGAAACACTCTTTTTGTAATATTTGGAAGTGGACATTTGCAGCGCTTTGAGGCCTATGATGAAAAAGGTAATATCTTCCCATAAAAACTAGACAGAAGCATTCTCAGAAACTTGTTTGTGATGTGTGTATTCAACTAACAGAGATGAACCTTTCTTTTTACAGAGCAGTTTTGAAACACTCTTTTTGTGGAATCTGAAAGTGGATATTTGGATAGCTTTGCGGATTTCGTTGGAAACGGGATTACATATAAAATCTAGGGAGAAGCACTCTCAGGAACTTCTTTGTGATGTTTGCATTCAAGTCACAGAACTGAACATTCCCTTTCATAGAGCATGTTTGAAACACTCTTTCTGTAGTATCTGCAAACGGACATTTCAAACGCTTTCAGGCCTATGGTGAGAAAGGAAATATCTTCAAGTAAAAACTAGACAGAAGCATTCTCAGAAACTTATTTGCGATGTGTGTTCTCAACTAACAGAGTTGAACCTTTGTTTTGATATGGCATTTTGGAAACACTCTTTTTGTAGAATCTGCAGGTGGATATTCGGATAGCTTTGAAGGTTTCGTTGGAAACGGGAATATCTTCATATAAAATCTAGACGGAAGCATTCTCAGAAACTGCTTTGTGATGTTTTCATTCAAGTCACAGAGTAGAATGTTCCCTGTTATATACCAGGTTTGAGACACTCTTTCTGCACTACCTGGAAGTGGACATTTGGAGCGCTTTGAGGCCTATGATGAAGAAGGAAATATCTTCCCATAAAAACTAGACAGAAGCATTCTCAGAAACTTGTTTGTGATGTGTGTATTCAACTAACAGAGATGAACCTTTCTTTTTACAGAGCAGTTTTGAAACACTCTTTTTGTGGAATCTGAAAGTGGATATTTGGATAGCTTTGAGGATTTCGTTGGAAACGGGATTACATATAAAACCTAGAGAGAAGCATTCTCAGGAACTTCTTTGTGATGTTTGCCTTCAAGTCACAGGACTGAACATTCCCTTTCATAGAGCAGGTTTGAAACACTCCTTCTGTAGTATCTGCAAGCTGACGTTTCAAGCGCTTTCAGGCCTATGGTGACAAAGGAAATATCTTCAAGTAAAAACTAGACAGAAGCATTCTCAGAAACTTATTTGCGATGTGTGTTCTCAACTAACAGAGTTGAACCTTTGTTTTGATACAGCATTTTGGAAACACTCTTTTTGTAGGATCTGCAGGTGGATATTTGGATAGATTTGAAGGTTTCGTTGGAAACGGGAATATCTTCATATAAAATCAACACAGAAGCATTCTCAGAAACTTCTCTGTGATGTTTGCATTCAACTCATAGAGTTGAACACTTCCCTTCATACAGCAGGTTTGAAACACTCTTTTTGTAATATTTGGAAGTGGACATTTGCAGCGCTTTGAGGCCTATGTTGAAAAAGGAAATATCTTCTCCTAAAAACCAGACAGAAGCATTCTCAGAAACTTGTTTGTGATGTGTGTATTCAGCTAACAGAGATGAACCCTTCTTTTTACAGAGCAGTTTTGAAACACTCTTTTTGTGGAATCTGAAAGTGGATATTTGGATAGCTTTGCGGATTTCGTTGGAAACGGGATTACATATAAAATCTAGGGAGAAGCAGTCTCAGGAACTTCTTTGTGATGTTTGCATTCAAGTCACAGAACTGAACATTCCCTTTCATAGAGCAGGTTTGAAACACTCTTTCTGTAGTATCTGCAAGCGGACGTTTGAAGCGCTTTCAGGCCTGTGGTGAAAAAGGAAATATCTTCAAATAAAAACTAGACAGAAGCATTCTCAGAAACTTCTTTGTGCTGTATGTCCTCAATTAACAGAGTTGAACATTTGTGTGGATACAGCATTTTGGAAACATTCCTTTAGTAGAATCTGCAAGTTGATATTTAGATAGCTAGGAAGATTTCCTTGGAAACGGGAATATCTTCATATAAAATCTAGACGGAAGCATTCTCAGAAACTGCTTTGTGATGTTTTCATTCAAGTCACAGAGTAGAATGTTCCCTGTTATATACCAGGTTTGAGACACTCTTTCTGCACTACCTGGAAGTGGACGTTTGGAGCGCTTTGAGGCCTATGTTGAAAAAGGAAATATCTTCCCATAAAAACTAGACAGAAGCATTCTCAGAAACTTGTTTGTGATGTGTGTATTCAACTAACAGAGATGAACCTTTCTTTTTACAGAGCAGTTTTGAAACACTCTTTTTGTGGAATCTGAAAGTGGATATTTGGATAGCTTTGAGGATTTCGTTGGAAACGGGATTACATATAAAATCTAGAGAGAAGCATTCTCAGGAACTTCTTTGTGATGTTTGCATTCACGTCACAGAACTGAACATTCCCTTTCATAGAGCATGTTTGAAACACTCTTTCTGTAGTATCTGCAAACGGACATTTCAAACGCTTTCAGGCCTATGGTGAGAAAGGAAATATCTTCAAATAAAAACTAGACAGAAGCATTCTCAGAAACTTATTTGCGATGTGTGTCCTCAACTAACAGAGTTGAACCTTTCTTTTGATACAACATTTTGGAAACACTCTTTTTGTAGAATCTGCAAGTGGATATTTGAATAGCTTTGAAGGTTTCGTTGGAAACGGGAATATCTTCATATAAAATCAAGACAGAAGCATTCTCAGAAACTTCTCTGTGATGTTTGCATTCAACTCATAGAGTTGAACACTTCCCTTCATACAGCAGGTTTGAAACACTCTTTTTGTAATATTTGGAAGTGGACATTTGCAGCGCTTTGAGGCCTATGTTGAAAAAGGAAATATCTTCTCCTAAAAACCAGACAGAAGCATTCTCAGAAACTTGTTTGTGATGTGTGTATTCAACTAACAGAGATGAACCTTTCTTTTTACAGAGCAGTTTTGAAACACTCTTTTTGTGGAATCTGAAAGTGGATATTTGGATAGCTTTGAGGATTTCGTTGGAAACGGGATTACATATAAAACCTAGAGAGAAGCATTCTCAGGAACTTCTTTGTGATGTTTGCATTCAAGTCACAGAACTGAACATTCCCTTTCATAGAGCATGTTTGAAACACTCTTTCTGTAGTATCTGCAAGCGGACGTTTTAAGCGCTTTCAGGCCTGTGGTGAGAAAGGAAATATCTTCAAATAAAA
The DNA here is from genome assembly GCF_000001405.40 of Homo sapiens. NCBI lineage: Eukaryota > Metazoa > Chordata > Mammalia > Primates > Hominidae > Homo > Homo sapiens. The sequence goes on from NC_000009.12 coordinate 44,645,622, forward strand.
ACTAGACAGAAGCATTCTCAGAAACTTATTTGCGATGTGTGTTCTCAACTAACAGAGTTGAACCTTTGTTTTGATATGGCATTTTGGAAACACTCTTTTTGTAGAATCTGCAGGTGGATATTCGGATAGCTTTGAAGGTTTCGTTGGAAACGGGAATATCTTCATATAAAATCTAGACGGAAGCATTCTCAGAAACTGCTTTGTGATGTTTTCATTCAAGTCACAGAGTAGAATGTTCCCTGTTATATACCAGGTTTGAGACACTCTTTCTGCACTACCTGGAAGTGGACGTTTGGAGCGCTTTGAGGCCTATGTTGAAAAAGGAAATATCTTCCCATAAAAACTAGACAGAAGCATTCTCAGAAACTTGTTTGTGATGTGTGTATTCAACTAACAGAGATGAACCTTTCTTTTTACAGAGCAGTTTTGAAACACTCTTTTTGTGGAATCTGAAAGTGGATATTTGGATAGCTTTGAGGATTTCGTTGGAAACGGGATTACATATAAAACCTAGAGAGAAGCATTCTCAGGAACTTCTTTGTGATGTTTCCATTCAAGTCACAGGACTGAACATTCCCTTTCATAGAGCAGGTTTGAAACACTCTTTCTGTAGTATCTGCAAGCTGACGTTTCAAGCGCTTTCAGGCCTATGGTGAGAAAGGAAATATCTTCAAATAAAAACTAGACAGAAGCATTCTCAGAAACTTATTTGCCATGTGTGTTCTCAACTAACAGAGTTGAACCTTTGTTTTGATACGGCATTTTGGAAACACTCTTTTTGTAGAATCTGCAGGTGGATATTCGGATAGCTTTGAAGGTTTCGTTGGAAACGGGAATATCTTCATATAAAATCTAGACGGAAGCATTCTCAGAAACTGCTTTGTGATGTTTTCATTCAAGTCACAGAGTAGAATGTTCCCTGTTATATACCAGGTTTGAGACACTCTTTCTGCACTACCTGGAAGTGGACGTTTGGAGCGATTTGAGGCCTAGGTTGAAAAAGGAAATATCTTCCCACAAAAACTAGACAGAAGCATTCTCAGAAACTTGTTTGTGATGTGTGTATTCAACTAACAGAGATGAACCTTTCTTTTTACAGAGCAGTTTTGAAACACTCTTTTTGTGGAATCTGAAAGTGGATATTTGGATAGCTTTGAGGATTTCGTTGGAAACGGGATTACATATAAAAACCTAGGGAGAAGCATTCTCAGGAACTTCTTTGTGATGTTTGCATTCAAGTCACAGAACTGAACATTCCCTTTCATAGAGCAGGTTTGAAACACTCTTTCTGTAGTATCTGCAAGCTGACGTTTCAAGCGCTTTCAGGCCTATGGTGAGAAAGGAAATATCTTCAAGTAAAAACTAGACAGAAGCATTCTCAGAAACTTATTTGCGATGTGTGTTCTCAACTAGCAGAGTTGAACCTTTGTTTTGATATGGCATTTTGGAAACACTCTTTTTGTAGAATCTGCAGGTGGATATTCGGATAGCTTTGAAGGTTTCGTTGGAAACGGGAATATCTTCATATAAAATCTAGACGGAAGCATTCTCAGAAAGTGCTTTGTGATGTTTGCATTCAAGTCACAGAGTTGAATATTCCCTTTTATAGAGCAGGTTTGAAACACTCTTTCTGCACTACCTGGAAGTGGACCTTTGGAGCGCTTTGAGGCCTATGTAGAAAAAGGAAATATCTTCCCATAAAAACTAGACAGAAGCATTCTCAGAAACTTGTTTGTGATGTGTGTATTCAACTAACAGAGATGAACCTTTCTTTTTACAGAGCAGTTTTGAAACACTCTTTTTGTGGAATCTGAAAGTGGATATTTGGATAGCTTTGAGGATTTCGTTGGAAACGGGATTACATATAAAACCTAGAGAGAAGCATTCTCAGGAACTTCTTTGTGATGTTTGCCTTCAAGTCACAGGACTGAACATTCCCTTTCATAGAGCAGGTTTGAAACACTCTTTCTGTAGTATCTGCAAGCTCACGTTTCAAGCGCTTTCAGGCCTATGGTGAGAAAGGAAATATCTTCAAGTAAAAACTAGACAGAAGCATTCTCAGAAACTTATTTGCCATGTGTGTTCTCAACTAACAGAGTTGAACCTTTGTTTTGATACGGCATTTTGGAAACACTCTTTTTGTAGAATCTGCAGGTGGATATTCGGATAGCTTTGAAGGTTTCGTTGGAAACGGGAATATCTTCATATAAAATCTAGACGGAAGCATTCTCAGAAACTGCTTTGTGATGTTTTCATTCAAGTCACAGAGTAGAATGTTCCCTGTTATATACCAGGTTTGAGACACTCTTTCTGCACTACCTGGAAGTGGACGTTTGGAGCGCTTTGAGGCCTATGTTGAAAAAGGAAATATCTTCCCATAAAAACTAGACAGAAGCATTCTCAGAAACTTGTTTGTGATGTGTGTATTCAACTAACAGAGATGAACCTTTCTTTTTACAGAGCAGTTTTGAAACACTCTTTTTGTGGAATCTGAAAGAGGATATTTGGATAGCTTTGAGGATTTCATTGGAAACGGGATTACATATAAAATCTAGGGAGAAGCATTCTCAGGAACTTCTTTGTGATGTTTGCATTCACGTCACAGAACTGAACATTCCCTTTCATAGAGCATGTTTGAAACACTCTTTCTGTAGTATCTGCAAACGGACATTTCAAACGCTTTCAGGCCTATGGTGAGAAAGGAAATATCTTCAAATAAAAACTAGACAGAAGCATTCTCAGAAACTTATTTGCGATGTGTGTCCTCAACTATCAGAGTTGAACCTTTCTTTTGATACAACATTTTGGAACCACTCTTTTTGTAGAATCTGCAAGTGGATATTTGAATAGCTTTGAAGGTTTCGTTGGAAACGGGAATATCTTCATATAAAATCAAGACAGAAGCATTCTCAGAAACTTCTCTGTGATGTTTGCATTCAACTCATAGAGTTGAACACTTCCCTTCATACAGCAGGTTTGAAACACTCTTTTTGTAATATTTGGAAGTGGACATTTGCAGCGCTTTGAGGCCTATGATGAAAAAGGAAATATCTTCCCATAAAAACTAGACAGAAGCATTCTCAGAAACTTGTTTGTGATGTGTGTATTCAACTAACAGAGATGAACCTTTCTTTTTACAGAGCAGTTTTGAAACACTCTTTTTGTGGAATCTGAAAGTGGATATTTGGATAGCTTTGCGGATTTCGTTGGAAACGGGATTACATATAAAATCTAGGGAGAAGCATTCTCAGGAACTTCTTTGTGATGTTTGCATTCAAGTCACAGAACTGAACATTCCCTTTCATAGAGCAGGTTTGAAACACTCTTTCTGTAGTATCTGCAAGTGGACGTTTCAAGCGCTTTCAGGCCTGTGGTGAAAAAGGAAATATCTTCAAATAAAAACTAGACAGAAGCATTCTCAGAAACTTATTTGCGATGTGTGTTCTCAGCTAACAGAGTTCAACCTTTGTTTTGATACAGCATTTTGGAAACACTCTTTTTGTAGGATCTGCAGGTGGATATTTGGATAGCTTTGAAGGTTTCTTTGGAAACGGGAATATCTTCATATAAAATCAAGACAGAAGCATTCTCAGAAAGTGCTTTGTGATGTTTGCATTCAAGTCACAGAGTTGAATATTCCCTTTTATAGAGCACGTTTGAAACACTCTTTCTGCACTACCTGGAAGTGGACATTTGGAGTGCTTTGAGGCCTATGTTGAAAAAGGAAATATCTTCCCATAAAAACTAGAGAGAAGCATTCTCAGAAACTTGTTTGTGATGTGTGTATTCAACTAACAGAGATGAACCTTTCTTTTTACAGAGCAGTTTTGAAACACTCTTTTTGTGGAATCTGAAAGTGGATATTTGGATAGCTTTGAGGATTTCGTTGGAAACGGGATTACATATAAAACCTAGAGAGAAGCATTCTCAGGAACTTCTTTGTGATGTTTGCCTTCAAGTCACAGGACTGAACATTCCCTTTCATAGAGCAGGTTTGAAACACTCTTTCTGTAGTATCTGCAAGCTGACGTTTCAAGCGCTTTCAGGCCTATGGTGACAAAGGAAATATCTTCAAGTAAAAACTAGACAGAAGCATTCTCAGAAACTTATTTGCCATGTGTGTTCTCAACTAACAGAGTTGAACCTTTGTTTTGATACGGCATTTTGGAAACACTCTTTTTGTAGAATCTGCAGGTGGATATTCGGATAGCTTTGAAGGTTTCGTTGGAAACGGGAATATCTTCATATAAAATCTAGACGGAAGCATTCTCAGAAACTGCTTTGTGATGTTTTCATTCAAGTCACAGAGTAGAATGTTCCCTGTTATATACCAGGTTTGAGACACTCTTTCTGCACTACCTGGAAGTGGACGTTTGGAGCGCTTTGAGGCCTATGTTGAAAAAGGAAATATCTTCCCATAAAAACTAGACAGAAGCATTCTCAGAAACTTGTTTGTGATGTGTGTATTCAACTAACAGAGATGAACCTTTCTTTTTACAGAGCAGTTTTGAAACACTCTTTTTGTGGAATCTGAAAGTGGATATTTGGATAGCTTTGAGGATTTCGTTGGAAACGGGATTACATATAAAACCTAGAGAGAAGCATTCTCAGGAACTTCTTTGTGATGTTTGCATTCAAGTCACAGAACTGAACATTCCCTTTCATAGAGCAGGTTTGAAACACTCTTTCTGTAGTATCTGCAAGCTGACGTTTCAAGCGCTTTCAGGCCTATGGTGAGAAAGGAAATATCTTCAAGTAAAAACTAGACAGAAGCATTCTCAGAAACTTATTTGCCATGTGTGTTCTCAACTAACAGAGTTGAACCTTTGTTTTGATACGGCATTTTGGAAACACTCTTTTTGTAGAATCTGCAGGTGGATATTCGGATAGCTTTGAAGGTTTCGTTGGAAACGGGAATATCTTCATATAAAATCTTGACGGAAGCATTCTCAGAAACTGCTTTGTGATGTTTTCATTCAAGTCACAGAGTAGAATCTTCCCTGTTATATACCAGGTTTCAGACACTCTTTCTGCACTACCTGGAAGTGGACATTTGCAGCGCTTTGAGGCCTATGATGAAAAAGGAAATATCTTCCCATAAAAACTAGACAGAAGCATTCTCAGAAACTTGTTTGTGATGTGTGTATTCAACTAACAGAGATGAACCTTTCTTTTTACAGAGCAGTTTTGAAACACTCTTTTTGTGGAATCTGAAAGTGGATGTTTGGATAGCTTTGAGGATTTCGTTGGAAACGGGATTACATATAAAATCTAGAGAGAAGCACTCTCAGGAACTTCTTTGTGATGTTTGCATTCAAGTCACAGAACTGAACATTCCCTTTCATAGAGCAGGTTTGAAACACTCTTTCTGTATTATCTGCAAGCGGACGTTTTAAGCGCTTTCAGGCCTGTGGTGAGAAAGGAAATATCTTCAAATAAAAACTAGACAGAAGCATTCTCAGAAACTTATTTGCGATGTGTGTCCTCAACTAACAGAGTTGAACCTTTCTTTTGATACAACATTTTGGAAACACTCTTTTTGTAGAATCTGCAAGTGGATATTTGGATAGCTTTGAAGGTTTCGTTGGAAACGGGAATATCTTCATATGAAATCAAGACAGAAGCATTCTCAGAAAGTGCTTTGTGATGTTTGCATTCAAGTCACAGAGTTGAATATTCCCTTTTATAGAGCAGGTTTGAAACACTCTTTCTGCACTACCTGGAAGTGGACATTTGGAGCGCTTTGAGGCCTATGTTGAAAAAGGAAATATCTTCCCATAAAAACTAGACAGAAGCATTCTCAGAAACTTGTTTGTGATGTGTGTATTCAACTAACAGAGATGAACCTTTCTTTTTACAGAGCAGTTTTGAAACACTCTTTTTGTGGAATCTGAAAGTGGATATTTGGATAGCTTTGAGGATTTCGTTGGAAACGGGATTACATATAAAACCTAGAGAGAAGCATTCTCAGGAACTTCTTTGTGATGTTTGCCTTCAAGTCACAGGACTGAACATTCCCTTTCATAGCGCAGGTTTGAAACACTCTTTCTGTAGTATCTGCAAGCTGACGTTTCAAGCGCTTTCAGGCCTATGGTGAGAAAGGAAATATCTTCAAGTAAAAACTAGACAGAAGCATTCTCAGAAACTTATTTGCCATGTGTGTTCTCAACTAACAGAGTTGAACCTTTGTTTTGATACGGCATTTTGGAAACACTCTTTTTGTAGAATCTGCAGGTGGATATTCGGATAGCTTTGAAGGTTTCGTTGGAAACGGGAATATCTTCATATAAAATCTAGACGGAAAAATTCTCAGAAACTGCTTTGTGATGTTTTCATTCAAGTCACAGAGTAGAATGTTCCCTGTTATATACCAGGTTTGAGACACTCTTTCTGCACTACCTGGAAGTGGACGTTTGGAGCGCTTTGAGGCCTATGTTGAAAAAGGAAATATCTTCCCATAAAAACTAGACAGAAGCATTCTCAGAAACTTGTTTCTGATGTGTGTATTCAACTAACAGAGATGAACCTTTCTTTTTACAGAGTAGTTTTGAAACACTCTTTTTGTGGAATCTGAAAGTGGATATTTGGATAGCTTTGCGGATTTCGTTGGAAACGGGATTACATATAAAATCTAGGGAGAAGCATTCTCAGGAACTTCTTTGTGATGTTTGCATTCAAGTCACAGAACTGAACATTCCCTTTCATAGAGCAGGTTTGAAACACTCTTTCTGTAGTATCTGCAAGCTGACGTTTCAAGCGCTTTCAGGCCTATGGTGAGAAAGGAAATATCTTCAAGTAAAAACTAGACAGAAGCATTCTCAGAAACTTATTTGCCATGTGTGTTCTCAACTAACAGAGTTGAACCTTTGTTTTGATACGGCATTTTGGAAACACTCTTTTTGTAGAATCTGCAGGTGGATATTCGGATAGCTTTGAAGGTTTCGTTGGAAACGGGAATATCTTCATATAAAATCTAGACGGAAGCATTCTCAGAAACTGCTTTGTGATGTTTTCATTCAAGTCACAGAGTAGATGTTCCCTGTTATATACCAGGTTTGAGACACTCTTTCTGCACTACCTGGAAGTGGACGTTTGGAGCGCTTTGAGGCGTATGTTGAAAAAGGAAATATCTTCCCATAAAAACTAGACAGAAGCATTCTCAGAAACTTGTTTGTGATGTGTGTATTCAACTAACAGAGATGAACCTTTCTTTTTACAGAGCAGTTTTGAAACACTCTTTTTGTGGAATCTGAAAGTGGTTATTTGGATAGCTTTGAGGATTTCGTTTGAAAAGGGATTACATATAAAATCTAGAGAAAAGCATTCTCAGGAACTTCTTTGTGATGTTTGCATTCACGTCACAAAACTCAACATTCCCTTTCATACAGCATGTTTGAAACACTCTTTCTGTAGTATCTGCAAACGGACATTTCAAACGCTTTCAGGCCTATGGTGAGAAAGGAAATATCTTCAAATAAAAACTAGACAGAAGCATTCTCAGAAACTTATTTGCGATGTGTGTTCTCAGCTAACAGAGTTGAACCTTTGTTTTGATACAGCATTTTGGAAACACTCTTTTTGTAGGATCTGCAGGTGGATGTTTGGATAGCTTTGAAGGTTTCTTTGGAAACGGGAATATCTTCATATGAAATCAAGACAGAAGCATTCTGAGAAACTGCTTTGTGATGTTTTCATTCAAGTCACAGAGTAGAATGTTCCCTTTTATATACCAGGTTTGAGACACTCTTTCTGCACTATCTGGAAGTGGACATTTGGAGCGCTTTGAGGCCTATGATGAAAAAGGAAATATCTTCCCATAAAAACTAGACAGAAGCATTCTCAGAAACTTCCTTGTGATGTGTGTACTCAAGTAACAGAGATGAACCTTTCTTTTTACAGAGCAGTTTTGAAACACTCTTTTTGTGGAATCTGAAAGTGGATATTTGGATAGCTTTGAGGATTTCGTTGGAAACGGGATTACATATAAAATCTATAGAGAAGCATTCTCAGGAACTTCTTTGTGATGTTTGCATTCACGTCACAGAACTGAACATTCCCTTTCATAGAGCATGTTTGAAACACTCTTTCTGTAGTATCTGCAAACGGACATTTCAAACGCTTTCAGGCCTATGGTGAGAAAGGAAATATCTTCAAGTAAAAACTAGACAGAAGCATTCTCAGAAACTTATTTGCGATGTGTGTCCTCAACTAACAGAGTTGAACCTTTCTTTTGATACAACATTTTGGAAACACTCTTTTTGTAGAATCTGCAAGTGGATATTTGGATAGCTTTGAAGGTTTCGTTGGAAACGGGAATATCTTCATATGAAATCAAGACAGAAGCATTCTCAGAAACTTCTCTGTGATGTTTGCATTCAACTCATAGAGTTGAACACTTCCCTTCATACAGCAGGTTTGAAACACTCTTTTTGTAATATTTGGAAGTGGACATTTGCAGCGCTTTGAGGCCTATGATGAAAAAGGTAATATCTTCCCATAAAAACTAGACAGAAGCATTCTCAGAAACTTGTTTGTGATGTGTGTATTCAACTAACAGAGATGAACCTTTCTTTTTACAGAGCAGTTTTGAAACACTCTTTTTGTGGAATCTGAAAGTGGATAGTTGGATAGCTTTGAGGATTTCGTTGGAAACGGGATTACATATAAAATCTAGAGAGAAGCATTCTCAGGAACATCTTTGCGATGTTTGCATTCAAGTCACAGAACTGAACATTCCCTTTCATAGAGCAGGTTTGAAACACTCTTTCTGTAGTATCTGCAAGCTGACGTTTCAAGCGCTTTCAGGCCTATGGTGAGAAAGGAAATTTCTTCAAGTAAAAACTAGACAGAAGCATTCTCAGAAACTTATTTGCGATGTGTGTTCTCAACTAACAGAGTTGAACCTTTGTTTTGATATGGCATTTTGGAAACACTCTTTTTGTAGAATCTGCAGGTGGATATTCGGATAGCTTTGAAGGTTTCGTTGGAAACGGGAATATCTTCATATAAAATCTAGACGGAAGCATTCTCAGAAACTGCTTTGTGATGTTTTCATTCAAGTCACAGAGTAGAATGTTCCCTGTTATATACCAGGTTTGAGACACTCTTTCTGCACTACCTGGAAGTGGACATTTGCAGCGCTTTGAGGCCTATGATGAAAAAGGAAATATCTTCCCATAAAAACTAGACAGAAGCATTCTCAGAAACTTGTTTGTGATGTGTGTATTCAACTAACAGAGATGAACCTTTCTTTTTACAGAGCAGTTTTGAAACACTCTTTTTGTGGAATCTGAAAGTGGATATTTGGATAGCTTTGAGGATTTCGTTGGAAACGGGATTACATATAAAATCTAGGGAGAAGCATTCTCAGGAACTTCTTTGTGATGTTTGCATTCAAGTCACAGAACTGAACATTCCCTTTCATAGAGCAGGTTTGAAACACTCTTTCTGTAGTATCTGCAAGCGGACGTTTCAAACGCTTTCAGGCCTATGGTGAGAAAGGAAATATCTTCAAATAAAAACTAGACAGAAGCATTCTCAGAAACTTATTTGCGATGTGTGTCCTCAACTAACAGAGTTGAACCTTTCTTTTGATACAACATTTTGGAAACACTCTTTTTGTAGAATCTGCAAGTGGATATTTGAATAGCTTTGAAGGTTTCGTTGGAAACGGGAATATCTTCATATAAAATCAAGACAGAAGCATTCTCAGAAACTTCTCTGTGATGTTTGCATTCAACTCATAGAGTTGAACACTTCCCTTCATACAGCAGGTTTGAAACACTCTTTTTGTAATATTTGGAAGTGGACATTTGCAGCGCTTTGAGGCCTATGATGAAAAAGGTAATATCTTCCCATAAAAACTAGACAGAAGCATTCTCAGAAACTTGTTTGTGATGTGTGTATTCAACTAACAGAGATGAACCTTTCTTTTTACAGAGCAGTTTTGAAACACTCTTTTTGTGGAATCTGAAAGTGGATATTTGGATAGCTTTGCGGATTTCGTTGGAAACGGGATTACATATAAAACCTAGAGAGAAGCATTCTCAGGAACTTCTTTGTGATGTTTGCATTCACGTCACAGAACTGAACATTCCCTTTCATAGAGCATGTTTGAAACACTCTTTCTGTAGTATCTGCAAACGGACATTTCAAACGCTTTCAGGCCTATGGTGAGAAAGGAAATATCTTCAAATAAAAACTAGACAGAAGCATTCTCAGAAACTTATTTGCGATGTGTGTCCTCAACTAACAGAGTTGAACCTTTCTTTTGATACAACATTTTGGAAACACTCTTTTTGTAGAATCTGCAAGTGGATATTTGAATAGCTTTGAAGGTTTCGTTGGAAATGGGAATATCTTCATATAAAATCAAGACAGAAGCATTCTCAGAAACTTCTCTGTGATGTTTGCATTCAACTCATAGAGTTGAACACTTCCCTTCATACAGCAGGTTTGAAACACTCTTTTTGTAATATTTGGAAGTGGACATTTGCAGCGCTTTGAGGCCTATGATGAAAAAGGTAATATCTTCCCATAAAAACTAGACAGAAGCATTCTCAGAAACTTGTTTGTGATGTGTGTATTCAACTAAGAGAGATGAACCTTTCTTTTTAGAGAGCAGTTTTGAAGCACTCTTTTTGTGGAATCTGAAAGTGGATATTTGGATAGCTTTGCGGATTTCGTTGGAAACGGGATTACATATAAAATCTAGGGAGAAGCATTCTCAGGAAATTCTTTGTGATGTTTGCATTCAAGTCACAGAACTGAACATTCCCTTTCATAGATCAGGTTTGAAACACTCTTTCTGTAGTATCTGCAAGCGGACGTTTTAAGCGCTTTCAGGCCTGTGGTGAGAAAGGAAATATCTTCAAATAAAAACTAGACAGAAGCATTCTCAGAAACTTCTTTGTGCTGTATGTCCTCAATTAACAGAGTTGAACCTTTGTGTGGATACAGCATTTTGGAAACATTCCTTTAGTAGAATCTGCAAGTTGATATTTAGATAGCTAGGAAGATTTCCTTGGAAACGGGAATATCTTCATATAAAATCTAGACGGAAGCATTCTCAGAAAGTGCTTTGTGATGTTTGCATTCAAGTCACAGAGTTGAATATTCCCTTTTATAGAGCAGGTTTGAAACACTCTTTCTGCACTATCTGGAAGTGGACATTTGGAGCGCTTTGAGGCCTATGTTGAAAAAGGAAATATCTTCCCATAAAAACTAGACAGAAGCATTCTCAGAAACTTGTTTGTGATGTGTGTATTCAACTAACAGAGATGAACCTTTCTTTTTACAGAGCAGTTTTGAAACACTCTTTTTGTGGAATCTGAAAGTGGATATTTGGATAGCTTTGAGGATTTCGTTGGAAACGGGATTACATATAAAACCTAGAGAGAAGCATTCTCAGGAACTTCTTTGTGATGTTTGCATTCAAGTCACAGAACTGAACATTCCCTTTCATAGAGCAGGTTTGAAACACTCTTTCTGTAGTATCTGCAAGCTGACGTTTCAAGCGCTTTCAGGCCTATGGTGAGAAAGGAAATATCTTCAAGTAAAAACTAGACAGAAGCATTCTCAGAAACTTATTTGCTATGTGTGTTCTCAACTAACAGAGTTGAACCTTTGTTTTGATACGGCATTTTGGAAACACTCTTTTTGTAGAATCTGCAGGTGGATATTCGGATAGCTTTGAAGGTTTCGTTGGAATCGGGAATATCTTCATATAAAATCTAGACGGAAGCATTCTCAGAAAGTGCTTTGTGATGTTTGCATTCAAGTCACAGAGTTGAATATTCCCTTTTATAGAGCAGGTTTGAAACACTCTTTCTGCACTACCTGGAAGTGGACATTTGGAGCGCTTTGAGGCCTATGTTGAAAAAGGAAATATCTTCCCATAAAAACTAGACAGAAGCATTCTCAGAAACTTGTTTGTGATGTGTGTATTCAACTAACAGAGATGAACCTTTCTTTTTACAGAGCAGTTTTGAAACACTCTTTTTGTGGAATCTGAAAGTGGATATTTGGATAGCTTTGAGGATTTCGTTGGAAACGGGATTACATATAAAACCTAGAGAGAAGCATTCTCAGGCAACTTCTTTGTGATGTTTGCATTCAAGTCACAGAACTGAACATTCCCTTTCATAGAGCAGGTTTGAAACACTCTTTCTGTAGTATCTGCAAGCTGACGTTTCAAGCGCTTTCAGGCCTATGGTGAGAAAGGAAATATCTTCAAGTAAAAACTAGACAGAAGCATTCTCAGAAACTTATTTGCCATGTGTGTTCTCAACTAACAGAGTTGAACCTTTGTTTTGATACGGCATTTTGGAAACACTCTTTTTGTAGAATCTGCAGGTGGATATTCGGATAGCTTTGAAGGTTTCGTTGGAAACGGGAGTATCTTCATATAAAATCTAGACGGAAGCATTCTCAGAAACTTCTCTGTGATGTTTGCATTCAACTCATAGAGTTGAACACTTCCCTTCATACAGCAGGTTTGAAACACTCTTTTTGTAATATTTGGAAGTGGACATTTGCAGCGCTTTGAGGCCTATGATGAAAAAGGTAATATCTTCCCATAAAAACTAGACAGAAGCATTCTCAGAAACTTGTTTGTGATGTGTGTATTCAACTAACAGAGATGAACCTTTCTTTTTACAGAGCAGTTTTGAAACACTCTTTTTGTGGAATCTGAAAGTGGATATTTGGATAGCTTTGAGGATTTCGTTGGAAACGGGATTACATATAAAACCTAGAGAGAAGCATTCTCAGGAACTTCTTTGTGATGTTTGCCTTCAAGTCACAGGACTGAACATTCCCTTTCATAGAGCAGGTTTGAAACACTCTTTCTGTAGTATCTGCAAGCTGACGTTTCAAGCGCTTTCAGGCCTATGGTGACAAAGGAAATATTTTCTAGTAAAAACTAGACAGAAGCATTCTCAGAAACTTATTTGCCATGTGTGTTCTCAACTAACAGAGTTGAACCTTTGTTTGGATACTGGCATTTTGGAAACACTCTTTTTGTAGAATCTGCAGGTGGATATTCGGATAGCTTTGAAGGTTTCGTTGGAAACGGGAATATCTTCATATAAAATCTAGACGGAAGCATTCTCAGAAACTGCTTTGTGATGTTTTCATTCAAGTCACAGAGTAGAATGTTCCCTTTTATATACCAGGTTTGAGACACCCTTTCTGCACTATCTGGAAGTGGACATTTGGAGCGCTTTGAGGCCTATGATGAAAAAGGAAATATCTTCCCATAGAAACTAGACAGAAGCATTCTCAGAAACTTGTTTGTGATGTGTGTATTCAACTAACAGAGATGAACCTTTCTTTTTACAGAGCAGTTTTGAAACACTCTTTTTGTGGAATCTGAAAGTGGATATTTGGATAGCTTTGAGGATTTCGTTGGAAACGGGATTACATATAAAACCTAGAGAGAAGCATTCTCAGGAACTTCTTTGTGATGTTTGCATTCAAGTCACAGAACTGAACATTCCCTTTCATAGAGCAGGTTTGAAACACTCTTTCTGTAGTATCTGCAAGCTGACGTTTCAAGCGCTTTCAGGCCTATGGTGAGAAAGGAAATATCTTCAAGTAAAAACTAGACAGAAGCATTCTCAGAAACTTATTTGCCATGTGTGTTCTCAACTAACAGAGTTGAACCTTTGTTTTGATACGGCATTTTGGAAACACTCTTTTTGTAGAATCTGCAGGTGGATATTCGGATAGCTTTGAAGGTTTCGTTGGAAACGGGAATATCTTCATATAAAATCTAGACGGAAGCATTCTCAGAAACTGCTTTGTGATGTTTTCATTCAAGTCACAGTGTAGAATGTTCCCTGTTATATACCAGGTTTGAGACACACTTTCTGCACTACCTGGAAGTGGACGTTTGGAGCGCTTTGAGGCCTATGTTGAAAAAGGAAATATCTTCCCATAAAAACTAGACAGAAGCATTCTCAGAAACTTGTTTCTGATGTGTGTATTCAACTAACAGAGATGAACCTTTCTTTTTACAGAGTAGTTTTGAAACACTCTTTTTGTGGAATCCGAAAGTGGATATTTGGATAGCTTTGAGGAATTCGTTGGAAACGGGATTACATATAAAATGTAGGGAGAAGCATTCTCAGGAACTTCTTTGTGATGTTTGCATTCAAGTCACAGAACTGAACATTCCCTTTCATAGAGCAGGTTTGAAACACTCTTTCTGTAGTATCTGCAAGCGGACGTTTGAAGCGCTTTCAGGCCTGTGGTGAAAAAGGAAATATCTTCAAATAAAAACTAGACAGAAGCATTCTCAGAAACTTATTTGCGATGTGTGTTCTCAACTAAAAGGGTTGAACCTTTGTTTGGATACAACATTTTGGAAACACTCTTTTTGTAGAATCTGCAAGTGGATATTTGGATAGCTTTGAAGGTTTCGTTGGAAACGGGAATATCTTCATATAAAATCAAGACAGAAGCATTCTCAGAAAGTGCTTTGTGATGTTTGCATTCAAGTCACAGAGTTGAATGTTCCCTTTTATAGAGTAGGTTTGAAACACTCTTTCTGCACTACCTGGAAGTGGACATTTGGAGCGCTTTGAGGCCTATGTTGAAAAAGGAAATATCTTCCCATAAAAACTAGACAGAAGCATTCTCAGAAACTTGTTTGTGATGTGTGTATTCAACTAACAGCAGATGAACCTTTCTTTTTACAGAGCAGTTTTGAAACACTCTTTTTGTGGAATCTGAAAGTGGATATTTGGACAGCTTTGAGGATTTCGTTGGAAACGGGATTACATATAAAATCTAGAGAGAAGCATTCTCAGGAACTTCTTTGTGATGTTTGCATTCAAGTCACAGAACTGAACATTCCCTTTCATAGAGCAGGTTTGAAACACTCTTTCTGTAGTATCTGCAAGCTGACGTTTCAAGCGCTTTCAGGCCTATGGTGAGAAAGGAAATATCTTCAAGTAAAAACTAGACAGAAGCATTCTCAGAAACTTATTTGCCATGTGTGTTCTCAACTAACAGAGTTGAACCTTTGTTTTGATACGGCATTTTGGAAACACTCTTTTTGTAGAATCTGCAGGTGGATATACGGATAGCTTTGAAGGTTTCGTTGGAAACGGGAATATCTTCATATAAAGTCTAGACGGAAGCATTCTCAGAAACTGCTTTGTGATGTTTTCATTCAAGTCACAGAGTAGAATGTTCCCTGTTATATACCAGGTTTGAGACACTCTTTCTGCACTACCTGGAAGTGGACATTTGCAGCGCTTTGAGGCCTATGATGAAAAAGGAAATATCTTCCCATAAAAACTAGACAGAAGCATTCTCAGAAACTTGTTTGTGATGTGTGTATTCAACTAACAGAGATGAACCTTTCTTTTTACAGAGCAGTTTTGAAACACTCTTTTTGTGGAATCTGAAAGTGGATATTTGGATAGCTTTGAGGATTTCGTTGGAAACGGGATTACATATAAAATCTAGAGAGAAGCATTCTCAGGAACTTCTTTGTGATGTTTGCATTCACGTCACAGAACTGAACATTCCCTTTCATAGAGCATGTTTGAAACACTCTTTCTGTAGTATCTGCAAACGGACATTTCAAGCACTTTCAGGCCAATGGTAAGAAAGGAAATATCTTCAAATAAAAACTAGACAGAAGCATTCTCAGAAACTTATTTGCGATGTGTGTTCTCAACTAACAGAGTTGAACCTTTGTTTTGATACAACATTTTGGAAACACTCTTTTTGTAGAATCTGCAAGTGGATATTTGGATAGCTTTGAAGGTTTCGTTGGAAACGAGAATATCTTCATATAAAATCAAGACGGAAGCATTCTCAGAAACTTCTCTGTGATGTTTGCATTCAACTCATAGAATTGAACACTTCCCTTCATAGAGCAGGTTTGAAAAACTCTTTTTGTAATATTTGGAAGTGGACATTTGCAGCGCTTTGAGGCCTATGTTGAAAAAGGAAATATCTTCTCCTAAAAACCAGACAGAAGCATTCTCAGAAACTTCCTTGTGATGTGTGTACTCAAGTAACAGAGTTGAACCTTACTTTTGACAGAGCCGTTTTGAAACAGTATTTTTGTAGAATGTGGAAGTAGATATTTAGATACAATTGAGGATTTCTTTGGAAACGGGATATCTTCATATAAAATCTAGATGGAAGCATTCTCAGAAAGTGCTTTGTGATGTTTGCATTCAAGTCACAGAGTTGAATATTCCCTTTTATAGAGCAGGTTTGAAACACTCTTTCTGCACTACCTGGAAGTGGACATTTGGAGCGCTTTGAGGCCTATGTTGAAAAAGGAAATATCTTCCCATAAAAACTAGACAGAAGCATTCTCAGAAACTTGTTTGTGATGTGTGTATTCAACTAACAGAGATGAACCTTTCTTTTTACAGAGCAGTTTTGAAACACTCTTTTTGTGGAATCTGAAAGTGGATATTTGGATAGCTTTGAGGATTTCGTTGGAAACGGGATTACATATAAAATCTAGAGAGAAGCATTCTCAGGAACTTCTTTGTGATGTTTGCATTCAAGTCACAGAACTGAACATTCCCTTTCATAGAGCATGTTTGAAACACTCTTTCTGTAGTATCTGCAAGCAGACGTTTCAAGCGCTTTCAGGCCTATGGTGAGAAAGGAAATATCTTCAAGTAAAAACTAGACAGAAGCATTCTCAGAAACTTATTTGCCATGTGTGTTCTCAACTAACAGAGTTGAACCTTTGTTTTGATACGGCATTTTGGAAACACTCTTTTTGTAGAATCTGCAGGTGGATATTCGGATAGCTTTGAAAGTTTCGTTGGAAACGGGAATATCTTCATATAAAATCTAGACGGAAGCATTCTCAGAAAGTGCTTTGTGATGTTTGCATTCAAGTCACAGAGTTGAATGTTCCCTTTTATAGAGCAGGTTTGAAACACTCTTTCTGCACTACCTGGAAGTGGACATTTGGAGCGCTTTGAGGCCTATGTTGAAAAAGGAAATATCTTCCCATAAAAACTAGACAGAAGCATTCTCAGAAACTTGTTTGTGATGTGTGTATTCAACTAACAGAGATGAACCTTTCTTTTTACAGAGCAGTTTTGAAACACTCTTTTTGTGGAATCTGAAAGTGGATATTTGGATAGCTTTGAGGATTTCGTTGGAAACGGGATTACATATAAAACCTAGAGAGAAGCATTCTCAGGAACTTCTTTGTGATGTTTGCATTCACGTCACAGAACTGAACATTCCCTTTCATAGAGCATGTTTGAAACACTCTTTCTGTAGTATCTGCAAACGGACATTTCAAACGCTTTCCGGCCTATGGTGAGAAAGGAAATATCTTCAAATAAAAACTAGACAGAAGCATTCTCAGAAACTTATTTGCGATGTGTGTCCTCAACTAACAGAGTTGAACCTTTCTTTTGATACAACATTTTGGAAACACTCTTTTTGTAGAATCTGCAAGTGGATATTTGAATAGCTTTGAAGGTTTCGTTGGAAACGGGAATATCTTCAAATAAAAACTAGACAGAAGCATTCTCAGAAAGTGCTTTGTGATGTTTGCATTCAAGTCACAGAGTTGAATATTCCCTTTTATAGAGCAGGTTTGAAACACTCTTTCTGCACTACCTGGAAGTGGACATTTGGAGCGCTTTGAGGCCTATGTTGAAAAAGGAAATATCTTCCCATAAAAACTAGACAGAAGCATTCTCAGAAACTTGTTTGTGATGTGTGTATTCAACTAACAGAGATGAACCTTTCTTTTTACAGAGCAGTTTTGAAACACTCTTTTTGTGGAATCTGAAAGTGGATATTTGGATAGCTTTGAGGATTTCGTTGGAAACGGGATTACATATAAAACCTAGAGAGAAGCATTCTCGGGAACTTCTTTGTGATGTTTGCATTCAAGTCACAGAACTGAACATTCCCTTTCATAGAGCATGTTTGAAACACTCTTTCTGTAGTATCTGCAAGCGGACGTTTCAAGCGCTTTCAGGCCTATGGTGAGAAAGGAAATATCTTCAAGTAAAAACTAGACAGAAGCATTCTCAGAAACTTATTTGCCATGTGTGTTCTCAACTAACAGAGTTGAACCTTTGTTTTGATACGGCATTTTGGAAACACTCTTTTTGTAGAATCTGCAGGTGGATATTCGGATAGCTTTGAAGGTTTCGTTGGAAACGGGAATATCTTCATATAAAATCTAGACGGAAGCATTCTCAGAAACTGCTTTGTGATGTTTTCATTCAAGTCACAGAGTAGAATGTTCCCTTTTATATACCAGGTTTGAGACACTCTTTCTGCACTACCTGGAAGTGGACTTTTGGAGCGCTTTGAGGCCTATGATGAAAAAGGAAATATCTTCCCATAACAACTAGACAGAAGCATTCTCAGAAACTTGTTTGTGATGTGTGTATTCAACTAACAGAGATGAACCTTTCTTTTTACAGAGCAGTTTTGAAACACTCTTTTTGTGGAATCTGAAAGTGGATATTTGGATAGCTTTGAGGATTTCGCTGGAAACGAGATTACATATAAAATCTAGAGAGAAGCATTCTCAGGAACTTCTTTGTGAAGTTTGCATTCAAGTCACAGAACTGAACATTCCCTTTCATAGAGCAGGTTTGAAACACTCTTTCTGTAGTATCTGCAAGCTGACGTTTCAAGCGCTTTCAGGACTATGGTGAGAAAGGAAATATCTTCAAGTAAAAACTAGACAGAAGCATTCTCAGAAACTTATTTGCGATGTGTGTTCTCAACTAACAGAGTTGAACCTTTGTTTTGATATGGCATTTTGGAAACACTCTTTTTGTAGAATCTGCAGGTGGATATTCGGATAGCTTTGAAGGTTTCGTTGGAAACGGGAATATCTTCATATAAAATCTAGACGGAAGCATTCTCAGAAACTGCTTTGTGATGTTTTCATTCAAGTCACAGAGTAGAATGTTCCCTGTTATATACCAGGTTTGAGACACTCTTTCTGCACTACCTGGAAGTGGACATTTGCAGCGCTTTGAGGCCTATGATGAAAAAGGAAATATCTTCCCATAAAAACTAGACAGAAGCATTCTCAGAAACTTGTTTGTGATGTGTGTATTCAACTAACAGAGATGAACCTTTCTTTTTACAGAGCAGTTTTGAAACACTCTTTTTGTGGAATCTGAAAGTGGATATTTGGATAGCTTTGAGGATTTCGTTGGAAACGGGATTACATATAAAATCTAGAGAGAAGCATTCTCAGGAACTTCTTTGTGATGTTTGCATTCACGTCACAGAACTGAACATTCCCTTTCATAGAGCATGTTTGAAACACTCTTTCTGTAGTATCTGCAAACGGACATTTCAAGCGCTTTCAGGCCTATGGTAACAAAGGAAATATCTTCAAATAAAAACTAGACAGAAGCATTCTCAGAAACTTATTTGCGATGTGTGTCCTCAACTAACAGAGTTGAACCTTTGTTTTGATACAGCATTTTGGAAACACTCTTTTTGTAGGATCTGCAGGTGGATATTTGGATAGCTTTTAAGGTTTCGTTGGAAACGGGAATATCTTCATATAAAATCAAGACAGAAGCATTCTCAGAAACTGCTTTGTGATGTTTTCATTCAAGTCACAGAGTAGAATGTTCCCTGTTATATACCAGGTTTGAGACACTCTTTCTGCACTACCTGGAAGTGGACGTTTGGAGCGCTTTGAGGCCTTTGATGAAAAAGGAAATATCTTCCCATAAAAACTATACAGAAGCATTCTCAGAAACTTGTTTGTGATGTGTGTATTCAACTAACAGAGATGAACCTTTCTTTTTACAGAGCAGTTTTGAAACACTCTTTTTGTGGAATCTGAAAGTGGATATTTGGATAGCTTTGCGGATTTCGTTGGAAACGGGATTACATATAAAATCCTAGGGAGAAGAGCATTCTCAGGAACTTCTTTGTGATGTTTGCCTTCTAGTCACAGGACTGAACATTCCCTTTCATAGAGCAGGTTTGAAACACTCTTTCTGTAGTATCTGCAAGCTGACGTTTCAAGCGCTTTCAGGCCTATGGTGAGAAAGGAAATATCTTCAAGTAAAAACTAGACAGAAGCATTCTCAGAAACTTATTTGCCATGTGTGTTCTCAACTAACAGAGTTGAACCTTTGTTTTGATACGGCATTTTGGAAACACTCTTTTTGTAGAATCTGCAGGTGGATATTCGGATAGCTTTGAAGGTTTCGTTGGAAACGGGAATATCTTCATATAAAATGCTAGACGGAAGCATTCTCAGAAAGTGCTTTGTGATGTTTGCATTCAAGTCACAGAGTTGAATATTCCCTTTTATAGAGCAGGTTTGAAACACTCTTTCTGCACTACCTGGAAGTGGACATTTGGAGCGCTTTGAGGCCTATGTTGAAAAAGGAAATATCTTCCCATAAAAACTAGACAGAAGCATTCTCAGAAACTTGTTTGTGATGTGTGTATTCAACTAACAGAGATGAACCTTTCTTTTTACAGAGCAGTTTTGAAACACTCTTTTTGTGGAATCTGAAAGTGGATATTTGGATAGCTTTGAGGATTTCGTTGGAAACGGGATTACATATAAAATCTAGAGAGAAGCATTCTCAGGAACTTCTTTGTGATGTTTGCATTCAAGTCACAGAACTGAACATTCCCTTTCATAGAGCAGGTTTGAAACACTCTTTCTGTAGTATCTGCAAGCGGACGTTTTAAGCGCTTTCAGGCCTGTGGTGGGAAAGGAAATATCTTCAAATAAAAACTAGACAGAAGCATTCTCAGAAACTTATTTGCGATGTGTGTCCTCAACTAACAGAGTTGAACCTTTCTTTTGATACAACATTTTGGAAACACTCTTTTTGTAGAATCTGCAAGTGGATATTTGGATAGCTTTGAAGGTTTCGTTGGAAACGGGAATATCTTCATATGAAATCAAGACAGAAGCATTCTCAGAAACTGCTTTGTGATGTTTGCATTCAAGTCACAGAGTTGAGTATTCCCTTTTATAGAGCAGGTTTGAAACACTCTTTCTGCACTACATGGAAGTGGACATTTGGAGCGCTTTGAGGCCTATGTTGAAAAAGGAAATATCTTCCCATAAAAACTAGACAGAAGCATTCTCAGAAACTTGTTTGTGATGTGTGTATTCAACTAACAGAGATGAACCTTTCTTTTTACAGAGCAGTTTTGAAACACTCTTTTTGTGGAATCTGAAAGTGGATATTTGGATAGCTTTGAGGATTTCGTTGGAAACGGGATTACATATAAAACCTAGAGAGAAGCATTCTCAGGAACTTCTTTGTGATGTTTGCCTTCAAGTCACAGGACTGAACATTCCCTTTCATAGAGCAGGTTTGAAACACTCTTTCTGTAGTATCTGCAAGCTGACGTTTCATGCGCTTTCAGGCCTATGGTGAGAAAGGAAATATCTTCAAGTAAAAACTAGACAGAAGCATTGTCAGAAACTTATTTGCCATGTGTGTTCTCAACTAACAGAGTTGAACATTTGTTTTGATACGGCATTTTGGAAACACTCTTTTTGTAGGATCTGCAGGTGGATATTCGGATAGCTTTGAAGGTTTCGTTGGAAACGGGAATATCTTCATATAAAATCTAGACGGAAGCATTCTCAGAAACTGCTTTGTGATGTTTTCATTCAAGTCACAGTGTAGAATGTTCCCTGTTATATAACAGGTTTGAGACACTCTTTCTGCACTACCTGGAAGTGGACGTTTGGAGCGCTTTGAGGCCTATGTTGAAAAAGGAAATATCTTCCCATAAAAACTAGACAGAAGCATTCTCAGAAACTTGTTTGTGATGTGTGTATTCAACTAACAGAGATGAACCTTTCTTTTTACAGAGCAGTTTTGAAACACTCTTTTTGTGGAATCTGAAAGTGGATATTTGGATAACTTTGAGGATTTCGTTGGAAACGGGATTACATTTAAGATCTATTGAGAAGCATTCTCAGGAACTTCTTTGTGATGTTTGCATTCAAGTCACAGAACTGAACATTCCCTTTCATAGAGCATGTTTGAAACACTCTTTCTGTAGTATCTGCAAACGGACATTTCAAGTGCTTTCAGGCCTATGGTAAGAAAGGAAATATCTTCAAATAAAAACTAGACAGAAGCATTCTCAGAAACTTATTTGCCATGTGTGTTCTCAACTAACAGAGTTGAACCTTTGTTTTGATACGGCATTTTGGAAACACTCTTTTTGTAGAATCTGCAGGTGGATATTCGGATAGCTTTGAAGGTTTCGTTGGAAACGGGAATATCTTCATATAAAATCTAGACGGAAGCATTCTCAGAAACTGCTTTGTGATGTTTTCATTCAAGTCACAGAGTAGAATGTTCCCTGTTATACACCAGGTTTGAGACACTCTTTCTGCACTACCTGGAAGTGGACGTTTGGAGCGCTTTGAGGCCTATGTTGAAAAAGGAAATATCTTCCCATAAAAACTAGACAGAAGCATTCTCAGAAACTTGTTTGTGATGTGTGTATTCAACTAACAGAGATGAACCTTTCTTTTTACAGAGCAGTTTTGAAACACTCTTTTTGTGGAATCTGAAAGTGGATATTTGGATAGCTTTGAGGATTTCGTTGGAAACGGGATTACATATAAAATCTAGAGAGAAGCATTCCCAGGAACTTCTTTGTGATGTTTGCCTTCAAGTCACAGGACTGAACATTCCCTTTCATAGAGCAGGTTTGAAACACTCTTTCTGTAGTATCTGCAAGCTGACGTTTCAAGCGCTTTCAGGCCTATGGTGAGAAAGGAAATATCTTCAAGTAAAAACTAGACAGAAGCATTCTCAGAAACTTATTTGCCATGTGTGTTCTCAACTAACAGAGTTGAACCTTTGTTTTGATACGGCATTTTGGAAACACTCTTTTTGTAGAATCTGCAGGTGGATATTCGGATAGCTTTGAAGGTTTCGTTGGAAACGGGAATATCTTCATATAAAATCTAGACGGAAGCATTCTCAGAAACTGCTTTGTGATGTTTTCATTCAAGTCACAGAGTAGAATGTTCCCTGTTATATACCAGGTTTGAGACACTCTTTCTGCACTACCCGGAAGTGGACGTTTTTAGCGCTTTGAGGCCTATGTTGAAAAAGGAAATATCTTCCCATAAAAACTAGACAGAAGCATTCTCAGAAACTTGTTTGTGATGTGTGTATTCAACTAACAGAGATGAACCTTTCTTTTTACAGAGCAGTTTTGAAACACTCTTTTTGTGGAATCTGAAAGTGGATATTTGGATAGCTTTGAGGATTTCGTTGGAAACGGGATTACATATAAAATCTAGAGAGAAGCATTCTCAGGAACTTCTTTGTGATGTTTGCATTCACGTCACAGAACTGAACATTCCCTTTCATAGAGCATGTTTGAAACACTCTTTCTGTAGTATCTGCAAACGGACATTTCAAACGCTTTCAGGCCTATGGTGAGAAAGGAAATATCTTCATGTAAAAACTAGACAGAAGCATTCTCAGAAACTTATTTGCGATGTGTGTCCTCAACTAACAGAGTTGAACCTTTCTTTTGATACAACATTTTGGAAACACTCTTTTTGTAGAATCTGCAAGTGGATATTTGAATAGCTTTGAAGGTTTCGTTGGAAACGGGAATATCTTCATATAAAATCAAGACAGAAGCATTCTCAGAAACTTCTCTGTGATGTTTGCATTCAACTCATAGAGTTGAACACTTCCCTTCATACAGCAGGTTTGAAACACTCTTTTTGTAATATTTGGAAGTGGACATTTGCAGCGCTTTGAGGCCTATGATGAAAAAGGTAATATCTTCCCATAAAAACTAGACAGAAGCATTCTCAGAAACTTGTTTGTGATGTGTGTATTCAACTAACAGAGATGAACCTTTCTTTTTACAGAGCAGTTTTGAAACACTCTTTTTGTGGAATCTGAAAGTGGATATTTGGATAGCTTTGCGGATTTCGTTGGAAACGGGATTACATATAAAATCTAGGGAGAAGCATTCTCAGGAACTTCTTTGTGATGTTTGCATTCAAGTCACAGAACTGAACATTCCCTTTCATAGAGCAGGTTTGAAACACTCTTTCTGTAGTATCAGCAAGCGGACGTTTTAAGCGCTTTCAGGCCTGTGGTGAGAAAGGAAATATCTTCAAATAAAAACTAGACAGAAGCATTCTCAGAAACTTATTTGCGATGTGTGTCCTCAACTAACAGAGTTGAACCTTTGTTTTGATACAACATTTTGGAAACACTCTTTTTGTAGAATCTGCAAGTGGATATTTGGATAGCTTTGAAGGTTTCGTTGGAAACGGGAATATCTTCATATAAAATCAAGACAGAAGCATTCTCAGAAACTTCTCTGTGATGTTTGCATTCAACTCATAGAGTTGAACACTTCCTTTCATAGAGCTGGTTTGAAATACTCTTTTTGTAATATTTGGAAGTGGACATTGGCAGCGCTTTGAAGCCTATGGTGAAAAAGGAGATATCTTCTCCTAAAAACCAGACAGAAGCATTCTCAGAAACTTATTTGCGATGTGTGTCCTCAACTAACAGAGTTGAACCTTTCTTTTGATACAACATTTTGGAAACACTCTTTTTGTAGAATCTGTAAGTGGACATTTGGATAGGTTTGAAGGTTTCGTTGGAAACGGGAATATCTTCATATAAAATCAAGACAGAAGCATTCTCAGAAACTTCTCTTTGATGTTTGCATTCAACTCATAGAGTTGAACACTTCCCTTCATACAGCAGGTTTGAAACACTCTTTTTGTAATATTTGGAAGTGGACATTTGCAGCGCTTTGAGGCCTATGATGAAAAAGGTAATATCTTCCCATAAAAACTAGACAGAAGCATTCTCAGAAACTTGTTTGAGATGTGTGTATTCAACTAACAGAGATGAACCTTTCTTTTTACAGAGCAGTTTTGAAACACTCTTTTTGTGGAATCTGAAAGTGGATATTTGGATAGCTTTGCGGATTTCGTTGGAAACGGGATTACACATAAAATCTAGGGAGAAGCATTCTCAGGAACTTCTTTGTGATGTTTGCATTCAAGTCACAGAACTGAACATTCCCTTTCATAGATCAGGTTTGAAACACTCTTTCTGTAGTATCTGCAAGCGGACGTTTTAAGCGCTTTCAGGCCTATGGTGAGAAAGGAAATATCTTCAAGTAAAAACTAGACAGAAGCATTCTCAGAAACTTATTTGCCATGTGTGTCCTCAACTAACAGAGTTGAACCTTTGTTTTGATACGGCATTTTGGAAACACTCTTTTTGTAGAATCTGCAGGTGGATATTCGGATAGCTTTGAAGGTTTCGTTGGAAACGGGAATATCTTCATATAAAATCAAGACAGAAGCATTCTCAGAAACTTCTCTGTGATGTTTGCATTCAACTCATAGAGTTGAACACTTCCCTTCATACAGCAGGTTTGAAACACTCTTTTTGTAATATTTGGAAGTGGACATTTGCAGCGCTTTGAGGCCTATGATGAAAAAGGTAATATCTTCCCATAAAAACTAGACAGAAGCATTCTCAGAAACTTATTTGCGATGTGTGTCCTCAACTAACAGAGTTGAACCTTTCTTTTGATACAACATTTTGGAAACACTCTTTTTGTAGAATCTGCAAGTGGATATTTGAATAGCTTTGAAGGTTTCGTTGGAAACGGGAATATCTTCATATAAAATCAAGACAGAAGCATTCTCAGAAACTTCTCTGTGATGTTTGCATTCAACTCATAGAGTTGAACACTTCCCTTCATAGAGCAGGTTTGAAACACTCTTTTTGTAATATTTGGAAGTGGACATTTGCAGCGCTTTGAGGCCTATGTTGAAAAAAGAAATATCTTCTCCTAAAAACCAGACAGAAGCATTCTCAGAAACTTCCTTGTGATGTGTGTACTCAAGTAACAGAGTTGAACCTTACTTTTGACAGAGCCGTTTTGAAACAGTCTTTTTGTAGAATCTGGAAGTAGATATTTGGACACATTTGAGGATTTCTTTGGAAACGGGATATCTTCATATAAAATCTAGACAGAAGCATTCTCAGGAACTTCTTTGTGATGTTTGCATTCAAGTCACAGAACTGAACATTCCCTTTCATAGAGCAGGTTTGAAACACTCTTTCTGTAGTATCTGCAAGCTGACGTTTCAAGCGCTTTCAGGCCTATGGTGAGAAAGGAAATATCTTCAAGTAAAAACTAGACAGAAGCATTCTCAGAAACTTATTTGCGATGTGTGTTCTCAACTAACAGAGTTGAACCTTTGTTTTGATATGGCATTTTGGAAACACTCTTTTTGTAGAATCTGCAGGTGGATATTCGGATAGCTTTGAAGGTTTCGTTGGAAACGGGAATATCTTCATATAAAATCTAGACGGAAGCATTCTCAGAAACTGCTTTGTGATGTTTTCATTCAAGTCACAGAGTAGAATCTTCCCTGTTATATACCAGGTTTCAGACACTCTTTCTGCACTACCTGGAAGTGGACATTTGCAGCGCTTTGAGGCCTATGATGAAAAAGGAAATATCTTCCCATAAAAACTAGACAGAAGCATTCTCAGAAACTTGTTTGTGATGTGTGTATTCAACTAACAGAGATGAACCTTTCTTTTTACAGAGAAGTTTTGAAACACTCTTTTTGTGGAATCTGAAAGTGGATATTTGGATAGCTTTGAGGATTTCGTTGGAAACGGGATTACATATAAAACCTAGAGAGAAGCATTCTCAGGAACTTCTTTGTGATGTTTGCATTCAAGTCACAGAACTGAACATTCCCTTTCATAGAGCAGGTTTGAAACACTCTTTCTGTAGTATCTGCAAGCGGACGTTTCAAGCACTTTCAGGCCTATGGTGAGAAAGGAAATATCTTCAAGTAAAAACTAGACAGAAGCATTCTCAGAAACTTATTTGCCATGTGTGTTCTCAACTAACAGAGTTGAACCTTTGTTTTGATACGGCATTTTGGAAACACTCTTTTTGTAGAATCTGCAGGTGGATATTCGGATAGCTTTGAAGGTTTCGTTGGAAACGGGAATATCTTCATATAAAATCTAGACGGAAGCATTCTCAGAAACTGCTTTGTGATGTTTTCATTCAAGTCACAGAGTAGAATGTTCCCTGTTATATACCAGATTTGAGACACTCTTTCTGCACTACCTGGAAGTGGACATTTGGAGCGCTTTGAGG
Source organism: Homo sapiens (assembly GCF_000001405.40). Lineage (NCBI taxonomy): Eukaryota > Metazoa > Chordata > Mammalia > Primates > Hominidae > Homo > Homo sapiens. The sequence continues at coordinate 44,672,805 of NC_000009.12, forward strand.
CCTATGTTGAAAAAGGAAATATCTTCCCATAAAAACTAGACAGAAGCATTCTCAGAAACTTGTTTGTGATGTGTGTATTCAACTAACAGAGATGAACCTTTCTTTTTACAGAGCAGTTTTGAAACACTCTTTTTGTGGAATCTGAAAGTGGATATTTGGATAGCTTTGAGGATTTCGTTGGAAACGGGATTACATATAAAACCTAGAGAGAAGCATTCTCAGGAACTTCTTTGTGATGTTTGCATTCAAGTCACAGAACTGAACATTCCCTTTCATAGAGCAGGTTTGAAACACTCTTTCTGTAGTATCTGCAAGCTGACGTTTCAAGCGCTTTCAGGCCTATGGTGAGAAAGGAAATATCTTCAAGTAAAAACTAGACAGGAAGCATTCTCAGAAACTTATTTGCGATGTGTGTTCTCAACTAACAGAGTTGAACCTTTGTTTGGATACAACATTTTGGAAACACTCTTTTTGTAGAATCTGCAAGTGGATATTTGGATAGCTTTGAAGGTTTCGTTGTTAACGGGAATATCTTCATATAAAATCAAGACAGAAGCATTCTCAGAAACTGCTTTGTGATGTTTTCATTCAAGTCACAGAGTAGAATGTTCCCCTGTTATATACGAGGTTTGAGACACTCTTTCTGCACTACCTGGAAGTGGACATTTGCAGCGCTTTGAGGCCTATGATGAAAAAGGAAATATCTTCCCATAAAAACTAGACAGAAGCATTCTCAGAAACTTGTTTGTGATGTGTGTATTCAACTAACAGAGATGAACCTTTCTTTTTACAGAGCAGTTTTGAAACACTCTTTTTGTGGAATCTGAAAGTGGATATTTGGATAGCTTTGAGGATTTCGTTGGAAACGGGATTACATATAAAACCTAGAGAGAAGCATTCTCAGGAACTTCTTTGTGATGTTTGCATTCACGTCACAGAACTGAACATTCCCTTTCATAGAGCATGTTTGAAACACTCTTTCTGTAGTATCTGCAAACGGACATTTCAAACGCTTTCAGGCCTATGGTGAGAAAGGAAATATCTTCAAGTAAAAACTAGACAGAAGCATTCTCAGAAACTTATTTGCGATGTGTGTCCTCAACTAACAGAGTTGAACCTTTCTTTTGATACAACATTTTGGAAACACTCTTTTTGTAGAATCTGCAAGTGGATATTTGAATAGCTTTGAAGGTTTCGTTGGAAACGGGAATATCTTCATATAAAATCAAGACAGAAGCATTCTCAGAAACTTCTCTGTGATGTTTGCATTCAACTCATAGAGTTGAACACTTCCCTTCATACAGCAGGTTTGAAACACTCTTTTTCTAATATTTGGAAGTGGACTTTTGCAGCGCTTTGAAGCCTATGATGAAAAAGGTAATATCTTCCCATAAAAACTAGACAGAAGCATTCTCAGAAACTTGTTTGTGATGTGTGTATTCAACTAACAGAGATGAACCTTTCTTTTTACAGAGCAGTTTTGAAACACTCTTTTTGTGGAATCTGAAAGTGGATATTTGGATAGCTTTGCGGATTTCGTTGGAAACGGGATTACATATAAAATCTAGGGAGAAGCATTCTCAGGAACTTCTTTGTGATGTTTGCATTCAAGTCACAGAACTGAACATTCCCTTTCATAGAGCAGGTTTGAAACACTCTTTCTGTAGTATCTGCAAGCGGACGTTTTAAGCGCTTTCAGGCCTGTGGTGAGAAAGGAAATATCTTCAAATAAAAACTAGACAGAAGCATTCTCAGAAACTTATTTGCGATGTGTGTCCTCAACTAACAGAGTTGAACCTTTCTTTTGATACAACATTTTGGAAACACTCTTTTTGTAGAATCTGCAAGTGGATATTTGGATAGCTTTGAAGGTTTCGTTGGAAACGGGAATATCTTCATATGAAATCAAGACAGAAGCATTCTCAGAAACTTCTCTGTGATGTTTGCATTCAACTCATAGAGTTGAACACTTCCCTTCATACAGCAGGTTTGAAACACTCTTTTTCTAATATTTGGAAGTGGACATTTGCAGCGCTTTGAGGCCTATGTTGAAAAAGGAAATATCTTCTCCTAAAAACCAGACAGAAGCATTCTCAGAAACTTGTTTGTGATGTGTGTATTCAACTAACAGAGATGAACCTTTCTTTTTACAGAGCAGTTTTGAAACACTCTTTTTGTGGAATCTGAAAGTGCATATTTGGATAGCTTTGAGGATTTCGTTGGAAACGGGATTACATATAAAATCTAGAGAGAAGCATTCTCAGGAACTTCTTTGTGATGTTTGCATTCACGTCACAGAACTGAACATTCCCTTTCATAGAGCATGTTTGAAACACTCTTTCTGTAGTATCTGCAAACGGACATTTCAAGCGCTTTCAGGCCTATGGTAAGAAAGGAAATTTCTTCAAATAAAAACTAGACAGAAGCATTCTCAGAAACTTATTTGCGATGTGTGTCCTCAACTAACAGAGTTGAACCTTTGTTTTGATACAACATTTTGGAAACACTCTTTTAGTAGAATCTGCAAGTGGATATTTGGATAGCTTTGAAGGTTTCGTTGGAAACGGGAATATCTTCATATAAAATCAAGACAGAAGCATTCTCAGAAACTTCTCTGTGATGTTTGCATTCAACTCATAGAGGTGAACACTTCCCTTCATAGAGCAGGTTTGAAACACTCTTTTTGTAATATTTGGAAGTGGACATTTGCAGCGCTTTGAGGCCTATGTTGAAAAAGGAAATATCTTCTCCTAAAAACCAGACAGAAGCATTCTCAGAAACTTATTTGCGATGTGTGTTCTCAACTAACAGAGTTGAACCTTTGTTTTGATATGGCATTTTGGAAACACTCTTTTTGTAGAATCTGCAGGTGGATATTCGGATAGCTTTGAAGGTTTCGTTGGAAACGGGAATATCTTCATATAAAATCTAGACGGAAGCATTCTCAGAAACTGCTTTGTGATGTTTTCATTCAAGTCACAGAGTAGAATGTTCCCTGTTATACACCAGGTTTGAGACACTCTTTCTGCACTACCTGGAAGTGGACGTTTGGAGCGCTTTGAGGCCTATGTTGAAAAAGGAAATATCTTCCCATAAAAACTAGACAGAAGCATTCTCAGAAACTTGTTTGTGATGTGTGTATTCAACTAACAGAGATGAACCTTTCTTTTTACAGAGCAGTTTTGAAACACTCTTTTTGTGGAATCTGAAAGTGGATATTTGGATAGCTTTGAGGATTTCGTTGGAAACGGGATTACATATAAAACCTAGAGAGAAGCATTCTCAGGAACTTCTTTGTGATGTTTGCCTTCAAGTCACAGGACTGAACATTCCCTTTCATAGAGCAGGTTTGAAACACTCTTTCTGTAGTATCTGCAAGCTGACGTTTCAAGCGCTTTCAGGCCTATGGTGAGAAAGGAAATATCTTCAAGTAAAAACTAGACAGAAGCATTCTCAGAAACTTATTTGCCATGTGTGTTCTCAACTAACAGAGTTGAACCTTTGTTTTGATACGGCATTTTGGAAACACTCTTTTTGTAGAATCTGCAGGTGGATATTCGGATAGCTTTGAAGGTTTCGTTGGAAACGGGAATATCTTCATATAAAATCTTGACGGAAGCATTCTCAGAAACTGCTTTGTGATGTTTTCATTCAAGTCACAGAGTAGAATCTTCCCTGTTATATACCAGGTTTCAGACACTCTTTCTGCACTACCTGGAAGTGGACATTTGCAGCGCTTTGAGGCCTATGATGAAAAAGGAAATATCTTCCCATAAAAACTAGACAGAAGCATTCTCAGAAACTTGTTTGTGATGTGTGTATTCAACTAACAGAGATGAACCTTTCTTTTTACAGAGCAGTTTTGAAACACTCTTTTTGTGGAATCTGAAAGTGGATATTTGGATAGCTTTGAGGATTTCGTTGGAAACGGGATTACATATAAAATCTAGAGAGAAGCATTCTCAGGAACTTCTTTGTGATGTTTGCATTCACGTCACAGAACTGAACATTCCCTTTCATAGAGCATGTTTGAAACACTCTTTCTGTAGTATCTGCAAACGGACATTTCAAACGCTTTCAGGCCTATGGTGAGAAAGGAAATATCTTCAAATAAAAACTAGACAGAAGCATTCTCAGAAACTTATTTGCGATGTGTGTCCTCAACTAACAGAGTTGAACCTTTCTTTTGATACAACATTTTGGAAACACTCTTTTTGTAGAATCTGCAAGTGGATATTTGGATAGCTTTGAAGGTTTCGTTGGAAACGGGAATATCTTCATATAAAATCAAGACAGAAGCATTCTCAGAAAGTGCTTTGTGATGTTTGCATTCAAGTCACAGAGTTGAATATTCCCTTTTATAGAGCAGGTTTGAAACACTCTTTCTGCACTACCTGGAAGTGGACATTTGGAGCGCTTTGAGGCCTATGTTGAAAAAGGAAATATCTTCCCATAAAAACTAGACAGAAGCATTCTCAGAAACTTGTTTGTGATGTGTGTATTCAACTAACAGAGATGAACCTTTCTTTTTACAGAGCAGTTTTGAAACACTCTTTTTGTGGAATCTGAAAGTGGATATTTGGATAGCTTTGAGGATTTCGTTGGAAACGGGATTACATATAAAACCTAGAGAGAAGCATTCTCAGGAACTTCTTTGTGATGTTTGCATTCAAGTCACAGGACTGAACATTCCCTTTCATAGAGCAGGTTTGAAACACTCTTTCTGTGGTATCTGCAAGCTGACGTTTCAAGCGCTTTCAGGCCTATGGTGAGAAAGGAAATATCTTCAAGTAAAAACTAGACAGAAGCATTCTGAGAAACTTATTTGCCATGTGTGTTCTCAACTAACAGAGTTGAACCTTTGTTTTGATACGGCATTTTGGAAACACTCTTTTTGTAGAATCTGCAGGTGGATATTCGGATAGCTTTGAAGGTTTCGTTGGAAACGGGAATATCTTCATATAAAATCTACACGGAAGCATTCTCAGAAACTGCTTTGTGATGTTTTCATTCAAGTCACAGAGTAGAATGTTCCCTGTTATATACCAGGTTTGAGACACTCTTTCTGCACTACCTGGAAGTGGACGTTTGGAGCGCTTTGAGGCCTATGTTGAAAAAGGAAATATCTTCCCATAAAAACTAGACAGAAGCATTCTCAGAAACTTGTTTGTGATGTGTGTATTCAACTAACAGAGATGAACCTTTCTTTTTACAGAGCAGTTTTGAAACACTCTTTTTGTGGAATCTGAAAGTGGATATTTGGATAGCTTTGAGGATTTCGTTGGAAACGGGATTACATATAAAACCTAGAGAGAAGCATTCTCAGGAACTTCTTTGTGATGTTTGCATTCAAGTCACAGAACTGAACATTCCCTTTCATAGAGCAGGTTTGAAACACTCTTTCTGTAGTATCTGCAAGCGGACGTCTCAAGCGCTTTCAGGCCTATGGTGAGAAAGGAAATATCTTCAAGTAAAAACTAGACAGAAGCATTCTCAGAAACTTATTTGCCATGTGTGTTCTCAACTAACAGAGTTGAACATTTGTTTTGATACGGCATTTTGGAAACACTCTTTTTGTAGAATCTGCAGGTGGATATTCGGATAGCTTTGAAGGTTTCGTTGGAAACGGGAATATCTTCATATAAAATCTGGACGGAAGCATTCTCAGAAACTGCTTTGTGATGTTTTCATTCAAGTCACAGAGTAGAATCTTCCCTGTTATATACCAGGTTTGAGACACTCTTTCTGCACTACCTGGAAGTGGACATTTGGAGCGCTTTGAGGCCTATGATGAAAAAGGAAATATCTTCCCATAAAAACTAGACAGAAGCATTCTCAGAAACTTGTTTGTGATGTGTGTATTCAACTAACAGAGATGAACCTTTCTTTTTACAGAGCAGTTTTGAAACACTCTTTTTGTGGAATCTGAAAGTGGATATTTGGATAGCTTTGAGGATTTCGTTGGAAACGGGATTACATATAAAACCTAGAGAGAAGCATTCTCAGGAACTTCTTTGTGATGTTTGCCTTCAAGTCACAGGACTGAACATTCCCTTTCATAGAGCAGGTTTGAAACACTCTTTCTGTAGTATCTGCAAGCTGACGTTTCAAGCGCTTTCAGGCCTATGGTGAGAAAGGAAATATCTTCAAGTAAAAACTAGACAGAAGCATTCTCCGAAACTTATTTGCCATGTGTGTTCTCAACTAACAGAGTTGAACCTTTGTTTTGATACGGCATTTTGGAAACACTCTTTTTGTAGAATCTGCAGGTGGATATTCGGATAGCTTTGAAGGTTTCGTTGGAAACGGGAATATCTTCATATAAAATCTTGACGGAAGCATTCTCAGAAACTGCTTTGTGATGTTTTCATTCAAGTCACAGAGTAGAATCTTCCCTGTTATATACCAGGTTTGAGACACTCTTTCTGCACTACCTGGAAGTGGACGTTTGGAGCGCTTTGAGGCCTATGTTGAAAAAGGAAATATCTTCCCATAAAAACTAGACAGAAGCATTCTCAGAAACTTGTTTGTGATGTGTGTATTCAACTAACAGAGATGAACCTTTCTTTTTACAGAGCAGTTTTGAAACACTCTTTTTGTGGAATCTGAAAGTGGATATTTGGATAGCTTTGAGGATTTCGTTGGAAACGGGATTACATATAAAACCTAGAGAGAAGCATTCTCAGGAACTTCTTTGTGATGTTTGCCTTCAAGTCACAGGACTGAACATTCCCTTTCATAGAGCAGGTTTGAAACACTCTTTCTGTAGTATCTGCAAGCTGACGTTTCAAGCGCTTTCAGGCCTATGGTGACAAAGGAAATATCTTCAAGTAAAAACTAGACAGAAGCATTCTCAGAAACTTATTTGCGATGTGTGTTCTCAACTAACAGAGTTGAACCTTTGTTTTGATATGGCATTTTGGAAACACTCTTTTTGTAGAATCTGCAGGTGGATATTCGGATAGCTTTGAAGGTTTCGTTGGAAACGGGAATATCTTCATATAAAATCTAGACGGAAGCATTCTCAGAAACTGCTTTGTGATGTTTTCATTCAAGTCAAGGAGTTTAAGCTTTCTTTTCATAGAGTAGTTTGGAAACACTCTGTCTGTAAAGTCTGCAAGCAGATATTTGGACCTCTTTGGGGCCTTCGTTGGAAACGGGATTTCTTCATAGAACGCTAGAAAGAAGCATTCTCAGGAACTTCTTTGTGATGTTTGCATTCAAGTCACAGAACTGAACATTCCCTTTCATAGAGCATGTTTGAAACACTCTTTCTGTAGTATTTGCAAACGGACATTTCATACGCTTTCAGGCCTATGGTGAGAAAGGAAATATCTTCAAATAAAAACTAGACAGAAGCATTCTCAGAAACTTATTTGCGATGTGTGTCCTCAACTAACACAGTTGAACCTTTGTTTTGATACAGCATTTTGGAAACACTCTTTTTGTAGGATCTGCAGGTGGATATTTGGATAGGTTTGAAGGTTTCGTTGGAAACGGGAATATCTTCATATAAAATCAACACAGAAGCATTCTCAGAAACTTCTCTGCGATGTTTGCATTCAACTCATAGAGTTGAACACTTCCTTTCATAGAGCTGGTTTGAAATACTCTTTTTGTAATATTTGGAAGTGGACATTGGCAGCGCTTTGAAGCCTATGTTGAAAAAGGAAATATCTTCTCCTAAAAACCAGACAGAAGCATTCTCAGAAACTTCCTTGTGATGTGTGTACTCAAGTAACAGAGTTGAACCTTCCTTTTGACAGAGCCGTTTTGAAACAGTCTTTTTGTAGAATCTGGAAGTAGATATTTGGATACCTTTGAGGATTTCTTTGGAAACGGGATATCTTCATATAAAATCTAGACAGAAGCATTCTCAGGAACTTCTTTGTGATGTTTGCATTCAAGTCACAGAACTGAACTTTCCCTTTCATAGAGCAGGTTTGAAACACTCTTTCTGTAGTATCTGCAAGCGGACATTTCAAGCGCTTTCAGGCCTATGGTGAGAAAGGAAATATCTTCAAATAAAAACTAGACAGAAGCATTCTCAGAAACTTATTTGCGATGTGTGTTCTCAACTAACAGAGTTGAACCTTTGTTTTGATATGGCATTTTGGAAACACTCTTTTTGTAGAATCTGCAGGTGGATATTCGGATAGCTTTGAAGGTTTCGTTGGAAACGGGAATATCTTCATATAAAATCTAGACGGAAGCATTCTCAGAAACTGCTTTGTGATGTTTTCATTCAAGTCACAGAGTAGAATGTTCCCTGTTATATACCAGGTTTGAGACACTCTTTCTGCACTACCTGGAAGTGGACGTTTGGAGCGCTTTGAGGCCTATGTTGAAAAAGGAAATATCTTCCCATAAAAACTAGACAGAAGCATTCTCAGAAACTTGTTTGTGATGTGTGTATTCAACTAACAGAGATGAACCTTTCTTTTTACAGAGCAGTTTTGAAACACTCTTTTTGTGGAATCTGAACGTGGATATTTGGATAGCTTTGCGGATTTCGTTGGAAACGGGATTACATATAAAATCTAGGGAGAAGCATTCTCAGGAACTTCTTTGTGATGTTTGCATTCAAGTCACAGAACTGAACATTCCCTTTCATAGAGCAGGTTTGAAACACTCTTTCTGTAGTATCTGCAAGCGGACGTTTTAAGCGCTTTCAGGCCTGTGGTGAGAAAGGAAATATCTTCAAACAAAAACTAGACAGAAGCATTCTCAGAAACTTATTTGCGATGTGTGTCCTCAACTAACAGAGTTGAACCTTTCTTTTGATACAACATTTTGGAAACACTCTTTTTGTAGAATCTGCAAGTGGATATTTGGATAGCTTTGAAGGTTTCGTTGGAAACGGGAATATCTTCATATGAAATCAAGACAGAAGCATTCTCAGAAACTTCTCTGTGATGTTTGCATTCAACTCATAGAGTTGAACACTTCCCTTCATACAGCAGGTTTGAAACACTCTTTTTCTAATATTTGGAAGTGGACATTTGCAGCGCTTTGAGGCCTATGTTGAAAAAGGAAATATCTTCTCCTAAAAACCAGACAGAAGCATTCTCAGCAAACTTGTTTGTGATGTGTGTATTCAACTAACAGGGATGAACCTTTCTTATTACAGTGCAGTTTTGAAACACTCTTTTTGTGGAATCTGAAAGTGGATATTTGGATAGCTTTGAGGACTTCGTTGGAAACGGGATTACATATAAAACCTAGGGAGAAGCATTCTCAGGAACTTCTTTGTGATGTTTGCATTCAAGTCACAGAACTGAACATTCCCTTTCATAGAGCATGTTTGAAACACTCTTTCTGTAGTATCTGCAAGCGGACGTTTTAAGCGCTTTCAGGCCTGTGGTGAGAAAGGAAATATCTTCAAATAAAAACTAGACAGAAGCATTCTCAGAAACTTATTTGCGATGTGTGTCCTCAACTAACAGAGTTGAACCTTTCTTTTGATACAACATTTTGGAAACACTCTTTTTGTAGAATCTGCAAGTGGATATTTGGATAGCTTTGAAGGTTTCGTTGGAAACGGGAATATCTTCATATGAAATCAAGACAGAAGCATTCTCAGAAAGTGCTTTGTGATGTTTGCATTCAAGTCACAGAGTTGAATATTCCCTTTTATAGAGCAGGTTTGAAACACTCTTTCTGCACTACCTGGAAGTGGACATTTGGAGCGCTTTGAGGCCTATGTTGAAAAAGGAAATATCTTCCCATAAAAACTAGACAGAAGCATTCTCAGAAACTTGTTTGTGATGTGTGTATTCAACTAACAGAGATGAACCTTTCTTTTTACAGAGCAGTTTTGAAACACTCTTTTTGTGGAATCTGAAAGTGGATATTTGGATAGCTTTGAGGATTTCGTTGGAAACGGGATTACATATAAAACCTAGAGAGAAGCATTCTCAGGAACTTCTTTGTGATGTTTGCCTTCAAGTCACAGGACTGAACATTCCCTTTCATAGAGCAGGTTTGAAACACTCTTTCTGTAGTATCTGCAAGCTGACGTTTCAAGCGCTTTCAGGCCTATGGTGAGAAAGGAAATATCTTCAAGTAAAAACTAGACAGAAGCATTCTCAGAAACTTATTTGCCATGTGTGTTCTCAACTAACAGAGTTGAACCTTTGTTTTGATACGGCATTTTGGAAACACTCTTTTTGTAGAATCTGCAGGTGGATATTCGGATAGCTTTGAAGGTTTCGTTGGAAACGGGAATATCTTCATATAAAATCTAGACGGAAGCATTTTCAGAAACTGCTTTGTGATGTTTTCATTCAAGTCACAGAGTAGAATGTTCCCTGTTATATACCAGGTTTGAGACACTCTTTCTGCACTACCTGGAAGTGGACATTTGGAGCGCTTTGAGGCCTATGATGAAAAAGGATATATCTTCCCAAAAAACTAGACAGAAGCATTCTCAGAAAGTTGTTTGTGATGTGTGTATTCAACTAACAGAGATGAACCTTTCTTTTTACAGAGCAGTTTTGAAACACTCTTTTTGTGGAATCTGAAAGTGGATATTTGGATAGCTTTGAGGATTTCGTTGGAAACGGGATTACATATAAAACCTAGAGAGAAGCATTCTCAGGAACTTCTTTGTGATGTTTGCATTCACGTCACAGAACTGAACATTCCCTTTCATAGAGCATGTTTGAAACACTCTTTCTGTAGTATCTGCAAACGGACATTTCAAACGCTTTCAGGCCTATGGTGAGAAAGGAAATATCTTCAAATAAAAACTAGACAGAAGCATTCTCAGAAACTTATTTGCGATGTGTGTCCTCAACTAACAGAGTTGAACCTTTCATTTGATACAACATTTTGGAAACACTCTTTTTGTGGAATCTGCAAGTGGATATTTGGATAGCTTTGAAGATTTCGTTGGAAACGGGAATATCTTCATATAAAATCAAGACAGAAGCATTCTCAGAAACTTCTCTGTGATGTTTGCATTCAACTCATAGAGTTGAACACTTCCCTTCATACAGCAGGTTTGAAACACTCTTTTTGTAATATTTGGAAGTGGACATTTGCAGCGCTTTGAGGCCTATGATGAAAAAGGTAATATCTTCCCATAAAAACTAGACAGAATCATTCTCAGAAACTTGTTTGTGATGTGTGTATTCAACTAACAGAGATGAACCTTTCTTTTTACAGAGCAGTTTTGAAACACTCTTTTTGTGGAATCTGAAAGTGGATATTTGGATAGCTTTGAGGATTTCGTTGGAAACGGGATTACATATAAAATCTAGGGAGAAGCATTCTCAGGAACTTCTTTGTGATGTTTGCATTCAAGTCACAGAACTGAACATTCCCTTTCATAGAGCAGGTTTGAAACACTCTTTCTGTAGTATCTGCAAGCTGACGTTTCAAGCGCTTTCAGGCCTATGGTGAGAAAGGAAATATCTTCAAGTAAAAACTAGACAGAAGCATTCTCAGAAACTTATTTGCCATGTGTGTTCTCAACTAACATAGTTGAACCTTTGTTTTGATACGGCATTTTGGAAACACTCTTTTTGTAGAATCTGCAGGTGGATATTCGGATAGCTTTGAAGGTTTCGTTGGAAACGGGAATATCTTCATATAAAATCTAGACGGAAGCATTCTCAGAAACTGCTTTGTGATGTTTTCATTCAAGTCACAGAGTAGAATGTTCCCTGTTATATACCAGGTTTGAGACACTCTTTCTGCACTACCCGGAAGTGGATGTTTGGAGCGCTTTGAGGCCTATGTTGAAAAAGGAAATATCTTCCCATAAAAACTAGACAGAAGCATTCTCAGAAACTTGTTTGTGATGTGTGTATTCAACTAACAGAGATGAACCTTTCTTTTTACAGAGCAGTTTTGAAACACTCTTTTTGTGGAATCTGAAAGTGGATATTTGGATAGCTTTGAGGATTTCGTTGGAAACGGGATTACATATAAAATCTAGAGAGAAGCATTCTCAGGAACTTCTTTGTGATGTTTGCCTTCAAGTCACAGGACTGAACATTCCCTTTCATAGAGCAGGTTTGAAACACTCTTTCTGTAGTATCTGCAAGCTGACGTTTCAAGCGCTTTCAGGCCTATGGTGAGAAAGGAAATATCTTCAAGTAAAAACTAGACAGGAAGCATTCTCAGAAACTTATTTGCGATGTGTGTTCTCAACTAACAGAGTTGAACCTTTGTTTTGATACAACATTTTGGAAACACTCTTTTTGTAGAATCTGCAAGTGGATATTTTGATAGCTTTGAAGGTTTCGTTGGAAACGGGAATATCTTCATATAAAATCAAGACAGAAGCATTCTCAGAAAGTGCTTTGTGATGTTTGCATTCAAGTCACAGAGTTGAATATTCCCTTTTATAGAGCAGGTTTGAAACACTCTTTCTGCACTACCTGGAAGTGGACATTTGGAGCGCTTTGAGGCCTATGTTGAAAAAGGAAATATCTTCCCATAAAAACTAGACAGAAGCATTCTCAGAAACTTGTTTGTGATGTGTGTATTCAACTAACAGAGATGAACCTTTCTTTTTACAGAGCAGTTTTGAAACACTGTTTTTGTGGAATCTGAAAGTGGATATTTGGATAGCTTTGAGGATTTCGTTGGAAACGGGATTACATATAAAACCTAGAGAGAAGCATTCTCAGGAACTTCTTTGTGATGTTTGCATTCACGTCACAGAACTGAACATTCCCTTTCATAGAGCATGTTTGAAACACTCTTTCTGTAGTATCTGCAAACGGACATTTCAAACGCTTTCAGGCCTATGGTGAGAAAGGAAATATCTTCAAATAAAAACTAGACAGAAACATTCTCAGTAACTTATTTGCGATGTGTGTCCTCAACTAACAGAGTTGAACCTTTCTTTTGATACAACATTTTGGAAACACTCTTTTTGTAGAATCTGCAAGTGGATATTTGAATAGCTTTGAAGGTTTCGTTGGAAACGGGAATATCTTCATATAAAATCAAGACAGAAGCATTCTCAGAAACTTCTCTGTGATGTTTGCATTCAACTCATAGAGTTGAACACTTCCCTTCATACAGCAGGTTTGAAACACTCTTTTTGTAATATTTGGAAGTGGACATTTGCAGCGCTTTGAGGCCTATGATGAAAAAGGTAATATCTTCCCATAAAAACTAGACAGAAGCATTCTCAGAAACTTGTTTGTGATGTGTGTATTCAACTAACAGAGATGAACCTTTCTTTTTACAGAGCAGTTTTGAAACACTCTTTTTGTGGAATCTGAAAGTGGATATTTGGATAGCTTTGAGGATTTCGTTGGAAACGGGATTACATATAAAATCTAGAGAGAAGCATTCTCAGGAACTTCTTTGTGATGTTTGCATTCAAGTCACAGAACTGAACATTCCCTGTCATAGAGCATGTTTGAAACACTCTTTCTGTAGTATCTGCAAGCGGACGTTTCAAGCGCTTTCAGGCCTATGGAGAGAAAGGAAATATCTTCAAGTAAAAACTAGACAGAAGCATTCTCAGAAACTTATTTGCGATGTGTGTCCTCAACTAACAGAGTTGAACCTTTCTTTTGATACAACATTTTGGAAACACTCTTTTTGTAGAATCTGCAAGTGGATATTTGAATAGCTTTGAAGGTTTCGTTGGAAACGGGAATATCTTCATATAAAATCAAGACAGAAGCATTCTCAGAAACTTCTCTGTGATGTTTGCATTCAACTCATAGAGTTGAACACTTCCCTTCATACAGCAGGTTTGAAACACTCTTTTTGTAATATTTGGAAGTGGACATTTGCAGCGCTTTGAGGCCTATGATGAAAAAGGAAATATCTTCCCATAAAAACTAGACAGGAAGCATTCTCAGAAACTTGTTTGTGATGTGTGTATTCAACTAACAGAGATGAACCTTTCTTTTTACAGAGCAGTTTTGAAACACTATTTTGTGGAATCTGAAAGTGGATATTTGGATAGCTTTGAGGATTTCGTTGGAAACGGGATTACATATAAAACCTAGAGAGAAGCATTCTCAGGAACTTCTTTGTGATGTTTGCATTCAAGTCACAGAACTGAACATTCCCTTTCATAGAGCAGGTTTGAAACACTCTTTCTGTAGTATCTGCAAGCTGACGTTTCAAGCGCTTTCAGGCCTATGGTGAGAAAGGAAATATCTTCAAGTAAAAACTAGACAGAAGCATTCTCAGAAACTTATTTGCCATGTGTGTTCTCAACTAACAGAGTTGAACCTTTGTTTTGATACGGCATTTTGGAAACACTCTTTTTGTAGAATCTGCAGGTGGATATACGGATAGCTTTGAAGGTTTCGTTGGAAACGGGAATATCTTCATATAAAGTCTAGACGGAAGCATTCTCAGAAACTGCTTTGTGATGTTTTCATTCAAGTCACAGAGTAGAATGTTCCCTGTTATATACCAGGTTTGAGACACTCTTTCTGCACTACCTGGAAGTGGACATTTGCAGCGCTTTGAGGCCTATGATGAAAAAGGAAATATCTTCCCATAAAAACTAGACAGAAGCATTCTCAGAAACTTGTTTGTGATGTGTGTATTCAACTAACAGAGATGAACATTTCTTTTTACAGAGCAGTTTTGAAACACTCTTTTTGTGGAATCTGAAAGTGGATATTTGGATAGCTTAGAGGATTTCGTTGGAAACGGGATTACATATAAAATCTAGAGGGAAGCATTCTCAGGAACTTCTTTGTGATGTTTGCATTCACGTCACAGAACTGAACATTCCCTTTCATAGAGCATGTTTGAAACACTCTTTCTGTAGTATCTGCAAACGGACATTTCAAACGCTTTCAGGCCTATGGTGAGAAAGGAAATATCTTCAAATAAAAACTAGACAGAAGCATTCTCAGAAACTTATTTGCGATGTGTGTCCTCAACTAACAGAGTTGAACCTTTCTTTTGATACAACATTTTGGAAACACTCTTTTTGTAGAATCTGCAAGTGGATATTTGAATAGCTTTGAAGGTTTCGTTGGAAACGGGAATATCTTCAAATAAAAACTAGACAGAAGCATTCTCAGAAACTGCTTTGTGATGTTTTCATTCAAGTCACAGAGTAGAATGTTCCCTGTTATATACCAGGTTTGAGACACTCTTTCTGCACTACCTGGAAGTGGACGTTTGGAGCGCTTTGACGCCTATGTTGAAAAAGGAAATATCTTCCCATAAAAACTAGACAGAAGCATTCTCAGAAACTTGTTTGTGATGTGTGTATTCAACTAACAGAGATGAACCTTTCTTTTTACAGAGCAGTTTTGAAACACTCTTTTTGTGGAATCTGAAAGTGGATATTTGGATAGCTTTGAGGATTTCGTTGGAAACGGGATTACATATAAAATCTAGAGAGAAGCATTCTCAGGAACTTCTTTGTGATGTTTGCATTCAAGTCACAGAACTGAACATTCCCTTTCATAGAGCATGTTTGAAACACTCTTTCTGTAGTATCTGCAAGCGGACGTTTCAAGCGCTTTCAGGCCTATGGTGAGAAAGGAAATATCTTCAAGTAAAAACTAGACAGAAGCATTCTCAGAAACTTATTTGCCATGTGTGTTCTCAACTAACAGAATTGAACCTTTGTTTTGATACGGCATTTTGGAAACACTCTTTTTGTAGAATCTGCAGGTGCATATTCGGATAGCTTTGAAGGTTTCGTTGGAAACGGGAATATCTTCATATAAAATCTAGACGGAAGCATTCTCAGAAACTGCTTTGTGATGTTTTCATTCCAGTCACAGAGTAGAATGTTCCCTTTTATATACCAGGTTTGAGACACTCTTTCTGCACTATCTGGAAGTGGACATTTGGAGCGCTTTGAGGCCTATGATGAAAAAGGAAATATCTTCCCATAAAAACTAGACAGAAGCATTCTCAGAAACTTGTTTGTGATGTGTGTATTCAACTAACAGAGATGAACCTTTCTTTTTACAGAGCAGTTTTGAAACACTCTTTTTGTGGAATCTGAAAGTGGATATTTGGATAGCTTTGAGGATTTCGTTGGAAACGGGATTACATATAAAATCTAGAGAGAAGCATTCTCAGGAACTTCTTTGTGATGTTTGCATTCAAGTCGCAGAACTCAACATTCCCTTTCATAGAGCAGGTTTGAAACACTCTTTCTGTAGTATCTGCAAGCTGACGTTTCAAGCGCTTTCAGGCCTATGGTGAGAAAGGAAATATCTTCAAGTAAAAACTAGACAGAAGCATTCTCAGAAACTTATTTGCGATGTGTGTTCTCAACTAACAGAGTTGAACCTTTGTTTTGATATGGCATTTTGGAAACACTCTTTTTGTAGAATCTGCAGGTGGATATTCGGATAGCTTTGAAGGTTTCGTTGGAAACGGGAATATCTTCATATAAAATCTAGACGGAAGCATTCTCAGAAACTGCTTTGTGATGTTTTCATTCAAGTCACACAGTAGAATGTTCCCTGTTATATACCAGGTTTGAGACACTCTTTCTGCACTACCTGGAAGTGGACATTTGCAGCGCTTTGAGGCCTATGATGAAAAAGGAAATATCTTCCCATAAAAACTAGACAGAAGCATTCTCAGAAACTTGTTTGTGATGTGTGTATTCAACTAACAGAGATGAACCTTTCTTTTTACAGAGCAGTTTTGAAACACTCTTTTTGTGGAATCTGAAAGTGGATATTTGGATAGCTTTGAGGATTTCGTTGGAAACGGGATTACGTATAAAACCTAGAGAGAAGCATTCTCAGGAACTTCTTTGTGATGTTTGCATTCACGTCACAGAACTGAACATTCCCTTTCATAGAGCATGTTTGAAACACTCTTTCTGTAGTATCTGCAAACGGACATTTCAAACGCTTTCAGGCCTATGGTGAGAAAGGAAATATCTTCAAATAAAAACTAGACAGAAGCATTCTCAGAAACTTATTTGCGATGTGTGTCCTCAACTATCAGAGTTGAACCTTTCTTTTGATACAACATTTTGGAAACACTCTTTTTGTAGAATCTGCAAGTGGATATTTGAATAGCTTTGAAGGTTTCGTTGGAAACGGGAATATCTTCATATAAAATCAAGACAGAAGCATTCTCAGAAACTTCTCTGTGATGTTTGCATTCAACTCATAGAGTTGAACACTTCCCTTCATACAGCAGGTTTGAAACACTCTTTTTGTAATATTTGGAAGTGGACATTTGCAGCGCTTTGAGGCCTATGATGAAAAAGGAAATATCTTCCCATAAAAACTAGACAGAAGCATTCTCAGAAACTTGTTTGTGATGTGTGTATTCAACTAACAGAGATGAACCTTTCTTTTTACAGAGCAGTTTTGAAACACTCTTTTTGTGGAATCTGAAAGTGGATATTTGGATAGCTTTGAGGATTTCGTTGGAAACGGGATTACCTATAAAATCTAGAGAGGAGCATTCTCAGGAACTTCTTTGTGATGTTTGCATTCACGTCACAGAACTGAACATTCCCTTTCATAGAGCATGTTTGAAACACTCTTTCTGTAGTATCTGCAAACGGACATTTCAAGCGCTTTCAGGCCTATGGTAAGAAAGGAAATATCTTCAAATAAAAACTAGACAGAAGCATTCTCAGAAACTTATTTGCCATGTGTGTTCTCAACTAACAGAGTTGAACCTTTGTTTTGATACGGCATTTTGGAAACACTCTTTTTGTAGAATCTGCAGGTGGATATTCGGATAGCTTTGAAGGTTTCGTTGGAAACGGGAATATCTTCATATAAAATCTAGACGGAAGCATTCTCAGAAAGTGCTTTGTGATGTTTTCATTCAAGTCACAGAGTAGAATCTTCCCTGTTATATACCAAGTTTCAGACACTCTTTCTGCACTACCTGGAAGTGGACATTTGCAGCGCTTTGAGGCCTATGATGAAAAAGGAAATATCTTCCCATAAAAACTAGACAGAAGCATTCTCAGAAACTTGTTTGTGATGTGTGTATTCAACTAACAGAGATGAACCTTTCTTTTTACAGAGCAGTTTTGAAACACTCTTTTTGTGGAATCTGAAAGTGGATATTTGGATAGCTTTGAGGATTTCGTTGGAAACGGGATTACATATAAAACCTAGAGAGAAGCATTCTCAGGAACTTCTTTGTGATGTTTGCATTCAAGTCACAGAACTGAACATTCCCTTTCATAGAGCAGGTTTGAAACACTCTTTCTGTAGTATCTGCAAGCTGACGTTTCAAGCGCTTTCAGGCCTATGGTGAGAAAGGAAATATCTTCAAGTAAAAACTAGACAGAAGCATTCTCAGAAACTTATTTGCCATGTGTGTTCTCAACTAACAGAGTTGAACCTTTGTTTTGATACGGCATTTTGGAAACACTCTTTTTGTAGAATCTGCAGGTGGATATTCGGATAGCTTTGAAGGTTTCGTTGGAAACGGGAATATCTTCATATAAAATCTAGACGGAAGCATTCTCAGAAACTGCTTTGTGATATTTTCATTCAAGTCACAGAGTAGAATGTTCCCTTTTATATACCAGGTTTGAGACACTCTTTCTGCACTATCTGGAAGTGGACATTTGGAGCGCTTTGAGGCCTATGATGAAAAAGGAAATATCTTCCCATAAAAACTAGACAGAAGCATTCTCAGAAACTTGTTTGTGATGTGTGTATTCAACTAACAGAGATGAACCTTTCTTTTTACAGAGCAGTTTTGAAACACTCTTTTTGTGGAATCTGAAAGTGGATATTTGGATAGCTTTGAGGATTTCGTTGGAAACGGGATTACATATAAAATCTAGAGAGAAGCATTCTCAGGAACTTCTTTGTGATGTTTGCATTCAAGTCACAGAACTGAACATTCCCTTTCATAGAGCAGGTTTGAAACAGTCTTTCTGTAGTATCTGCAAGCTGACGTTTCAAGCGCTTTCAGGCCTATGGTGAGAAAGGAAATATCTTCAAGTAAAAACTAGACAGAAGCATTCTCAGAAACTTATTTGCGATGTGTGTTCTCAACTAACAGAGTTGAACCTTTGTTTTGATATGGCATTTTGGAAACACTCTTTTTGTAGAATCTGCAGGTGGATATTCGGATAGCTTTGAACGTTTCGTTGGAAACGGGAATATCTTCATATAAAATCTAGACGGAAGCATTCTCAGAAACTGCTTTGTGATGTTTTCATTCAAGTCACAGAGTAGAATGTTCCCTGTTATATACCAGGTTTGAGACACTCTTTCTGCACTACCTGGAAGTGGACATTTGCAGCGCTTTGAGGCCTATGATGAAAAAGGAAATATCTTCCCATAAAAACTAGACAGAAGCATTCTCAGAAACTTGTTTGTGATGTGTGTATTCAACTAACAGAGATGAACCTTTCTTTTTACAGAGCAGTTTTGAAACACTCTTTTTGTGGAATCTGAAAGTGGATATTTGGATAGCTTTGAGGATTTCGTTGGAAACGGGATTACATATAAAATCTAGAGAGAAGCATTCTCAGGAACTTCTTTGTGATGTTTGCATTCAAGTCACAGAACTGAACATTCCCTTTCATAGAGCAGGTTTGAAACACTCTGTCTGTAGTATCTGCAAGCGGACGTTTGAAGCGCTTTCAGGCCTGTGGTGAAAAAGGAAATATCTTCAAATAAAAATTAGACAGAAGCATTCTCAGAAACTTATTTGCGATGTGTGTTCTCAACTAACAGAGTTGAACCTTTGTTTGGATACATCATTTTGGAAACACTCTTTTTGTAGAATCTGCTAGTGGATATTTGGATAGCTTTGAAGGTTTCGTTGGAAACGGGAATATCTTCATATAAAATCAAGACAGAAGCATTCTCAGAAACTTCTCTGTGATGTTTGCATTCAACTCATAGAGTTGAACACTTCCCTTCATACAGCAGGTTTGAAACACTCTTTTTGTAATATTTGGAAGTGGACATTTGCAGCGCTTTGAGGCCTATGATGAAAAAGGAAATATCTTCCCATAAAAACTAGACAGGAAGCATTCTCGGAAACTTCCTTGTGATATGTGTACACAAGTAACAGAGTTGAACCTTCCTTTTGACAGATCAGTTTTGAAGCACTCTTTTTGTAGAATCTGCAAGTGGATATTTTGATACCTTTGAGGATTTCGTTGGACACGGGATATCTTCATATAAAATCTAGACAGAAGCATTCTCAGGAACTTCTTTGTGATGTTTGCCTTCAAGTCACAGGACTGAACATTCCCTTTCATAGAGCAGGTTTGAAACACTCTTTCTGTAGTATCTGCAAGCTGACGTTTCAAGCGCTTTCAGGCCTATGGTGAGAAAGGAAATATCTTCAAGTAAAAACTAGACAGGAAGCATTCTCAGAAACTTATTTGCCATGTGTGTTCTCAACTAACAGAGTTGAACCTTTGTTTTGATATGGCATTTTGGAAACACTCTTTTTGTAGAATCTGCAGGTGGATATTCGGATAGCTTTGAAGGTTTCGTTGGAAACGGGAATATCTTCATATAAAATCTAGACAGAAGCATTCTCAGAAAGTGCTTTGTGATGTTTGCATTCAAGTCACAGAGTTGAATATTCCCTTTTATAGAGCAGGTTTGAAACACTCTTTCTGCACTACCTGGAAGTGGACATTTGGAGCGCTTTGAGGCCTATGTTGAAAAAGGAAATATCTTCCCATAAAAACTAGACAGAAGCATTCTCAGAAACTTGTTTGTGATGTGTGTATTCAACTAACAGAGATGAACCTTTCTTTTTACAGAGCAGTTTTGAAACACTCTTTTTGTGGAATCTGAAAGTGGATATTTGGATAGCTTTGAGGATTTCGTTGGAAACGGGATTCCATATAAAACCTAGAGAGAAGCATTCTCAGGAACTTCTTTGTGATGTTTGCATTCAAGTCACAGGACTGAACATTCCCTTTCATAGAGCAGGTTTGAAACACTCTTTCTGTAGTATCTGCAAGCTGACGTTTCAAGCGCTTTCAGGCCTATGGTGAGAAAGGAAATATCTTCAAGTAAAAACTAGACAGAAGCATTCTCAGAAACTTATTTGCCATGTGTGTTCTCAACTAACAGAGTTGAACCTTTGTTTTGATATGGCATTTTGGAAACACTCTTTTTGTAGAATCTGCAGGTGGATATTCGGATAGCTT
The DNA here is from genome assembly GCF_000001405.40 of Homo sapiens. Taxonomy (NCBI): domain Eukaryota; kingdom Metazoa; phylum Chordata; class Mammalia; order Primates; family Hominidae; genus Homo; species Homo sapiens. Next base: position 44,693,893 of record NC_000009.12, read on the forward strand.
TGAAGGTTTCGTTGGAAACGGGAATATCTTCATATAAAATCTAGACGGAAGCATTCTCAGAAAGTGCTTTGTGATGTTTGCATTCAAGTCACAGAGTTGAATATTCCCTTTTATAGAGCAGGTTTGAAACACTCTTTCTGCACTACCTGGAAGTGGACATTTGGAGCGCTTTGAGGCCTATGTTGAAAAACGAAATATCTTCCCATAAAAACTAGACAGAAGCATTCTCAGAAACTTGTTTGTGATGTGTGTATTCAACTAACAGAGATGAACCTTTCTTTTTACAGAGCAGTTTTGAAACACTCTTTTTGTGGAATCTGAAAGTGGATATTTGGATAGCTTTGAGGATTTCGTTGGAAACGGGATTACATATAAAATCTAGAGAGAAGCATTCTCAGGAACTTCTTTGTGATGTTTGCATTCAAGTCACAGAACTGAACATTCCCTTTCATAGAGCAGGTTTGAAACAGTCTTTCTGTAGTATCTGCAAGCTGACGTTTCAAGCGCTTTCAGGCCTATGGTGAGAAAGGAAATATCTTCAAGTAAAAACTAGACAGAAGCATTCTCAGAAACTTATTTGCCATGTGTGTTCTCAACTAACAGAGTTGAACCTTTGTTTTGATACGGCATTTTGGAAACACTCTTTTTGTAGAATCTGCAGGTGGATATTCGGATAGCTTTGAAGGTTTCGTTGGAAACGGGAATATCTTCATATAAAATCTAGACGGAAGCATTCTCAGAAACTGCTTTGTGATGTTTTCATTCAAGTCACAGAGTAGAATGTTCCCTGTTATATACCAGGTTTGAGACACTCTTTCTGCACTACCTGGAAGTGGACGTTTGGAGCGCTTTGAGGCCTTTGTTGAAAAAGGAAATATCTTCCCATAAAAACTAGACAGAAGCATTCTCAGAAACTTCTTTCTGATGTGTGTATTCAACTAACAGAGATGAACCTTTCTTTTTACAGAGCAGTTTTGAAACACTCTTTTTGTGGAATCTGAAAGTGGATATTTGGATAGCTTTGAGGATTTCGTTGGAAACGGGATTACATATAAAATCTAGAGAGAAGCATTCTCAGGAACTTCTTTGTGATGTTTGCATTCACGTCACAGAACTGAACATTCCCTTTCATAGAGCATGTTTGAAACACTCTTTCTGTAGTATCTGCAAACGGACATTTCAAACGCTTTCAGGCCTATGGTGAGAAAGGAAATATCTTCAAATAAAAACTAGACAGAAGCATTCTCAGAAACTTATTTGCGATGTGAGTTCTCAACTAACAGAGTTGAACCTTTGTTTGGATACAACATTTTGGAAACACTCTTTTTGTAGAATCTGCAAGTGGATATTTGGATAGCTTTGAAGGTTTCGTTGGAAACGGGAATATCTTGATATAAAATCAAGACAGAAGCATTCTCAGAAAGTGCTTTGTGATGTTTTCATTCAAGTCACAGAGTACAATGTTCCCTGTTATATACCAGGTTTGAGACACTCTTTCTGCACTACCTGGAAGTGGACATTTGGAGCGCTTTGAGGCCTATGCTGAAAAAGGAAATATCTTCCCATAAAAACTAGACAGAAGCATTCTCAGAAACTTGTTTGTGATGTGTGTATTCAACTAACAGAGATGAACCTTTCTTTTTACAGAGCAGTTTTGAAACACTCTTTTTCTGGAATCTGAAAGTGGATATTTGGATAGCTTTGAGGATTTCGTTGGAAACGGGATTCCATATAAAACCTAGAGAGAAGCATTCTCAGGAACTTCTTTGTGATGTTTGCATTCACGTCACAGAACTGAACATTCCCTTTCATAGAGCATGTTTGAAACACTCTTTCTGTAGTATCTGCAAACGGACATTTCAAACGCTTTCAGGCCTATGGTGAGAAAGGAAATATCTTCAAATAAAAACTAGACAGAAGCATTCTCAGAAACTTATTTGCCATGTGTGTTCTCAACTAACAGAGTTGAACCTTTGTTTTGATACGGCATTTTGGAAACACTCTTTTTGTAGAATCTGCAGGTGGATATTCGGATAGCTTTTAAGGTTTCGTTGGAAACGGGAATATCTTCATATAAAATCTAGACGGAAGCATTCTCAGAAACTGCTTTGTGATGTTTTCATTCAAGTCACAGAGTGGAATGTTCCCTTTTATATACCAGGTTTGAGACACTCTTTCTGCACTACCTGGAAGTGGACATTTGGAGCGCTTTGAGGCCTATGATGAAAAAGGAAATATCTTCCCATAAAAACTAGACAGAAGCATTCTCAGAAACTTGTTTGTGATGTGTGTATTCAACTAACAGAGATGAACCTTTCTTTTTACAGAGCAGTTCTGAAACACTCTTTTTGTGGAATCTGAAAGTGGATATTTGGATAGCTTTGAGGATTTCGTTGGAAACGGGATTACATATAAAATCTAGAGAGAAGCATTCTCAGGAACTTCTTTGTGATGTTTGCATTCAAGTCACAGAACTGAACATTCCCTTTCATAGAGCAGGTTTGAAACACTCTTTCTGTAGTATCTGCAAGCTGACGTTTCAAGCGCTTTCAGGCCTATGGTGAGAAAGGAAATATCTTCAAGTAAAAACTAGACAGAAGCATTCTCAGAAACTTATTTGCCATGTGTGTTCTCAACTAACAGAGTTGAACCTTTGTTTTGATACGGCATTTTGGAAACACTCTTTTTGTAGAATCTGCAGGTGGATATTCGGATAGCTTTGAAGGTTTCGTTGGAAACGGGAATATCTTCATATAAAATCTAGACGGAAGCATTCTCAGAAAGTGCTTTGTGATGTTTGCATTCAAGCCACAGAGTAGAATGTTCCCTTTTATATACCAGGTTTGAGACACTCTTTCTGCACTATCTGGAAGTGGACATTTGGAGCGCTTTGAGGCCTATGATGAAAAAGGAAATATCTTCCCATAAAAACTAGACAGAAGCATTCTCAGAAACTGGTTTGTGATGTGTGTATTCAACTAACAGAGATGAACCTTTCTTTTTACAGAGCAGTTTTGAAACACTCTTTTTGTGGAATCTGAAAGTGGGTATTTGGATAGATTTGAGGATTTCGTTGGAAACGGGATTACATATAAAACCTAGAGAGAAGCATTCTCAGGAACTTCTTTGTAATGTTTGCATTCAAGTCACAGAACTGAACATTCCCTTTCATAGAGCAGGTTTGAAACACTCTTTCTGTAGTATCTGCAAGCGGAGGTTTCAAGCGCTTTCAGGCCTGTGGTGAAAAAGGAAATATCTTCAAATAAAAACTAGACAGAAGCATTCTCAGAAACTTATTTGCGATGTGTGTTCTCAACTAACAGAGTTGAACCTTTGTTTTGATACAGCATTTTGGAAACACTCTTTTTGTAGGATCTGCAGGTGGATATTTGGATAGCTTTGAAGGTTTCGTTGAAAACGGGAATATCCTCATATAAAATCAAGACAGAAGCATTCTCAGAAACTGCTTTGTGATGTTTTCATTCAAGTCACAGAGTAGAATGTTCCCTGTTATATACCAGGTTTGAGACACTCTTTCTGCACTACCTGGAAGTGGACGTTTGGAGCGCTTTGAGGCATATGTTGAAAAAGGAAATATCTTCCCATAAAAACTAGACAGAAGCATTCTCAGAAACTTGTTTGTGATGTGTGTATTCAACTAACAGAGATGAACCTTTCTTTTTACAGAGCAGTTTTGAAACACTCTTTTTGTGGAATCTGAAAGTGGATATTTGGATAGCTTTGAGGATTTCGTTGGAAACGGGATTACATATAAAATCTAGAGAGAAGCATTCTCAGGAACTTCTTTGTGATGTTTGCATTCACGTCACAGAACTGAACATTCCCTTTCATAGAGCATGTTTGAAACACTCTTTCTGTAGTATCTGCAAACGGACATTTCAAACGCTTTCAGGCCTATGGTGAGAAAGGAAATATCTTCAAATAAAAACTAGACAGAAGCATTCTCAGAAACTTATTTGCCATGTGTGTTCTCAACTAACAGAGTTGAACCTTTGTTTTGATACGGCATTTTGGAAACACTCTTTTTGTAGAATCTGCAGGTGGATATTCGGATAGCTTTGAAGGTTTCGTTGGAAACGGGAATATCTTCATATAAAATCTAGACGGAAGCATTCTCAGAAACTGCTTTGTGATGTTTTCATTCAAGTCACAGAGTAGAATGTTCCCTGTTATATACCAGGTTTGAGACACTCTTTCTGCACTACCTGGAAGTGGACATTTGCAGCGCTTTGAGGCCTATGATGAAAAAGGAAATATCTTCCCATAAAAAACTAGACAGAAGCATTCTCAGAAACTTGTTTGTGATGTGTGTATTCAACTAACAGAGATGAACCTTTCTTTTTACAGAGCAGTTTTGAAACACTCTTTTTGTGGAATCTGAAAGTGGATATTTGGATAGCTTTGAGGATTTCGTTGGAAACGGGATTACATATAAAACCTAGAGAGAAGCATTCTCAGGAACTTCTTTGTGATGTTTGCCTTCAAGTCACAGGACTGAACATTCCCTTTCATAGAGCAGGTTTGAAACACTCTTTCTGTAGTATCTGCAAGCTGACGTTTCAAGCGCTTTCAGGCCTATGGTGAGAAAGGAAATATCTTCAAGTAAAAACTAGACAGAAGCATTCTCAGAAACTTATTTGCCATGTGTGTTCTCAACTAACAGAGTTGAACCTTTGTTTTGATATGGCATTTTGGAAACACTCTTTTTCTAGAATCTGCAGGTGGATATTCGGATAGCTTTGAAGGTTTCGTTGGAAACGGGAATATCTTCATATAAAATCTAGACGGAAGCATTCTCAGAAACTGCTTTGTGATGTTTTCATTCAAGTCACAGAGTAGAATGTTCCCTGTTATACACCAGGTTTGAGACACTCTTTCTGCACTACCTGGAAGTGGACGTTTGGAGCGCTTTGAGGCCTATGTTGAAAAAGGAAATATCTTCCCATAAAAACTAGACAGAAGCATTCTCAGAAACTTGTTTGTGATGTGTGTATTCAACTAACAGAGATGAACCTTTCTTTTTACAGAGCAGTTTTGAAACACTCTTTTTGTGGAATCTGAAAGTGGATATTTGGATAGCTTTGAGGATTTCGTTGGAAACGGGATTACATATAAAATCTAGAGAGAAGCATTCTCAGGAACTTCTTTGTGATGTTTGCATTCAAGTCACAGAACTGAACATTCCCTTTCATAGAGCAGGTTTGAAACACTCTTTCTGTAGTATCTGCAAGCTGACGTTTCAAGCGCTTTCAGGCCTATGGTGAGAAAGGAAATATCTTCAAGTAAAAACTAGACAGAAGCATTCTCAGAAACATATTTGCCATGTGTGTTCTCAACTAACAGAGTTGAACCTTTGTTTTGATATGGCATTTTGGAAACACTCTTTTTGTAGAATCTGCAGGTGGATATTCGGATAGCTTTGAAGGTTTCGTTGGAAACGGGAATATCTTCATATAAAATCTAGACGGAAGCATTCTCAGAAAGTGCTTTGTGATGTTTGCATTCAAGTCACAGAGTTGAATATTCCCTTTTATAGAGCAGGTTTGAAACACTCTTTCTGCACTACCTGGAAGTGGACATTTGGAGAGCTTTGAGGCCTATGTTGAAAAAGGAAATATCTTCCCATAAAAACTAGACAGAAGCATTCTCAGAAACTTGTTTGTGATGTGTGTATTCAACTAACAGAGATGAACCTTTCTTTTTACAGAGCAGTTTTGAAACACTCTTTTTGTGGAATCTGAAAGTGGATATTTGGATAGCTTTGAGGATTTCGTTGGAAACGGGATTACATATAAAACCTAGAGAGAAGCATTCTCAGGAACTTCTTTGTGATGTTTGCCTTCAAGTCACAGGACTGAACATTCCCTTTCATAGAGCAGGTTTGAAACACTCCTTCTGTAGTATCTGCAAGCTGACGTTTCAAGCGCTTTCAGGCCTATGGTGAGAAAGGAAATATCTTCAAGTAAAAACTAGACAGAAGCATTCTCAGAAACTTATTTGCCATGTGTGTTCTCAACTAACAGAGTTGAACCTTTGTTTTGATACGGCATTTTGGAAACACTCTTTTTGTAGAATCTGCAGGTGGATATTCGGATAGCTTTGAAGGTTTCGTTGGAAACGGGAATATCTTCATATAAAATCTAGACGGAAGCATTCTCAGAAACTGCTTTGTGATGTTTTCATTCAAGTCACAGAGTAGAATGTTCCCTGTTATATACCAGGTTTGAGACACTCTTTCTGCACTACGCGGAAGTGGACGTTTGGAGCGCTTTGAGGCCAATGTTGAAAAAGGAAATATCTTCCCATAAAAACTAGACAGAAGCATTCTCAGAAACTTGTTTGTGATGTGTGTATTCAACTAACAGAGATGAACCTTTCTTTTTACAGAGCAGTTTTGAAACACTCTTTTTGTGGAATCTGAAAGTGGATATTTGGATAGCTTTGAGGATTTCGTTGGAAACGGGATTACATATAAAATCTAGAGAGAAGCATTCTCAGGAACTTCTTTGTGATGTTTGCATTGAAGTCACAGAACTGAACATTCCCTTTCATACAGCAGGTTTGAAACACTCTTTCTGTAGTATCTGCAAGTGGACGTTTCAAGCGCTTTCAGGCCTGTGGTGAAAAAGGAAATATCTTCAAATAAAAACTAGACAGAAGCATTCTCAGAAACTTATTTGCCATGTGTGTTCTCAACTAACAGAGTTGAACCTTTGTTTTGATACGGCATTTTGGAAACACTCTTTTTGTAGAATCTGCAGGTGGATATTCGGATAGCTTTGAAGGTTTCGTTGGAAACGGGAATATCTTCATATAAAATCTTGACGGAAGCATTCTCAGAAACTGCTTTGTGATGTTTTCATTCAAGTCACAGAGTAGAATCTTCCCTGTTATATACCAGGTTTCAGACACTCTTTCTGCACTACCTGGAAGTGGACATTTGCAGCGCTTTGAGGCCTATGATGAAAAAGGAAATATCTTCCCATGAAAACTAGACAGAAGCATTCTCAGAAACTTGTTTGTGATGTGTGTATTCAACTAACAGAGATGAACCTTTCTTTTTACAGAGCAGTTTTGAAACACTCTTTTTGTGGAATCTGAAAGTGGATATTTGGATAGCTTTGAGGATTTCGTTGGAAACGGGATTACATATAAAACCTAGAGAGAAGCATTCTCAGGAACTTCTTTGTGATGTTTGCATTCAAGTCACAGAACTGAACATTCCCTTTCATAGAGCATGTTTGAAACACTCTTTCTGTAGTATCTGCAAGCGGACGTTTTAAGCGCTTTCAGGCCTGTGGTGAGAAAGGAAATATCTTCAAATAAAAACTAGACAGAAGCATTCTCAGAAACTTATTTGCGATGTGTGTCCTCAACTAACAGAGTTGAACCTTTCTTTTGATACAACATTTTGGAAACACTCTTTTTGTAGAATCTGCAAGTGGATATTTGGATAGCTTTGAAGGTTTCGTTGGAAACGGGAATATCTTCATATGAAATCAAGACAGAAGCATTCTCAGAAAGTGCTTTGTGATGTCTTCATTCAAGTCACAGAGTAGAATGTTCCCTTTTATAGAGCAGGTTTGAAACACTCTTTCTGCACTACCTGGAAGTGGACATTTGGAGCGCTTTGAGACCTATGTTGAAAAAGGAAATATCTTCCCATAAAAACTAGACAGAAGCATTCTCAGAAACTTGTTTGTGATGTGTGTATTCAACTAACAGAGATGAACCTTTCTTTTTACAGAGCAGTTTTGAAACACTCTTTTTGTGGAATCTGAAAGTGGATATTTGGATAGCTTTGCGGATTTCGTTGGAAACGGGATTACATATAAAATCTAGGGAGAAGCATTCTCAGGAACTTCTTTGTGATGTTTGCATTCAAGTCACAGAACTGAACATTCCCTTTCTTAGAGCAGGTTTGAAACACTCTTTCTGTAGTATCTGCAAGCGGACGTTTTAAGCGCTTTCAGGCCTGTGGTGAGAAAGGAAATATCTTCAAATAAAAACTAGACAGAAGCATTCTCAGAAACTTATTTGCGATGTGTGTCCTCAACTAACAGAGTTGAACCTTTCTTTTGATACAACATTTTGGAAACACTCTTTTTGTAGAATCTGCAAGTGGATATTTGGATAGCTTTGAAGGTTTCGTTGGAAACGGGAATATCTTCATATGAAATCAAGACAGAAGCATTCTCAGAAACTTCTCTGTGATGTTTGCATTCAACTCATAGAGTTGAACACTTCCCTTCATACAGCAGGTTTGAAACACTCTTTTTGTAATATTTGGAAGTGGACATTTGCAGCGCTTTGAGGCCTATGATGAAAAAGGAAATATCTTCCCATAAAAACTAGACAGAAGCATTCTCAGAAACTTGTTTGTGATGTGTGTATTCAACTAACAGAGATGAACCTTTCTTTTTACAGAGCAGTTTTGAAACACTCTTTTTGTGGAATCTGAAAGTGGATATTTGGATAGCTTTGAGGATTTCGTTGGAAACGGGATTACATATAAAACCTAGAGAGAAGCATTCTCAGGAACTTCTTTGTGATGTTTGCATTCAAGTCACAGGACTGAACATTCCCTTTCATAGAGCAGGTTTGAAACACTCTTTCTGTAGTATCTGCAAGCTGACGTTTCAAGCGCTTTCAGGCCTATGGTGAGAAAGGAAATATCTTCAAGTAAAAACTAGACAGAAGCATTCTCAGAAACTTATTTGCCATGTGTGTTCTCAACTAACAGAGTTGAACCTTTGTTTTGATACGGCATTTTGGAAACACTCTTTTTGTAGAATCTGCAGGTGGATATTCGGATAGCTTTGAAGGTTTCGTTGGAAACGGGAATATCTTCATATAAAATCTAGACGGAAGCATTCTCAGAAACTGCTTTGTGATGTTTTCATTCAAGTCACAGAGTAGAATGTTCCCTTTTATATACGAGGTTTGAGACACTCTTTCTGCACTATCTGGAAGTGGACATTTGGAGCGCTTTGAGGCCTATGATGAAAAAGGAAATATCTTCCCATAAAAACTAGACAGAAGCATTCTCAGAAACTTGTTTGTGATGTGTGTATTCAACTAACAGAGATGAACCTTTCTTTTTACAGAACAGTTTTGAAACACTCTTTTTGTGGAATCTGAAAGTGGATATTTGGATAGCTTTGAGGATTTCGTTGGAAACGGGATTACATATAAAATCTAGAGAGAAGCATTCTCAGGAACTTCTTTGTGATGTTTGCATTCACGTCACAGAACTGAACATTCCCTTTCATAGAGCATGTTTGAAACACTCTTTCTGTAGTATCTGCAAACGGACATTTCAAGCGCTTTCAGGCCTATGGTAAGAAAGGAAATATCTTCAAATAAAAACTAGACAGAAGCATTCTCAGAAACTTATTTGCGATGTGTGTCCTCAACTAACAGAGTTGAACCTTTGTTTTGATACAACATTTTGGAAACACTCTTTTTGTAGAATCTGCAAGTGGATATTTGGATAGCTTTGAAGGTTTCGTTGGAAACCGGAATATCTTCATATAAAATCAAGACAGAAGCATTCTCAGAAACTTCTCTGTGATGTTTGCATTCAACTCATAGAGTTGAACACTTCCCTTCATAGAGCAGGTTTGAAACACTCTTTTTGTAATATTTGGAAGTGGACATTTGCAGCGCTTTGAGGCCTATGTTGAAAAAGGAAATATCTTCTCCTAAAAACCAGACAGAAGCATTCTCAGAAACTTGTTTGTGATGTGTGTATTCAACTAACAGAGATGAACCTTTCTTTTTACAGAGCAGTTTTGAAACACTCTTTTTGTGGAATCTGAAAGTGGATATTTGGATAGCTTTGAGGATTTCGTTGGAAACGGGATTACATATAAAACCTAGAGAGAAGCATTCTCAGGAACTTCTTTGTGATGTTTGCATTCAAGTCACAGGACTGAACGTTCCCTTTCATAGAGCAGGTTTGAAACACTCTTTCTGTAGTATCTGCAAGCGGACGTTTTAAGCGCTTTCAGGCCTGTGGTGAGAAAGGAAATATCTTCAAATAAAAACTAGACAGAAGCATTCTCAGAAACTTATTTGCGATGTGTGTCCTCAACTAACAGAGTTGAACCTTTCTTTTGATACAACATTTTGGAAACACTCTTTTTGTAGAATCTGCAAGTGGATATTTGGATAGCTTTGAAGGTTTCGTTGGAAACGGGAATATCTTCATATGAAATCAAGACAGAAGCATTCTCAGAAACTGCTTTGTGATGTTTTCATTCAAGTCACAGAGTAGAATGTTCCCTGTTATATACCAGGTTTGAGACACTCTTTCTGCACTACCTGGAAGTGGACGTTTGTAGCGCTTTGAGGCCTATGTTGAAAAAGGAAATATCTTCCCATAAAAACTAGACAGAAGCATTCTCAGAAACTTGTTTGTGATGTGTGTATTCAACTAACAGGGATGAACCTTTCTTTTGATAGAGCAGTTTTGAAACACTCTTTTTGTGGAATCTGAAAGTGGATATTTGGATAGCTTTGAGGATTTCCTTGGAAACGGGATTACATATAAAACCTAGAGAGAAGCATTCTCAGGAACTTCTTTGTGATGTTTGCATTCAAGTCACAGAACTGAACATTCCCTTTCATAGAGCAGGTTTGAAACACTCTTTCTGTAGTATCTGCAAGCTGACGTTTCAAGCGCTTTCAGGCCTATGGTGAGAAAGGAAATATCTTCAAGTAAAAACTAGACAGAAGCATTCTCAGAAACTTATTTGCCATGTGTGTTCTCAACTAACAGAGTTGAACCTTTGTTTTGATACGGCATTTTGGAAACACTCTTTTTGTAGAATCTGCAGGTGGATATTCGGATAGCTTTGAAGGTTTCGTTGGAAACGGGAATATCTTCATATAAAATCTAGACGGAAGCATTCTCAGAAACTGCTTTGTGATGTTTTCATTCAAGTCACAGAGTAGAATGTTCCCTGTTATATACCAGGTTTGAGACACTCTTTCTGCACTACCTGGAAGTGGACATTTGCAGCGCTTTGAGGCCTATGATGAAAAAGGAAATATCTTCCCATAAAAACTAGACAGAAGCATTCTCAGAAACTTGTTTGTGATGTGTGTATTCAACTAACAGAGATGAACCTTTCTTTTTACAGAGCAGTTTTGAAACACTCTTTTTGTGGAATCTGAAAGTGGATATTTGGATAGCTTTGAGGATTTCGTTGGAAACGGGATTACATATAAAATCTAGAGAGAAGCATTCTCAGGAACTTCTTTGTGATGTTTGCATTCAAGTCACAGAACTGAACATTCCCTTTCATAGAGCAGGTTTGAAACACTCTTTCTGTAGTATCTGCAAACGGACATTTCAAGCGCTTTCAGGCCTATGGTGAGAAAGGAAATATCTTCAAGTAAAAACTAGACAGAAGCATTCTCAGAAACTTATTTGCGATGTGTGTCCTCAACTAACAGAGTTGAACCTTTCTTTTGATACAACATTTTGGAAACACTCTTTTTGTAGAATCTGCAAGTGGATATTTGGATAGCTTTGAAGGTTTCGTTGGAAACGGGAATATCTTCATATGAAATCAAGACAGAAGCATTCTCAGAAACTGCTTTGTGATGTTTTCATTCAAGTCACAGAGTAGAATGTTCCCTGTTATATACCAGGTTTGAGACACTATTTCTGCACTACCTGGAAGTGGACATTTGGAGCGCTTTGAGGCCTAAGATGAAAAAGGAAATATCTTCCCATAAAAACTAGACAGAAGCATTCTCAGAAACTTGTTTGTGATGTGTGTATTCAACTAACAGAGATGAACCTTTCTTTTTACAGAGCAGTTTTGAAACACTCTTTTTGTGGAATCTGAAAGTGGATATTTGGATAGCTTTGAGGATTTCGTTGGAAACGGGATTACATATAAAATCTAGAGAGAAGCATTCTCAAGAACTTCTTTGTGATGTTTGCATTCACGTCACAGAGCTGAACATTCCCTTTCATAGAGCATGTTTGAAACACTCTTTCTGTAGTATCTGCAAACGGACATTTCAAACGCTTTCAGGCCTATGGTGAGAAAGGAAATATCTTCAAATAAAAACTAAACAGAAGCATTCTCAGAAACTTCTTTGTGCTGTATGTCCTCAATTAACAGAGTTGAAACTTTGTGTGGATACAGCATTTTGGAAACACTCCTTTAGTAGGATATGCAAGTTGATATTTAGATAGCTAGGAAGATTTCCTTGGAAACGGGAATATCTTCATATAAAATCTAGACGGAAGCATTCTCAGAAAGTGCTTTGTGATGTTTGCATTCAAGTCACACAGTTGAATATTCCCTTTTATAGAGCAGGTTTGAAACACTCTTTCTGCACTACCTGGAAGTGGACATTTGGAGCGCTTTGAGGCCTATGTTGAAAAAGGAAATATCTTCCCATAAAAACTAGACAGAAGCATTCTCAGAAACTTGTTTGTGATGTGTGTATTCAACTAACAGAGATGAACCTTTCTTTTTACAGAGCAGTTTTGAAACACTCTTTTTGTGGAATCTGAAAGTGGATATTTGGATAGCTTTGAGGATTTCGTTGGAAACGGGATTACATATAAAACCTAGAGAGAAGCATTCTCAGGAACTTCTTTGTGATGTTTGCCTTCAAGTCACAGGACTGAACATTCCCTTTCATAGAGCAGGTTTGAAACACTCTTTCTGTAGTATCTGCAAGCTGACGTTTCAAGCGCTTTCAGGCCTACGGTGACAAAGGAAATATCTTCAAGTAAAAACTAGACAGAAGCATTCTCAGAAACTTATTTGCGATGTGTGTTCTCAACTAACAGAGTTGAACCTTTGTTTTGATATGGCATTTTGGAAACACTCTTTTTGTAGAATCTGCAGGTGGATATTCGGATAGCTTTGAAGGTTTCGTTTGAAACGGGAATATCTTCATATAAAATCTAGACGGAAGCATTCTCAGAAACTGCTTTGTGATGTTTTCATTCAAGTCACAGAGTAGAATCTTCCCTGTTATATACCAGGTTTCAGACACTCTTTCTGCACTACCTGGAAGTGGACATTTGCAGCGCTTTGAGGCCTATGATGAAAAAGGAAATATCTTCCCATAAAAACTAGACAGAAGCATTCTCAGAAACTTGTTTGTGATGTGTGTATTCAACTAACAGAGATGAACCTTTCTTTTTACAGAGCAGTTTTGAAACACTCTTTTTGTGGAATCTGAAAGTGGATATTTGGATAGCTTTGAGGATTTCGTTGGAAACGGGATTACATATAAAATCTAGAGAGAAGCATTCTCAGGAACTTCTTTGTGATGTTTGCATTTACGTCACAGAACTGAACATTCCCTTTCATAGAGCATGTTTGAAACACTCTTTCTGTAGTATCTGCAAACGGACATTTCAAACGCTTTCAGGCCTATGGTGAGAAAGGAAATATCTTCAAGTAAAAACTAGACAGAAGCATTCTCAGAAACTTATTTGCGATGTGTGTCCTCAACTAACAGAGTTGAACCTTTCTTTTGATACAACATTTTGGAAACACTCTTTTTGTAGAATCTGCAAGTGGATATTTGAATAGCTTTGAAGGTTTCGTTGGAAACGGGAATATCTTCATATAAAATCAAGACAGAAGCATTCTCAGAAACTTCTCTGTGATGTTTGCATTCAACTCATAGAGTTGAACACTTCCCCTCATAGAGCAGGTTTGAAACACTCTTTTTGTAATATTTGGAAGTGGACATTTGCAGCGCTTTGAGGCCTATGATGAAAAAGGTAATATCTTCCCATAAAAACTAGACAGAAGCATTCTCAGAAACTTGTTTGTGATGTGTGTATTCAACTAACAGAGATGAACCTTTCTTTTTACAGAGCAGTTTTGAAACACTCTTTTTGTGGAATCTGAAAGTGGATATTTGGATAGCTTTGCGGATTTCGTTGGAAACGGGATTACATATAAAATCTAGGGAGAAGCATTCTCAGGAACTTCTTTGTGATGTTTGCATTCAAGTCACAGAACTGAACATTCCCTTTCATAGATCAGGTTTGAAACACTCTTTCTGTAGTATCTGCAAGCGGACGTTTTAAGCGCTTTCAGGCCTGTGGTGAGAAAGGAAATATCTTCAAATAAAAACTAGACAGAAGCATTCTCAGAAACTTATTTGCGATGTGTGTCCTCAACTAACAGAGTTGAACCTTTCTTTTGATACAACATTTTGGAAACACTCTTTTTGTAGAATCTGCAAGTGGATATTTGGATAGCTTTGAAGGTTTCGTTGGAAACGGGAATATCTTCATATGAAATCAAGACAGAAGCATTCTCAGAAACTGCTTTGTGATGTTTTCATTCAAGTAACAGAGTAGAATGTTCCCTTTTATAGAGCAGGTTTGAAACACTCTTTCTGCACTACCTGGAAGTGGACATTTGGAGCGCCTTGAGGCCTATGTTGAAAAAGGAAATATCTTCCCATAAAAACTAGACAGAAGCATTCTCAGAAACTTGTTTGTGATGTGTGTATTCAACTAACAGAGATGAACCTTTCTTTTTACAGAGCAGTTTTGAAACACTCTTTTTGTGTAATCTGAAAGTGGATATTTGGATAGCTTTGAGGATTTCGTTGGAAACGGGATTACATATAAAATCTAGAGAGAAGCATTCTCAGGAACTTCTTTGTGATGTTTGCATTCACGTCACAGAACTGAACATTCCCTTTCATAGAGCATGTTTGAAACACTCTTTCTGTAGTATCTGCAAACGGACATTTCAAACGCTTTCAGGCCTATGGTGAGAAAGGAAATATCTTCAAATAAAAACTAGACAGAAGCATTCTCAGAAACTTATTTGCGATGTGTGTCCTCAACTAACAGAGTTGAACCTTTCTTTTGATTCAACATTTTGGAACCACTCTTTTTTTAGAATCTGCAAGTGGATATTTGAATAGCTTTGAAGGTTTCGTTGGAAACGGGAATATCTTCATATAAAATCAAGACAGAAGCATTCTCAGAAACTGCTTTGTGATGTCTTCATTCAAGTCACAGAGTTGAATATTCCCTTTTATAGAGCAGGTTTGAAACACTCTTTCTGCACTACCTGGAAGTGGACATTTGGAGCGCTTTGAGGCCTATGTTGAAAAAGGAAATATCTTCCCATAAAAACTAGACAGAAGCATTCTCAGAAACTTCCTTGTGATGTGTGTACTCAAGTAACAGAGTTGAACCTTACTTCTGACAGAGCCGTTTTGAAACAGTCTTTTTGTAGAATCTGGAAGTAGATATTTGGATACTTTTGAGGATTTCTTTGGAAACGGGATATATTCATATAAAATCTAGACAGAAACATTCTCAGAAACTTATTTGCGATGTGTGTTCTCAACTAACAGAGTTGAACCTTTGTTTTGATACGGCATTTTGGAAACACTCTTTTTGTAGAATCTGCAGGTGGATATTCGGATAGCTTTGAAGGTTTCGTTGGAAACGGGAATATCTTCATATAAAATCTAGACGGAAGCATTCTCAGAAAGTGCTTTGTGATGTTTTCATTCAAGTCACAGAGTAGAATGTTCCCTGTTATATACCAGGTTTGAGACACTCTTTCTGCACTACCTGGATGTGGACATTTGGAGCGCTTTGAGGCCTATGTAGAAAAAGGAAATATCTTCCCATAAAAACTAGACAGAAGCATTCTCAGAAACTTGTTTGTGATGTGTGTATTCAACTAACAGAGATGAACCTTTCTTTTTACAGAGCAGTTTTGAAACACTCTTTTTGTGGAATCTGAAAGTGGATATTTGGATAGCTTTGAGGATTTCGTTGGAAACGGGATTACATATAAAACCTAGAGAGAAGCATTCTCAGGAACTTCTTTGTGATGTTTGCATTCAAGTCACAGAACTGAACATTCCCTTTCATAGAGCAGGTTTGAAACACTCTTTCTGTAGTATCTGCAAGCTGACGTTTCAAGCGCTTTCAGGCCTATGGTGACAAAGGAAATATCTTCAAGTAAAAACTAGACAGAAGCATTCTCAGAAACTTATTTGCCATGTGTGTTCTCAACTAACAGAGTTGAACCTTTGTTTTGATACGGCATTTTGGAAACACTCTTTTTGTAGAATCTGCAGGTGGATATTCGGATAGCTTTGAAGGTTTCGTTGGAAACGGGAATATCTTCATATAAAATCTAGACGGAAGCATTCTCAGAAACTGCTTTGTGATGTTTTCATTCAAGTCACAGAGTTGAATGTTCCCTGTTATATACCAGGTTTGAGACACTCTTTCTGCACTACCCGGAAGTGGACGTTTGGAGCGCTTTGAGGCCAATGTTGAAAAAGGAAATATCTTCCCATAAAAACTAGACAGAAGCATTCTCAGAAACTTGTTTGTGATGTGTGTATTCAACTAACAGAGATGAACCTTTCTTTTTACAGAGCAGTTTTGAAACACTCTTTTTGTGGAATCTGAAAGTGGATATTTGGATAGCTTTGAGGATTTCGTTGGAAACGGGATTACATATAAAATCTAGAGAGAAGCATTCTCAGGAACTTCTTTGTGATGTTTGCATTCAAGTCACAGAACTGAACATTCCCTTTCATAGAGCAGGTTTGAAACACTCTTTCTGTAGTATCTGCAAGCGGACGTTTGAAGCGCTTTCAGGCGTGTGGTGAAAAAGGAAATATCTTCAAATAAATACTAGACAGAAGCATTCTCAGAAACTTATTTGCGATGTGTGTTCTCAACTAAAAGAGTTGAACCTTTGTTTGGATACAACGCTTTGGAAACACTCTTTTTGTAGGATCTGCAAGTGGATATTTGGATAGCTTTGAAGGTTTCGTTGGAAACCGGAATATCTTCATATAAAATCAAGACAGAAGCATTCTCAGAAACTTCTCTGTGATGTTTGCATTCAACTCATAGAGTTGAACACTTCCCTTCATACAGCAGGTTTGAAACACTCTTTTTCTAATATTTGGAAGTGGACATTTGCAGCGCTTTGAGGCCTATGTTGAAAAAGGAAATATCTTCTCCTAAAAACCAGACAGAAGCATTCTCAGAAACTTGTTTGTGATGTGTGTATTCAACTAACAGAGATGAACCTTTCTTTTTACAGAGCAGTTTTGAAACACTCTTTTTGTGGAATCTGAAAGTGGATATTTGGATAGCTTTGCGGATTTCGTTGGAAACGGGATTACATATAAAATCTAGGGAGAAGCATTCTCAGGAACTTCTTTGTGATGTTTGCATTCAAGTCACAGAACTGAACATTCCCTTTCATAGAGCAGGTTTGAAACACTCTTTCTGTAGTATCTGCAAGCGGACGTTTTAAGCGCTTTCAGGCCTGTGGTGAGAAAGGAAATATCTTCAAATAAAAACTAGACAGAAGCATTCTCAGAAACTTATTTACGATGTGTGTCCTCAACTAACAGAGTTGAACCTTTCTTTTGATACAACATTTTGGAAACACTCTTTTTGTAGAATCTGCAAGTGGATATTTGGATAACTTTGAAGGTTTCAGTTGGAAACGGGAATATCTTCATATGAAATCAAGACAGAAGCATTCTCAGAAACTGCTTTGTGATGTTTTCATTCAAGTCACAGAGTAGAATGTTCTCTTTTATATACCAGGTTTGAGACACTCTTTCTGCACTATCTGGAAGTGGACATTTGGAGCGCTTTGAGGCCTATGATGAAAAAGGAAATATCTTCCCATAAAAACTAGACAGAAGCATTCTCAGAAACTTGTTTGTGATGTGTGTATTCAACTAACAGAGATGAACCTTTCTTTTTACAGAGCAGTTTTGAAACACTCTTTTTGTGGAATCTGAAAGTGGATATTTGGATAGCTTTGAGGATTTCGTTGGAAACGGGATTACATATAAAATCTAGAGAGAAGCATTCTCAGGAACTTCTTTGTGATGTTTGCCTTCAAGTCACAGGACTGAACATTCCCTTTCATAGAGCAGGTTTGAAACACTCTTTCTGTAGTATCTGCAAGCTGACGTTTCAAGCGCTTTCAGGCCTATGGTGAGAAAGGAAATATCTTCAAGTAAAAACTAGACAGAAGCATTCTCAGAAACTTATTTGAGATGTGTGTTCTCAACTAACAGAGTTGAACCTTTGTTTTGATATGGCATTTTGGAAACACTCTTTTTGTAGAATCTGCAGGTGGATATTCGGATAGCTTTGAAGGTTTCGTTGGAAACGGGAATATCTTCATATAAAATCAAGACAGAAGCATTCTCAGAAACTGCTTTGTGATGTTTTCATTGAAGTCACAGAGTAGAATGTTCCCTTTTATATACCAGGTTTGAGACACTCTTTCTGCACTATCTGGAAGTGGACATTTGGAGCGCTTTGAGGCCTATGATGAAAAAGGAAATATCTTCCCATAAAAACTAGACAGAAGCATTCTCAGAAACTTGTTTGTGATGTGTGTATTCAACTAACAGAGATGAACCTTTCTTTTTACAGAGCAGTTTTGAAACACTCTTTTTGTGGAATCTGAAAGTGGATATTTGGATAGCTTTGAGGATTTCGTTGGAAACGGGATTACATATAAAACCTAGAGAGAAGCATTCTCAGGAACTTCTTTGTGATGTTTGCATTCAAGTCACAGAACTGAACATTCCCTTTCATAGAGCAGGTTTGAAACAGTCTTTCTGTAGTATCTGCAAGCTGACGTTTCAAGCGCTTTCAGGCCTATGGTGAGAAAGGAAATATCTTCAAGTAAAAACTAGACAGAAGCATTCTCAGAAACTTATTTGCCATGTGTGTTCTCAACTAACAGAGTTGAACCTTTGTTTTGATACGGCATTTTGGAAACACTCTTTTTGTAGAATCTGCAGGTGGATATTCGGATAGCTTTGAAGGTTTCGTTGGAAACGGGAATATCTTCATATAAAATCTAGACGGAAGCATTCTCAGAAACTGCTTTGTGATGTTTTCATTGAAGTCACAGAGTAGAATGTTCCCTTTTATATACCAGGTTTGAGACACTCTTTCTGCACTATCTGGAAGTGGACATTTGGAGCGCTTTGAGGCCTATGATGAAAAAGGAAATATCTTCCCATAAAAACTAGACAGAAGCATTCTCAGAAACTTGTTTGTGATGTGTGTATTCAACTAACAGAGATGAACCTTTCTTTTTACAGAGCAGTTTTGAAACACTCTTTTTGTGGAATCTGAAAGTGGATATTTGGATAGCTTTGAGGATTTCGTTGGAAACGGGATTACATATAAAATCTAGAGAGAAGCATTCTCAGGAACTTCTTTGTGATGTTTGCATTCACGTCACAGAACTGAACATTCCCTTTCATAGAGCATGTTTGAAACACTCTTTCTGTAGTATCTGCAAACGGACATTTCAAACGCTTTCAGGCCTATGGTGAGAAAGGAAATATCTTCAAATAAAAACTAGACAGAAGCATTCTCAGAAACTTATTTGCGATGTGTGTTCTCAACTAACAGAGTTGAACCTTTGTTTTGATATGGCATTTTGGAAACACTCTTTTTGTAGAATCTGCAGGTGGATATTCGGATAGCTTTGAAGGTTTCGTTGGAAACGGGAATATCTTCATATAAAATCTAGACGGAAGCATTCTCAGAAACTGCTTTGTGATGTTTTCATTGAAGTCACAGAGTAGAATGTTCCCTTTTATATACCAGGTTTGAGACACTCTTTCTGCACTATCTGGAAGTGGACATTTGGAGCGCTTTGAGGCCTATGATGAAAAAGGAAATATCTTCCCATAAAAACTGGACAGAAGCATTCTCAGAATCTTTCTTGTGATGTGTGTACTCAAGTAACAGAGTTGAACCTTCCTTTTGACAGAGCAGTTTTGAAGCACTCTTTTTGTAGAATCTGCAAGTGGATATTTTGATACCTTTGAGGATTTCTTTGGACACGGGATATCTTCATATAAAATCTAGACAGAAGCATTCTCAGGAACTTCTTTGTGATGTTTGCATTCAAGTCACAGAACTGAACATTCCCTTTCATAGAGCATGTTTGAAACACTCTTTCTGTAGTATCTGCAAGCGGACGTTTCAAGCGCTTTCAGGCCTATGGTGAGAAAGGAAATATCTTCAAGTAAAAACTAGACAGAAGCATTCTCAGAAACTTATTTGCCATGTGTGTTCTCAACTAACAGAGTTGAACCTTTGTTTTGATACGGCATTTTGGAAACACTCTTTTTGTAGAATCTGCAGGTGGATATTCGGATAGCTTTGAAGGTTTCGTTGGAAACGGGAATATCTTCATATAAAATCTAGACGGAAGCATTCTCAGAAAGTGCTTTGTGATGTTTGCATTCAAGTCACAGAGTAGAATGTTCCCTGTTATATACCAGGTTTGAGACACTCTTTCTGCACTACCTGGAAGTGGACGTTTGGAGCGCTTTGAGGCCTATGTTGAAAAAGGAAATATCTTCCCATAAAAACTAGACAGAAGCATTCTCAGAAACTTGTTTGTGATGTGTGTATTCAACTAACAGGGATGAACCTTTCTTATTACAGAGCAGTTTTGAAACACTCTTTTTGTGGACTCTGAAAGTGGATTTTTGGATAGCTTTGAGGATTTCGTTGGAAACGGGATTACATATAAAACCTAGAGAGAAGCATTCTCAGGAACTTCTTTGTGATGTTTGCATTCAAGTCACAGAACTGAACATTCCCTTTCATAGAGCATGTTTGAAACACTCTTTCTGTAGTATCTGCAAACGGACATTTCAAACGCTTTCAGGCCTATGGTGAGAAAGGAAATATCTTCAAATAAAAACTAGACAGAAGCATTCTCAGAAACTTGTTTGCGATGTGTTTCCTCAACTAACAGAGTTGAACCTTTCTTTTGATACAACATTTTGGAAACACTCTTTTTGTAGAATCTGCAAGTGGATATTTGGATAGCTTTGAAGGTTTCTTTGGAAACGGGAATATCTTCATATAAAATCAAGACAGAAGCATTCTCAGAAACTGCTTTGTGATGTTTTCATTCAAGTCACAGAGTAGAATCTTCCCTGTTATATACCAGGTTTCAGACACTCTTTCTGCACTACCTGGAAGTGGACATTTGCAGCGCTTTGAGGCCTATGATGAAAAAGGAAATATCTTCCCATAAAAACTAGACAGAAGCATTCTCAGAAACTTGTTTGTGATGTGTGTATTCAACTAACAGGGATGAACCTTTCTTTTGATAGAGCAGTTTTGAAACACTCTTTTTGTGGAATCTGAAAGTGGATATTTGGATAGCTTTGAGGATTTCTTTGGAAACGGGATTACATATAAAACCTAGAGAGAAGCATTCTCAGGAACTTCTTTGTGATGTTTGCATTCAAGTCACAGAACTGAACATTCCCTTTCATAGAGCAGGTTTGAAACACTCTTTCTGTAGTATCTGCAAGCTGACGTTTCAAGCGCTTTCAGGCCTATGGTGAGAAAGGAAATATCTTCAAGTAAAAACTAGACAGAAGCATTCTCAGAAACTTATTTGCCATGTGTGTTCTCAACTAACAGAGTTGAACCTTTGTTTTGATACGGCATTTTGGAAACACTCTTTTTGTAGAATCTGCAGGTGGATATTCGGATAGCTTTGAAGGTTTCGTTGGAAACGGGAATATCTTCATATAAAATCTAGACGGAAGCATTCTCAGAAACTGCTTTGTGATGTTTTCATTCAAGTCACAGAGTAGAATGTTCCCTGTTATATACCAGGTTTGAGACACTCTTTCTGCACTACCTGGAAGTGGACGTTTGGAGCGCTTTGACGCCTATGTTGAAAAAGGAAATATCTTCCCATAAAAACTAGACAGAAGCATTCTCAGAAACTTGTTTGTGATGTGTGTATTCAACTAACAGAGATGAACCTTTCTTTTTACAGAGCAGTTTTGAAACACTCTTTTTGTGGAATCTGAAAGTGGATATTTGGATAGCTTTGAGGATTTCGTTGGAAACGGGATTACATATAAAATCTAGAGAGAAGCATTCTCAGGAACTTCTTTGTGATGTTTGCATTCAAGTCACAGAACTGAACATTCCCTTTCATAGAGCAGGTTTGAAACACTCTTTCTGTAGTATCTGCAAGCTGACGTTTCAAGCGCTTTCAGGCCTATGGTGAGAAAGGAAATATCTTGAAGTAAAAACTAGACAGAAGCATTCTCAGAAACTTATTTGCGATGTGTGTTCTCAACTAACAGAGTTGAACCTTTGTTTTGATATGGCATTTTGGAAACACTCTTTTTGTAGAATCTGCAGGTGGATATTCGGATAGCTTTGAAGGTTTCGTTGGAAACGGGAATATCTTCATATAAAATCTAGACGGAAGCATTCTCAGAAACTGCTTTGTGATGTTTTCATTCAAGTCACAGAGTAGAATGTTCCCTGTTATATACCAGGTTTGAGACACTCTTTCTGCACTACCTGGAAGTGGACATTTGCAGCGCTTTGAGGCCTATGATGAAAAAGGAAATATCTTCCCATAAAAACTAGACAGAAGCATTCTCAGAAACTTGTTTGTGATGTGTGTATTCAACTAACAGAGATGAACCTTTCTTTTTACAGAGCAGTTTTGAAACACTCTTTTTGTGGAATCTGAAAGTGGATATTTGGATAGCTTTGAGGATTTCGTTGGAAACGGGATTACATATAAAATCTAGAGAGAAGCATTCTCAGGAACTTCTTTGTGATGTTTGCATTCAAGTCACAGAACTGAACATTCCCTTTCATAGAGCAGGTTTGAAACACTCTTTCTGTAGTATCTGCAAGCTGACGTTTCAAGCGCTTTCAGGCCTATGGTGAGAAAGGAAATATCTTCAAGTAAAAACTAGACAGAAGCATTCTCAGAAACTTATTTGCGATGTGTGTTCTCAACTAACAGAGTTGAACCTTTGTTTTGATATGGCATTTTGGAAACACTCTTTTTGTAGAATCTGCAGGTGGATATTCGGATAGCTTTGAAGGTTTCGTTGGAAACGGGAATATCTTCATATAAAATCTAGACGGAAGCATTCTCAGAAACTGCTTTGTGATGTTTTCAGTGAAGTCACAGAGTTGAATATTCCCTTTTATAGAGCAGGTTTGAAACACTCTTTCTGCACTACCTGGAAGTGGACATTTGGAGCGCTTTGAGGCCTATGTTGAAAAAGGAAATATCTTCCCATAAAAACTAGACAGAAGCATTCTCAGAAACTTGTTTGTGATGTGTGTATTCAACTAACAGAGATGAACCTTTCTTTTTACAGAGCAGTTTTGAAACACTCTTTTTGTGGAATCTGAAAGTGGATATTTGGATAGCTTTGAGGATTTCGTTGGAAACGGGATTACATATAAAATCTAGAGAGAAGCATTCTCAGGAACTTCTTTGTGATGTTTGCATTCAAGTCACAGAACTGAACATTCCCTTTCATAGAGCAGGTTTGAAACACTCTTTCTGTAGTATCTGCAAGCTGACGTTTCAAGCGCTTTCAGGCCTATGGTGAGAAAGGAAATATCTTCAAGTAAAAACTAGACAGAAGCATTCTCAGAAACTTATTTGCGATGTGTGTTCTCAACTAACAGAGTTGAACCTTTGTTTTGATATGGCATTTTGGAAACACTCTTTTTGTAGAATCTGCAGGTGGATATTCGGATAGCTTTGAAGGTTTCGTTGGAAACGGGAATATCTTCATATAAAATCTAGACGGAAGCATTCTCAGAAACTGCTTTGTGATGTTTTAATTCAAGTCACAGAGTAGAATGTTCGCTGTTATATACCAGGTTTGAGACACTCTTTCTGCACTACCTGGAAGTGGACGTTTGGAGCGCTATGAGCCCTATGTTGAAAAAGGAAATATCTTCCCATAAAAACTAGACAGAAGCATTCTCAGAAACTTGTTTGTGATGTGTGTATTCAACTAACAGAGATGAACCTTTCTTTCTACAGAGCAGTTTTGAAACACTCTTTTTGTGGAATCTGAAAGTGGATATTTGGATAGCTTTGAGGATTTCGTTGGAAACGGGATTACATATAAAATCTAGAGAGAAGCATTCTCAGGAACTTCTTTGTGATGTTTGCATTCAAGTCACAGAACTGAACATTCCCTTTCATAGAGCATGTTTGAAACACTCTTTCTGTAGTATCTGCAAACGGACATTTCAAACGCTTTCAGGCCTATGGTGAGAAAGGAAATATCTTCAAATAAAAACTAGACAGAAGCATTCTCAGAAACTTATTTGCGATGTGTGTCCTCAACTAACAGAGTTGAACCTTTCTTTTGATACAACATTTTGGAAACACTCTTTTTGTAGAATCTGCAAGTGGATATTTGGATAGCTTTGAAGGTTTCGTTGGAAACGGGAATATCTTCATATAAAATCAAGACAGAAGCATTCTCAGAAAGTGCTTTGTGATGTTTGCATTCAAGTCACAGAGTTGAATATTCCCTTTTATAGAGCAGGTTTGAAACACTCTTTCTGCACTACCTGGAAGTGGACATTTGGAGCGCTTTGAGGCCTATGTTGAAAAAGGAAATATCTTCCCATAAAAACTAGACAGAAGCATTCTCAGAAACTTGTTTGTGATGTGTGTATTCAACTAACAGAGATGAACCTTTCTTTTTACAGAGCAGTTTTGAAACACTCTTTTTGTGGAATCTGAAAGTGGATATTTGGATAGCTTAGAGGATTTCGTTGGAAACGGGATTACATATAAAACCTAGAGAGAAGCATTCTCAGGAACTTCTTTGTGATGTTTGCATTCAAGTCACAGAACTGAACATTCCCTTTCATAGAGCAGGTTTGAAACACTCTTTCTGTAGTATCTGCAAGCTGACGTTTCAAGCGCTTTCAGGCCTATGATGAGAAAGGAAATATCTTCAAGTAAAAACTAGACAGAAGCATTCTCAGAAACTTATTTGCCATGTGTGTTCTCAACTAACAGAGTTGAACCTTTGTTTTGATACGGCATTTTGGAAACACTCTTTTTGTAGAATCTGCAGGTGGATATTCGGATAGCTTTGAAGGTTTCGTTGGAAACGGGAATATCTTCATATAAAATCTAGACGGAAGCATTCTCAGAAACTGCTTTGTGATGTTTTCATTCAAGTCACAGAGTAGAATGTTCCCTTTTATATACCAGGTTTGAGACACTCTTTCTGCACTATCTGGAAGTGGACATTTGGAGCGCTTTGAGGCCTATGATGAAAAAGGAAATATCTTCCCATAAAAACTAGACAGAAGCATTCTCAGAAACTTGTTTGTGATGTGTGTATTCAACTAACAGAGATGAACCTTTCTTTTTACAGAGCAGTTTTGAAACACTCTTTTTGTGGAATCTGAAAGTGCATATTTGGATAGCTTTGAGGATTTCGTAGGAAACGGGATTACATATAAAATCTAGAGAGAAGCATTCTCAGGAACTTCTTTGTGATGTTTGCATTCACGTCACAGAACTGAACATTCCCTTTCATAGAGCATGTTTGAAACACTCTTTCTGTAGTATCTGCAAACGGACATTTCAAGCGCTTTCAGGCCTATGGTAAGAAAGGAAATTTCTTCAAATAAAAACCAGACAGAAGCATTCTCAGAAACTTATTTGCCATGTGTGTTCTCAACTAACAGAGTTGAACCTTTGTTTTGATACGGCATTTTGGAAACACTCTTTTTGTAGAATCTGCAGGTGGATATTCGGATAGCTTTGAAGGTTTCGTTGGAAACGGGAATATCTTCATATAAAATCTGGACGGAAGCATTCTCAGAAACTGCTTTGTGATGTTTTCATTCAAGTCACAGAGTAGAATGTTCCCTGTTATATACCAGGTTTGAGACACTCTTTCTGCACTACCTGGAAGTGGACGTTTGGAGCGATTTGAGGCCTATGTTGAAAAAGGAAATATCTTCCCACAAAAACTAGACAGAAGCATTCTCAGAAACTTGTTTGTGATGTGTGTATTCAACTAACAGAGATGAACCTTTCTTTTTACAGAGCAGTTTTGAAACACTCTTTTTGTGGAATCTGAAAGTGGATATTTGGATAGCTTTGAGGATTTCGTTGGAAACGGGATTACATATAAAATCTAGAGAGAAGCATTCTCAGGAACTTCTTTGTGATGTTTGCCTTCAAGTCACAGGACTGAACATTCCCTTTCATAGAGCAGGTTTGAAACACTCTTTCTGTAGTATCTGCAAGCTGACGTTTCAAGCGCTTTCAGGCCTATGGTGAGAAAGGAAATATCTTCAAGTAAAAACTAGACAGAAGCATTCTCAGAAACTTATTTGCCATGTGTGTTCTCAACTAACAGAGTTGAACCTTTGTTTTGATACGGCATTTTGGAAACACTCTTTTTGTAGAATCTGCAGGTGGATATTCGGATAGCTTTGAAGATTTCGTTGGAAACGGGAATATCTTCATATAAAATATTGACGGAAGCATTCTCAGTAAAGTGCTTTGTGATGTTTGCATTCAAGTCACAGAGTTGAATATTCCCTTTTATAGAGCAGGTTTGAAACACTCTTTCTGCACTACCTGGAAGTGGACATTTGGAGCGCTTTGAGGCCTATGTTGAAAAAGGGAATATCTTCCCATAAAAACTAGACAGAAGCATTCTCAGAAACTTGTTTGTGATGTGTGTATTCAACTAACAGAGATGAACCTTTCTTTTTACAGAGCAGTTTTGAAACACTCTTTTTGTGGAATCTGAAAGTGGATATTTGGATAGCTTTGAGGATTTCGTTGGAAACGGGATTACATATAAAATCTAGAGAGAAGCATTCTCAGGAACTTTCTTTGTGATGTTTGCATTCAAGTCACAGAACTGAACATTCCCTTTCATAGAGCAGGTTTGAAACACTCTTTCTGTAGTATCTGCAAGCGGACGTTTTAAGCGCTTTCAGGCCTGTGGTGAGAAAGGAAATATCTTCAAATAAAAACTAGACAGAAGCATTCTCAGAAACTTATTTGCGATGTGTGTCCTCAACTAACAGAGTTGAACCTTTCTTTTGATACAACATTTTGGAAACACTCTTTTTGTAGAATCTGCAAGTGGATATTTGGATAGCTTTGAAGGTTTCGTTGGAAACGGGAATATCTTCATATGAAATCAAGACAGAAGCATTTTCAGAAAGTGCTTTGTGATGTTTTCATTCAAGTCACAGAGTAGAATGTTTCCTGTTATATACCAGGTTTGAGACACTCTTTCTGCACTACCTGGAAGTGGACATTTGGAGCGCTTTGAGGCCTATGATGAAAAAGGAAATATCTTCCCATAAAAACTAGACAGAAGCATTCTCAGAAACTTGTTTGTGATGTGTGTATTCAACTAACAGAGATGAACCTTTCTTTTTACAGAGCAGTTTTGAAACACTCTTTTTGTGGAATCTGAAAGTGGATATTTGGATAGCTTTGAGGATTTCGTTGGAAACGGGATTACATATAAAACCTAGAGAGAAGCATTCTCAGGAACTTCTTTGTGATGTTTGCCTTCAAGTCACAGGACTGAACATTCCCTTTCATAGAGCAGGTTTGAAACACTCTTTCTGTAGTATCTGCAAGCTGACGTTTCAAGCGCTTTCAGGCCTATGGTGAGAAAGGAAATATCTTCAAGTAAAAACTAGACAGAAGCATTCTCAGAAACTTATTTGCGATGTGTGTTCTCAACTAACAGAGTTGAACCTTTGTTTTGATATGGCATTTTGGAAACACTCTTTTTGTAGAATCTGCAGGTGGATATTCGGATAGCTTTGAAGGTTTCGTTGGAAACGGGAATATCTTCATATAAAATCTAGACGGAAGCATTCTCAGAAACTGCTTTGTGATGTTTTCATTCAAGTCACAGAGTAGAATGTTCCCTTTTATATACCAGGTTTGAGACACTCTTTCTGCACTATCTGGAAGTGGACATTTGGAGCGCTTTGAGGCCTATGATGAAAAAGGAAATATCTTCCCATAAAAACTAGACAGAAGCATTCTCAGAAACTTGTTTGTGATGTGTGTATTCAACTAACAGAGATGAACCTTTCTTTTTACAGAGCAGTTTTGAAACACTTTTTTTGTGGAATCTGAAAGTGGATATTTGGATAGCTTTGAGGATTTCGTTTGAAACGGGATTACATATAAAATCTAGAGAGAAGCATTCTCAGGAACTTCTTTGTGATGTTTGCATTCACGTCACAGAACTTAACATTCCCTTTCATAGAGCATGTTTGAAACACTCTTTCTGTAGTATCTGCAAACGGACATTTCAAGCGCTTTCAAGCCTCTGGTAAGAAAGGAAATATCTTCAAATAAAAACTAGACAGAAGCATTCTCAGAAACTTATTTGCGATGTGTGTCCTCAACTAACAGAGTTGATCCTTTGTTTTGATACAACATTTTGGAAACACTCTTTTTGTAGAATCTGCAAGTGGATATTTGGATAGCTTTGAAGGTTTCGTTGGAAACGGGAATATCTTCATATAAAATCAAGACAGAAGCATTCTCAGAAACTTCTCTGTGATGTTTGCATTCAACTCATAGAGTTGAACACTTCCCTTCATAGAGCAGGTTTGAAACACTCTTTTTGTAATATTTGGAAGTGGACATTTGCAGCGCTTTGAGGCCTATGTTGAAAAAGGAAATATCTTCTCCTAAAAACCAGACAGAAGCATTCTCAGAAACTTCCTTGTGATGTGTGTACTCAAGTAACAGAGTTGAACCTTCCTTTTGACAGAGCCGTTTTGAAACAGTCTTTTTGTAGAATCTGGAAGTAGATATTTGGATACCTTTGAGGATTTCTTTGGAAACGGGATATCTTCGTATAAAATCTAGACAGAAGCATTCTCAGGAACTTCTTTGTGATGTTTGCATTCAAGTCACAGAACTGAACATTCCCTTTCATAGAGCAGGTTTGAAACACTCTTTCTGTAGTATCTGCAAGCGGACGTTTCAAGTGCTTTCAGGCCTGTGGTGAAAAAGGAAATATCTTCAAATAAAAACTAGACAGAAGCCTTCTCAGAAACTTATTTGCCATGTGTGTTCTCAACTAACAGAGTTGAACCTTTGTTTTGATACGGCATTTTGGAAACACTCTTTTTGTAGAATCTGCAGGTGGATATTTGGATAGCTTTGAAGGTTTCGTTGGAAACGGGAATATCTTCATATAAAATCTCGACAGAAGCATTCTCAGAAACTGCTTGGTGATGTTTTCATTCAAGTCACAGAGTAGAATGTTCCCTGTTATATACCAGGTTTGAGACACTCTTTCTGCACTACCTGGAAGTGGACGTTTGGAGCGCTTTGAGGCCTTTGATGAAAAAGGAAATATCTTCCCATAAAAACTAGACAGAAAGCATTCTCAGAAACTTGTTTGTGATGTGTGTATTCAACTAACAGAGCATGAACCTTTCTTTTTACAGAGCAGTTTTGAAACACTCTTTTTGTGGAATCTGAAAGTGGATATTTGGATAGCTTTGCGGATTTCGTTGGAAACGGGATTACATATAAAATCTAGGGAGAAGCATTCTCAGGAACTTCTTTGTGATGTTTGCCTTCAAGTCACAGGACTGAACATTCCCTTTCATAGAGCAGGTTTGAAACACTCCTTCTGTAGTATCTGCAAGCTGACGTTTCAAGCGCTTTCAGGCCTATGGTGAGAAAGGAAATATCTTCAAGTAAAAACTAGACAGAAGCATTCTCAGAAACTTATTTGCCATGTGTGTTCTCAACTAACAGAGTTGAACCTTTGTTTTGATACGGCATTTTGGAAACACTCTTTTTGTAGAATCTGCAGGTGGATATTCGGATAGCTTTGAAGGTTTCGTTGGAAACGGGAATATCTTCATATAAAATCTAGACGGAAGCATTCTCAGAAACTGCTTGGTGATGTTTTCATTCAAGTCACAGAGTAGAATGTTCCCTGTTATATACCAGGTTTGAGACACTCTTTCTGCACTACCTTGAAGTGGACGTTTGGAGCGCTTTGAGGCCTATGTTGAAAAAAGAAATATCTTCCCATAAAAACTAGACAGAAGCATTCTCAGAAACTTGTTTGTGATGTGTGTATTCAACTAACAGAGATGAACCTTTCTTTTTACAGAGCAGTTTTGAAACACTCTTTTTGTGGAATCTGAAAGTGGATATTTGGATAGCTTTGAGGATTTCGTTGGAAACGGGATTACATATAAAATCTAGAGAGAAGCATTCTCAGGAACTTCTTTGTGATGTTTGCATTCAAGTCACAGAACTGAACATTCCCTTTCATAGAGCATGTTTGAAACACTCTTTCTGTAGTATCTGCAAGCGGACGTTTTAAGCGCTTTCAGGCCTGTGGTGAGAAAGGAAATATCTTCAAATAAAAACTAGACAGAAGCATTCTCAGAAACTTATTTGCGATGTGTGTTCTCAACTAAAAGAGTTGAACCTTTGTTTGGATACCACATTTTGGAAACACTCTTTTTGTAGAATCTGCAAGTGGATATTTGGATAGCTTTGAAGGTTTCGTTGGAAACGGGAATATCTTCATATAAAATCAAGACAGAAGCATTCTCAGAAACTTCTCTGTGATGTTTGCATTCAACTCATAGAGTTGAACACTTCCCTTCATACAGCAGGTTTGAAACACTCTTTTTCTAATATTTGGAAGTGGATATTTGCAGCGCTTTGAGGCCTATGTTGAAAAAGGAAATATCTTCTCCTAAAAACCAGACAGAAGCATTCTCAGAAACTTGTTTGTGATGTGTGTATTCAACTAACAGAGATGAACCTTTCTTTTTACAGAGCAGTTTTGAAACACACTTTTTGTGGAATCTGAAAGTGGATATTTGGATAGCTTTGAGGATTTCGTTGGAAACGGGATTACATATAAAATCTAGGGAGAAGCATTCTCAGGAACTTCTTTGTGATGTTTGCATTCAAGTCACAGAACTGAACATTCCCTTTCATACAGCAGGTTTGAAACACTCTTTCTGTAGTATCTGCAGGCTGACGTTTCAAGCGCTTTCAGGCCTATGGTGAGAAAGGAAATATCTTCAAGTAAAAACTAGACAGAAGCATTCTCAGAAACTTATTTGCCATGTGTGTTCTCAACTAACAGAGTTGAACCTTTGTTTTGATACGGCATTTTGGAAACACTCTTTTTGTAGAATCTGCAGGTGGATATTCGGATAGCTTTGAAGGTTTCGTTGGAAACGGGAATATCTTCATATAAAATCTTGACGGAAGCATTCTCAGAAACTGCTTTGTGATGTTTTCATTCAAGTCACAGAGTAGAATCTTCCCTGTTATATACCAGGTTTCAGACACTCTTTCTGCACTACCTGGAAGTGGACATTTGCAGCGCTTTGAGGCCTATGATGAAAAAGGAAATATCTTCCCATAAAAACTAGACAGAAGCATTCTCAGAAACTTGTTTGTGATGTGTGTATTCAACTAACAGAGATGAACCTTTCTTTTTACAGAGCAGTTTTGAAACACTCTTTTTGTGTAATCTGAAAGTGGATATTTGGATAGCTTTGAGGATTTCGTTGGAAACGGGATTACATATAAAATCTAGAGAGAAGCATTCTCAGGAACTTCTTTGTGATGTTTGCCTTCAAGTCACAGGACTGAACATTCCCTTTCATAGAGCAGGTTTGAAACACTCTTTCTGTAGTATCTGCAAGCTGACGTTTCAAGCGCTTTCAGGCCTATGGTGAGAAAGGAAATATCTTCAAGTAAAAACTAGACAGAAGCATTCTCAGAAACTTATTTGCCATGTGTGTTCTCAACTAACAGAGTTGAAGCTTTGTTTTCATACGGCATTTTGGAAACACTCTTTTTGTAGAATCTGCAGGTGGATATTCGGATAGCTTTAAAGGTTTCGTTGGAAACGGGAATATCTTCATATAAAATCTAGACGGAAGCATTCTCAGAAACTGCTTTGTGATGTTTTCATTCAAGTCACAGAGTAGAATGTTCCCTGTTATATACCAGGTTTGAGACACACTTTCTGCACTACCTGGAAGTGCACATTTGGAGCGCTTTGAGGCCTATGATGAAAAAGGAAATATCTTCCCATAAAAACTAGACAGAAGCATTCTCAGAAACTTGTTTGTGATGTGTGTATTCAACTAACAGAGATGAACCTTTCTTTTTACAGAGCAGTTTTGAAACACTCTTTTTGTGGAATCTGAAAGTGGATATTTGGATAGCTTTGCGGATTTCGTTGGAAACGGGATTACATATAAAATCTAGGGAGAAGCATTCTCAGGAACTTCTTTGTGATGTTTGCATTCAAGTCACAGAACTGAACATTCCCTTTCATAGAGCAGGTTTGAAACACTCTTTCTGTAGTATCTGCAAGCGGACGTTTTAAGCGCTTTCAGGCCTGTGGTGAGAAAGGAAATATCTTCAAATAAAAACTAGACAGAAGCATTCTCAGAAACTTATTTGCGATGTGTGTCCTCAACTAACAGAGTTGAACCTTTCTTTTGATACAACATTTTGGAAACACTCTTTTTGTAGAATCTGCAAGTGGATATTTGGATAGCTTTGAAGGTTTCGTTGGAAACGGGAATATCTTCATATGAAATCAAGACAGAAGCATTCTCAGAAACTTCTCTGTGATGTTTGCATTCAACTCATAGAGTTGAACACTTCCCTTCATACAGCAGGTTTGAAACACTCTTTTTCTAATATTTGGAAGTGGACATTTGCAGCGCTTTGAGGCCTATGTTGAAAAAGGAAATATCTTCTCCTAAAAACCAGACAGAAGCATTCTCAGAAACTTGTTTGTGATGTGTGTATTCAACTAACAGAGATGAACCTTTCTTTTTACAGAGCAGTTTTGAAACACTCTTTTTGTGGAATCTGAAAGTGGATATTTGGATAGCTTTGAGGATTTCGTTGGAAACGGGATTACATATAAAATCTAGGGAGAAGCATTCTCAGGAACTTCTTTGTGATGTTTGCATTCAAGTCACAGAACTGAACATTCCCTTTCATAGAGCAGGTTTGAAACACTCTTTCTGTAGTATCTGCAAGCTGACGTTTCAAGCACTTTCAGGCCTATGGTGAGAAAGGAAATATCTTCAAGTAAAAACTAGACAGAAGCATTCTCAGAAACTTATTTAACATGTGTGTTCTCAACTAACAGAGTTGAACCTTTGTTTTGATACGGCATTTTGGAAACACTCTTTTTGTAGAATCTGCTGGTGGATATTCGGATAGCTTTGAAGGTTTCGTTGGAAACGGGAATATCTTCATAGAAAATCTAGACGGAAGCATTCTCAGAAACTGCTTTGTGATGTTTTCATTCAAGTCACAGAGTAGAATGTTCTCTTTTATATACCAGGTTTGAGACACTCTTTCTGCACTATCTGGAAGTGGACATTTGGAGCGCTTTGAGGCCTATGATGAAAAAGGAAATATCTTCCCATAAAAACTAGACAGAAGCATTCTCAGAAACTTGTTTGTGATGTGTGTATTCAACTAACAGAGATGAACCTTTCTTTTTACAGAGCAGTTTTGAAACACTCTTTTTGTGGAATCTGAAAGTGCATATTTGGATAGCTTTGAGGATTTCGTTGGAAACGGGATTACATATAAAATCTAGAGAGAAGCATTCTCAGGAACTTCTTTGTGATGTTTGCATTCACGTCACAGAACTGAACATTCCCTTTCATAGAGCATGTTTGAAACACTCTTTCTGTAGTATCTGCAAACGGACATTTCAAGCGCTTTCAGGCCTATGGTAAGAAAGGAAATATCTTCAAATAAAAACTAGACAGAAGCATTCTCAGAAACTTATTTGCGATGTGTGTCCTCAACTAACAGAGTTGAACCTTTCTTTTGATACAACATTTTGGAAACACTCTTTTTGTAGAATCTGCAAGTGGATATTTGGATAGCTTTGAA
Source organism: Homo sapiens (assembly GCF_000001405.40). NCBI lineage: Eukaryota > Metazoa > Chordata > Mammalia > Primates > Hominidae > Homo > Homo sapiens. Next base: position 44,727,741 of record NC_000009.12, read on the forward strand.
GGTTTCGTTGGAAACGGGAATATCTTCATATGAAATCAAGACAGAAGCATTCTCAGAAAGTGCTTTGTGATGTTTGCATTCAAGTCACAGAGTTGAATATTCCCTTTTATAGAGCAGGTTTGAAACACTCTTTCTGCACTACCTGGAAGTGGACATTTGGAGCGCTTTGAGGCCTATGTTGAAAAAGGAAATATCTTCCCATAAAAACTAGACAGAAGCATTCTCAGAAACTTGTTTGTGATGTGTGTATTCAACTAACAGAGATGAACCTTTCTTTTTACAGAGCAGTTTTAAAACACTCTTTTTGTGGAATCTGAAAGTGGATATTTGGATAGCTTTGCGGATTTCGTTGGAAACGGGATTACATATAAAACCTAGAGAGAAGCATTCTCAGGAACTTCTTTGCGATGTTTGCATTCAAGTCACAGAACTGAACATTCCCTTTCATAGAGCAGGTTTGAAACACTCTTTCTGTAGTATCTGCAAGCTGACGTTTCAAGCGCTTTCAGGCCTATGGTGAGAAAGGAAATATCTTCAAGTAAAAACTAGACAGAAGCATTCTCAGAAACTTATTTGTGATGTGTGCTCTCAACTAACAGAGTTGAACCTTTGTTTTGATATGGCATTTTGGAAACACTCTTTTTGTAGAATCTGCAGGTGGATATTCGGATAGCTTTGAAGGTTTCGTTGGAAACGGGAATATCTTCATATAAAATCTAGACGGAAGCATTCTCAGAAACTGCTTTGTGATGTTTTCATTCAAGTCACAGAGTAGAATGTTCCCTGTTATATACCAGGTTTGAGACACTCTTTCTGCACTACATGGAAGTGGACGTTTGGAGCGCTTTGAGGCCTATGTTGAAAAAGGAAATATCTTCCCATAAAAACTAGACAGAAGCATTCTCAGAAACTTGTTTGTGATGTGTGTATTCAACTAACAGAGATGAACCTTTCTTTTTACAGAGCAGTTTTGAAACACTCTTTTTGTGGAATCTGAAAGTGGATATTTGGATAGCTTTGAGGATTTCGTTGGAAACGGGATTACATATAAAATCTAGAGAGAAGCATTCTCAGGAACTTCTTTGTGATGTTTGCATTCACGTCACAGAACTGAACATTCCCTTTCATAGAGCATGTTTGAAACACTCTTTCTGTAGTATCTGCAAACGGACATTTCAAACGCTTTCAGGCCTATGGTGAGAAAGGAAATATCTTCAAATAAAAACTAGACAGAAGCATTCTCAGAAACTTATTTGCCATGTGTGTTCTCAACTAACAGAGTTGAACCTTTGTTTTGATATGGCATTTTGGAAACACTCTTTTTGTAGAATCTACAGGTGGATATTCGGATAGCTTTGAAGGTTTCGTTGGAAACGGGAATATCTTCATATAAAATCTAGACGGAAGCATTCTCAGAAACTGCTTTGTGATGTTTTCATTCAAGTCACAGAGTAGAATGTTCCCTGTTATATACCAGGTTTGAGACGCTCTTTCTGCACTACCTGGAAGTGGACATTTGCAGCGCTTTGAGGCCTATGATGAAAAAGGAAATATCTTCCCAGAAAAACTAGACAGAAGCATTCTCAGAAACTTGTTTGTGATGTGTGTATTCAACTAACAGAGATGAACCTTTCTTTTTACAGAGCAGTTTTGAAACACTCTTTTTGTGGAATCTGAAAGTGGATATTTGGATAGCTTTGAGGATTTCGTTGGAAACGGGATTACATATAAAACCTAGAGAGAAGCATTCTCAGGAACTTCTTTGTGATGTTTGCATTCACGTCACAGAACTGAACATTCCCTTTCATAGAGCATGTTTGAAACACTCTTTCTGTAGTATCTGCAAACGGACATTTCAAGCGCTTTCAGGCCTATGGTAAGAAAGGAAATATCTTCAAATAAAAACTAGACAGAAGCATTCTCAGAAACTTATTTGCGATGTGTGTCCTCAACTAACAGAGTTGAACCTTTGTTTTGAAACAACATTTTGGAAACACTCTTTTTGTAGAATCTGCAAGTGGATATTTGGATAGCTTTGAAGGTTTCTTTGGAAACGGGAATATCTTCATATAAAATCAAGACAGAAGCATTCTCAGAAAGTGCTTTGTGATGTTTGCATTCAAGTCACAGAGTTGAATATTCCCTTTTATAGAGCAGGTTTGAAACACTCTTTCTGCACTACCTGGAAGTGGACATTTGGAGCGCTTTGAGGCCTATGTTGAAAAAGGAAATATCTTCCCATAAAAACTAGACAGAAGCATTCTCAGAAACTTGTTTGTGATGTGTGTATTCAACTAACAGAGATGAACCTTTCTTTTTACAGAGCAGTTTTGAAACACTCTTTTTGTGGAATCTGAAAGTGGATATTTGGATAGCTTTGAGGATTTCGTTGGAAACGGGATTACATATAAAACCTAGAGAGAAGCATTCTCAGGAACTTCTTTGTGATGTTTGCATTCAAGTCACAGAACTGAACATTCCCTTTCATAGAGCAGGTTTGAAACACTCTTTCTGTAGTATCTGCAAGCTGACGTTTCAAGCGCTTTCAGGCCTATGGTGAGAAAGGAAATATCTTGAAGTAAAAACTAGACAGAAGCATTCTCAGAAACTTATTTGCCATGTGTGTTCTCAACTAACAGAGTTGAACCTTTGTGTGGATACGGCATTTTGGAAACACTCTTTTTGTAGAATCTGCAGGTGGATATTCGGATAGCTTTGAAGGTTTCGTTGGAAACGGGAATATCTTCATATAAAATCTAGACGGAAGCATTCTCAGAAACTTCTCTGTGATGTTTGCATTCAACTCATAGAGTTGAACACTTCCCTTCATACAGCAGGTTTGAAACACTCTTTTTGTAGTATTTGGAAGTGGACATTTGCAGCGCTTTGAGACCTATGATGAAAAAGGAAATATCTTCCCATAAAAACTAGACAGAAGCATTCTCAGAAACTTGTTTGTGATGTGTGTATTCAACTAACAGAGATGAACCTTTCTTTTTACAGAGCAGTTTTGAAACACTCTTTTTGTGGAATCTGAAAGTGGATATTTGGATAGCTTTGAGGATTTCGTTGGAAACGGGATTACATATAAAACCTAGAGAGAAGCATTCTCAGGAACTCCTTTGTGATGTTTGCATTCAAGTCACAGAACTGAACATTCCCTTTCATAGAGCAGGTTTGAAACACTCTTTCTGTAGTATCTGCAAGCTGACGTTTCAAGCGCTTTCAGGCCTATGGTGAGAAAGGAAATATCTTCAAGTAAAAACTAGACAAAAGCATTCTCAGAAACTTATTTGCCATGTGTGTTCTCAACTAACAGAGTTGAACCTTTCTGTGGATACGGCATTTTGGAAACACTCTTTTTGTAGAATCTGCAGGTGGATATTCGGATAGCTTTGAAGGTTTCGTTGGAAACGGGAATATCTTCATATAAAATCTAGACGGAAGCATTCTCAGAAACTTCTCTGTGATGTTTGCATTCAACTCATAGAGTTGAACACTTCCCTTCATACAGCAGGTTTGAAACACTCTTTTTGTAATATTTGGAAGTGGACATTTGCAGCGCTTTGAGGCCTATGATGAAAAAGGTAATATCTTCCCATAAAAACTAGACAGAAGCATTCTCAGAAACTTGTTTGTGATGTGTGTATTCAACTAACAGAGATGAACCTTTGTTTTTACAGAGCAGTTTTGAAACACTCTTTTTGTGGAATCTGAAAGTGGATATTTGGATAGCTTTGAGGATTTCGTTGGAAACGGGATTACATATAAAATCTAGAGAGAAGCATTCCCAGGAACTTCTTTGTGATGTTTGCATTCACGTCACAGAACTGAACATTCCCTTTCATAGAGCATGTTTGAAACACTCTTTCTGTAGTATCTGCAAACGGACATTTCAAGCGCTTTCAGGCCTATGGTAAGAAAGGAAATATCTTCAAATCAAAACTAGACATAAGCATTCTCAGAAACTTATTTGCGATGTGTGTCCTCAACTAACAGAGTTGATCCTTTGTTTTGATACAAAATTTTGGAAACACTCTTTTTGTAGAATCTGCAAGTGGATATTTGGATAGCTTTGAAGGTTTCGTTGGAAACGGGAATATCTTCATATAAAATCAAGACAGAAGCATTCTCAGAAACTTCTCTGTGATGTTTGCATTCAACTCATAGAGTTGAACACTTCCCTTCATAGAGCAGGTTTGAAACACTCTTTTTGTAATATTTGGAAGTGGACATTTGCAGCGCTTTGAGGCCTATGTTGAAAAAGGAAATATCTTCTCCTAAAAACCAGACAGAAGCATTCTCAGAAACTTGTTTGTGATGTGTGTATTCAACTAACAGAGATGAACCTTTCTTTTTACAGAGCAGTTTTGAAACACTCTTTTTGTGGAATCTGAAAGTGGATATTTGGATAGCTTTGAGGATTTCGTTGGAAACGGGATTACATATAAAATCTAGAGAGAAGCATTCTCAGGAACTTCTTTGTGATGTTTGCATTCAAGTCACAGAACTGAACATTCCCTTTCATAGAGCAGGTTTGAAACACTCTTTCTGTAGTATCTGCAAGCGGACGTTTCAAGCGCTTTCAGGCCTATGGTGAGAAAGGAAATATCTTCAAATAAAAACTAGACAGAAGCATTCTCAGAAACTTATTTGCGATGTGTGTCCTCAACTAACAGAGTTGAACCTTTCTTTTGATACAACATTTTGGAAACACTCTTTTTGTAGAATCTGCAAGTGGATATTTGGATAGCTTTGAAGGTTTCGTTGGAAACGGGAATATCTTCATATGAAATCAAGACAGAAGCATTCTCAGAAAGTGCTTTGTGATGTTTGCATTCAAGTCACAGAGTTGAATATTCCCTTTTATAGAGCAGGTTTGAAACACTCTTTCTGCACTACCTGGAAGTGGACATTTGGAGCGCTTTGAGGCCTATGTTGAAAAAGGAAATATCTTCCCATAAAAACTAGACAGAAGCATTCTCAGAAACTTGTTTGTGATGTGTGTATTCAACTAACAGAGATGAACCTTTCTTTTTACAGAGCAGTTTTGAAACACTCTTTTTGTGGAATCTGAACGTGGATATTTGGATAGCTTTGAGGATTTCGTTGGAAACGGGATTACATATAAAATCTAGAGAGAAGCATTCTCAGGAACTTCTTTGTGATGTTTGCATTCAAGTCACAGAACTGAACATTCCCTTTCATAGAGCATGTTTGAAACACTCTTTCTGTAGTATCTGCAAGCGGACGTTTCAAGCGCTTTCAGGCCTATGGTGAGAAAGGAAATATCTTCAAGTAAAAACTAGACAGAAGCATTCTCAGATACTTATTTCCCATGTGTGTTCTCAACTAACAGAGTTGAACCTTTGTTTTGATACGGCATTTTGGAAACACTCTTTTTGTAGAATCTGCAGGTGGATATTCGGATAGCTTTGAAGGTTTCGTTGGAAACGGGAATATCTTCATAGAAAATCTAGACGGAAGCATTCTCAGAAACTGCTTTGTGATGTTTTCATTCAAGTCACAGAGTAGAATGTTCCCTTTTATATACCAGGTTTGAGACACTCTTTCTGCACTATCTGGAAGTGGACATTTGGAGCGCTTTGAGGCCTATGATGAAAAAGGAAATATCTTCGCATAAAAACTAGACAGAAGCATTCTCAGAAACTTGTTTGTGATGTGTGTATTCAACTAACAGAGATGAACCTTTCTTTTTACAGAGCAGTTTTGAAACACTCTTTTTGTGGAATCTGAAAGTGGATATTTGGATAGCTTTCAGGATTTCGTTGGAAACGGGATTACATATAAAACCTAGAGAGAAGCATTCTCAGGAACTTCTTTGTGATGTTTGCCTTCAAGTCACAGGACTGAACATTCCCTTTCATAGAGCATGTTTGAAACACTCTTTCTGTAGTATCTGCAAACGGACGTTTCAAGCGCTTTCAGGCCTATGGTGAGAAAGGAAATATCTTCAAGTAAAAACTAGACAGAAGCATTCTCAGAAACTTATTTGCGATGTGTGTCCTCAACTAACAGAGTTGAACCTTTCTTTTGATACAACATTTTGGAAACACTCTTTTTGTAGAATCTGCAAGTGGATATTTGAATAGCTTTGAAGGTTTCGTTGGAAACGGGAATATCTTCATATAAAATCAAGACAGAAGCATTCTCAGAAACTTCTCTGTGATGTTTGCATTCAACTCATAGAGTTGAACACTTCCCTTCATACAGCAGGCTTGAAACACTCTTTTTGTAATATTTGGAAGTGGACATTTGCAGCGCTTTGATGCCTATGATGAAAAAGGTAATATCTTCCCATAAAAACTAGACAGAAGCATTCTCAGAAACTTGTTTGTGATGTGTGTATTCAACTAACAGAGATGAACCTTTCTTTTTACAGAGCAGTTTTGAAACACTCTTTTTGTGGAATCTGAAAGTGGATATTTGGATAGCTTTGCGGATTTCGTTGGAAACGGGATTACATATAAAATCTAGGGAGAAGCATTCTCAGGAACTTCTTTATGATGTTTGCATTCAAGTCACAGAACTGAACATTCCCTTTCATAGAGCAGGTTTGAAACACTCTTTCTGTAGTATCTGCAAGCGGACGTTTTAAGCGCTTTCAGGCCTGTGGTGAGAAAGGAAATATCTTCAAATAAAAACTAGACAGAAGCATTCTCAGAAACTTATTTGCGATGTGTGTCCTCAACTAACAGAGTTGAACCTTTCTTTTGATACAACATTTTGGAAACACTCTTTTTGTAGAATCTGCAAGTGGATATTTGGATAGCTTTGAAGGTTTCGTTGGAAACGGGAATATCTTCATATGAAATCAAGACAGAAGCATTCTCAGAAACTTCTCTGTGATGTTTGCATTCAACTCATAGAGTTGAACACTTCCCTTCATACAGCAGGTTTGAAACACTCTTTTTCTAATATTTGGAAGTGGACATTTGCAGCGCTTTGAGGCCTATGTTGAAAAAGGAAATATCTTCTCCTAAAAACCAGACAGAAGCATTCTCAGAAACTTGTTTGTGATGTGTGTATTCAACTAACAGAGATGAACCTTTCTTTTTACAGAGCAGTTTTGAAACACTCTTTTTGTGGAATCTGAAAGTGGATATTTGGATAGCTTTGCGGATTTCGTTGGAAACGGGATTACATATAAAATCTAGGGAGAAGCATTCTCAGGAACTTCTTTGTGATGTTTGCATTCAAGTCACAGAACTGAACATTCCCTTTCATAGAGCAGGTTTGAAACACTCTTTTCTGTAGTATCTGCAAGCGGACGTTTTAAGCGCTTTCAGGCCTGTGGTGAGAAAGGAAATATCTTCAAATAAAAACTAGACAGAAGCATTCTCAGAAACTTATTTGCGATGTGTGTCCTCAACTAACAGAGTTGAACCTTTCTTTTGATACAACATTTTGGAAACACTCTTTTTGTAGAATCTGCAAGTGGATATTTGGATAGCTTTGAAGGTTTCGTTGGAAACGGGAATATCTTCATATGAAATCAAGACAGAAGCGTTCTCAGAAACTGCTTTGTGATGTTTTCATTCAAGTCACAGAGTAGAATCTTCCCTGTTATATACCAGGTTTCAGACACTCTTTCTGCACTACCTGGAAGTGGACATTTGCAGCGCTTTGAGGCCTATGATGAAAAAGGAAATATCTTCCCATAAAAACTAGACAGAAGCATTCTCAGAAACTTCCTTGTGATGTGTGTATTCAAGTAACAGAGTTGAACCTTCCTTTTGACAGAGCAGTTTTGAAGCACTCTTTTTGTAGAATCTGCAAGTGGATATTTTGATACCTTTGAGGATTTCGTTGGACACGGGATATCTTCATATAAAATCTAGACAGAAGTATTCTCAGAAACTTCCTTGTGATGTGTGTACTCAAGTAACAGAGTTGAACCTTCCTTTTGACAGAGCCGTTTTGAAACAGTCTTTTTGTAGAATCTGGAAGTAGATATTTGGATACCTTTGAGGATTTCTTTGGAAACGGGATATCTTCATATAAAATCTAGACAGAAGCATTCTCAGAAACTTCTTTGTGCTGTATGTCCTCAATGAACAGAGTTGAACCTTTGTGTGGATACAGCATTTTGGAAACATTCCTTTAGTAGAATCTGCAAGTTGATATTTAGATAGCTAGGAAGATTTCCTTGGAAACGGGAATATCTTCATATAAAATCTAGACGGAAGCATTCTCAGAAACTGCTTTGTGATGTTTTCATTCAAGTCACAGAGTAGAATGTTCCCTGTTATATACCAGGTTTGAGACACTCTTTCTGCACTACCCGGAAGTGGACGTTTGGAGCGCTTTGAGGCCTATGTTGAAAAAGGAAATATCTTCCCATAAAAACTAGACAGAAGCATTCTCAGAAACTTGTTTGTGATGTGTGTATTCAACTAACAGAGATGAACCTTTCTTTTTACAGAGCAGTTTTGAAACACTCTTTTTGTGGAATCTGAAAGTGGATATTTGGATAGCTTTGAGGATTTCGTTGGAAACGGGATTACATATAAAATCTAGAGAGAAGCATTCTCAGGAACTTCTTTGTGATGTTTGCATTCAAGTCACAGAACTGAACATTCCCTTTCATAGAGTCATGTTTGAAACACTCTTTCTGTAGTATCTGCAAACGGACATTTCAAGCGCTTTCAGGCCTATGGTGAGAAAGGAAATATCTTCAAATAAAAACTAGACAGAAAGCATTCTCAGCAAACTTATTTGCGATGTGTGTCCTCAACTAACAGAGTTGAACCTTTCTTTTGATACAACATTTTGGAAAAACTCTTTTTGTAGAATCTGCAAGTGGATATTTGGATAGCTTTGAAGGTTTCGTTGGAAACGGGAATATCTTCATATAAAATCAAGACAGAAGCATTCTCAGAAACTTCTCTGTGATGTTTGCATTCAACTCATAGAGTTGAACACTTCCCTTCATAGAGCAGGTTTGAAACACTCTTTTTGTAATATTTGGAAGTGGACATTTGCAGCGCTTTGAGGCCTATGTTGAAAAAGGAAATATCTTCTCCTAAAAACCAGACAGAAGCATTCTCAGAAACTTGTTTGTGATGTGTGTATTCAACTAACAGAGATGAACCTTTCTTTTAACAGAGCAGTTTTGAAACACTCTTTTTGTGGAATCTGAAAGTGGATATTTGGATAGCTTTGAGGATTTCGTTGGAAACGGGATTACATATAAAATCTAGGGAGAAGCATTCTCAGGAACTTCTTTGTGATGTTTGCATTCAAGTCACAGAACTGAACATTCCCTTTCATAGAGCAGGTTTGAAACACTCTTTCTGTAGTATCTGCAAGTGGACGTTTCAAGCGCTTTCAGGCCTGTGGTGAAAAAGGAAATATCTTCAAATAAAAACTAGACAGAAGCATTCTCAGAAACTTATTTGCGATGTGTGTTCTCAGCTAACAGAGTTGAACCTGTGTTTTGATACAGCATTTTGGAAACACTCTTTTTGTAGGATCTGCAGGTGGATATTTGGATAGCTTTGAAGGTTTCTTTGGAAACGGGAATATCTTCATATAAAATCAAGACAGAAGCATTCTCAGAAACTTCTCTGTGATGTTTGCATTCAACTCATAGAGTTGAACACTTCCTTTCATAGAGCTGGTTTGAAATTCTCTTTTTGTAATATTTGGAAGTGGACATTGGCAGCGCTTTGAAGCCTATGGTGAAAAAGGAGATATCTTCTCCTAAAAACCAGACAGAAGCATTCTCAGAATCTTTCTTGTGATGTGTGTACTCAAGTAACAGAGGTGAACCTTCATTTTGACAGAGCAGTTTTGAAGCACTCTTTTTGTAGAATCTGCAAGTGGATATTTTGATATCTTTGAGGATTTCGTTAGACACGGGATATCTTCATATAAAATCTAGACAGAAGCATTCTCAGGAACTTCTTTGTGATGTTTGCATTCAAGTCACAGAACTGAACATTCCCTTTCATAGAGCAGGTTTGAAACACTCTTTCTGTAGTATCTGCAAGCTGACGTTTCAAGCGCTTTCAGGCCTATGGTGAGAAAGGAAATATCTTCAAGTAAAAACTAGACAGAAGCATTCTCAGAAACTTATTTGCCATGTGTGTTCTCAACTAACAGAGTTGAACCTTTGTTTTGATACGGCATTTTGGAAACACTCTTTTTGTAGAATCTGCAGGTGGATATTCGGATAGCTTTGAAGGTTTCGTTGGAAACGGGAATATCTTCATATAAAATCTAGACGGAAGCATTCTCAGAAACTGCTTTGTGATGTTTTCATTCAAGTCACAGCAGTAGAATGTTCCCTGTTATATACCAGGTTTGAGACACTCTTTCTGCACTACCCGGAAGTGGACGTTTGGAGCGCTTTGAGGCCAATGTTGAAAAAGGAAATATCTTCCCATAAAAACTAGACAGAAGCATTCTCAGAAACTTGTTTGTGATGTGTGTATTCAACTAACAGAGATGAACCTTTCTTTTTACAGAGCAGTTTTGAAACACTCTTTTTGTGGAATCTGAAAGTGGATATTTGGATAGCTTTGAGGATTTCGTTGGAAACGGGATTACATATAAAACCTAGAGAGAAGCATTCTCAGGAACTTCTTTTTGATGTTTCCCTTCAAGTTACAGGACTGAACATTCCCTTTCATAGAGCAGGTTTGAAACACTCTTTCTGTAGTATCTGCAAGCTGACGTTTCAAGCGCTTTCAGGCCTATGGTGAGAAAGGAAATATCTTCAAGTAAAAACTAGACAGAAGCATTCTCAGAAACTTATTTGCCATGTGTGTTCTCAACTAACAGAGTTGAACCTTTGTTTTGATACGGCATTTTGGAAACACTCTTTTTGTAGAATCTGCAGGTGGATATTCGGATAGCTTTGAAGGTTTCGTTGGAAACGGGAATATCTTCATATAAAATCTAGACGGAAGCATTCTCAGAAACTGCTTTGTGATGTCTTCATTCAAGTCACAGAGTAGAATGTTCCCTGTTATATACCAGGTTTGAGACACTCTTTCTGCACTACCTGGAAGTGGACGTTTGGAGCGCTTTGAGGCCTATGATGAAAAAGGAAATATCTTCCCATAAAAACTAGACAGAAGCATTCTCAGAAACTTGTTTGTGATGTGTGTATTCAACTAACAGAGATGAACCTTTCTTTTTACAGAGCAGTTTTGAAACACTCTTTTTGTGGAATCTGAAAGTGGATATTTGGATAGCTTTGAGGATTTCGTTGGAAACGGGATTACATATAAAACCTAGAGAGAAGCATTCTCAGGAACTTCTTTGTGATGTTTGCCTTCAAGTCACAGGACTGAACATTCCCTTTCATAGAGCAGGTTTGAAACACTCTTTCTGTAGTATCTGCAAGCTGACGTTTCAAGCGCTTTCAGGCCTATGGTGACAAAGGAAATATCTTCAAGTAAAAACTAGACAAAAGCATTCTCAGAAACTTATTTGCCATGTGTGTTCTCAACTAACAGAGTTGAACCTTTGTTTTGATATGGCATTTTGGAAACACTCTTTTTGTAGAATCTGCAGGTGGATATTCGGATAGCTTTGAAGGTTTCGTTGGAAACGGGAATATCTTCATATAAAATCTAGACGGAAGCATTCTCAGAAACTGCTTTGTGATGTTTTCATTCAAGTCACAGAGTAGAATGTTCCCTGTTATATACCACGTTTGAGACACTCTTTCTGCACTACCTGGAAGTGGACGTTTGGAGCGCTTTGAGGCCTATGTTGAAAAAGGAAATATCTTCCCATAAAAACTAGACAGAAGCATTCTCAGAAACTTGTTTGTGATGTGTGTATTCAACTAACAGAGATGAACCTTTCTTTTTACAGAGCAGTTTTGAAACACTCTTTTTGTGGAATCTGAAAGTGGATATTTGGATAGCTTTGAGGATTTCGTTGGAAACGGGATTACATATAAAACCTAGAGAGAAGCATTCTCAGGAACTTCTTTGTGATGTTTGCATTCAAGTCACAGAACTGAACATTCCCTTTCATAGAGCAGCTTTGAAACACTCTTTCTGTAGTATCTGCAAGCGGACGTCTCAAGCGCTTTCAGCCCTATGGTGAGAAAGGAAATATCTTCAAGTAAAAACTAGACAGAAGCATTCTCAGAAACTTATTTGCCATGTGTGTTCTCAACTAACAGAGTTGAACATTTGTTTTGATACGGCATTTTGGAAACACTCTTTTTGTAGAATCTGCTGGTGGATATTCGGATAGCTTTGAAGGTTTCGTTGGAAACGGGAATATCTTCATATAAAATCTGGACGGAAGCATTCTCAGAAAGTGCTTTGTGATGTTTGCATTCAAGTCACAGAGTTGAATATTCCCTTTTATAGAGCAGGTTTGAAACACTCTTTCTGCACTACCTGGAAGTGGACATTTGGAGCGCTTTGAGGCCTATGTTGAAAAAGGAAATATCTTCCCATAAAAACTAGACAGAAGCATTCTCAGAAACTTGTTTGTGATGTGTGTATTCAACTAACAGAGATGAACCTTTCTTTTTACAGAGCAGTTTTGAAACACTCTTTTTGTGGAATCTGAAAGTGGATATTTGGATAGCTTTGAGGATTTCGTTGGAAACGGGATTACATATAAAACCTAGGGAGAAGCATTCTCAGGAACTTCTTTGTGATGTTTGCATTCAAGTCACAGAACTGAACATTCCCTTTCATAGAGCATGTTTGAAACACTCTTTCTGTAGTATCTGCAAACGGACATTTCAAACGCTTTCAGGCCTATGGTGAGAAAGGAAATATCTTCAAATAAAAACTAGACAGAAGCATTCTCAGAAACTTATTTGCGATGTGTGTCCTCAACTAACAGAGTTGAACCTTTCTTTTGATACAACATTTTGGAAACACTCTTTTTGTGGAATCTGCAAGTGGATATTTGGATAGCTTTGAAGGTTTCATTGGAAACGGGAATATCTTCATATAAAATCAAGACAGAAGCATTCTCAGAAACTTCTCTGTGATGTTTGCATTCAACTCATAGAGTTGAACACTTCCCTTCATACAGCAGGTTTGAAACACTCTTTTTCTAATATTTGGAAGTGGACTTTTGCAGCGCTTTGAAGCCTATGATGAAAAAGGTAATATCTTCCCATAAAAACTAGAAAGAAGCATTCTCAGAAACTTGTTTGTGATGTGTGTATTCAACTAACAGAGATGAACCTTTCTTTTTACAGAGCAGTTTTGAAGCACTCTTTTTGTAGAATCTGCAAGTGGATATTTTGATACCATTGAGGATTTCGTTGGACACGGGATATCTTCATATAAAATCTAGACAGAAGCATTCTCAGAAACTTCTTTGTGCTGTATGTCCTCAATTAACAGAGTTGAACCTTTGTGTGGATACAGCATTTTGGAAACATTCCTTTAGTAGAATCTGCAAGTTGATATTTAGATAGCTAGGAAGAGTTCCTTGGAAACGGGAATATCTTCATATAAAATCTAGACGGAAGCATTCTCAGAAAGTGCTTTGTGATGTTTGCATTCAAGTCACAGAGTAGAATCTTCCCTTTTATAGAGCAGGTTTGAAACACTCTTTCTGCACTACCTGGAAGTGGACATTTGGAGCGCTTTGAGGCCTATGTTGAAAAAGGAAATATCTTCCCATAAAAACTAGACAGAAGCATTCTCAGAAACTTGTTTGTGATGTGTGTATTCAACTAACAGAGATGAACCTTTCTTTTTACAGAGCAGTTTTGAAACACTCTTTTTGTGGAATCTGAAAGTGGATATTTGGATAGCTTTGAGGATTTCGTTGGAAACGGGATTACATATAAAATCTAGAGAGAAGCATTCTCAGGAACTTCTTTGTGATGTTTGCATTCACGTCACAGAACTGAACATTCCCTTTCATAGAGCATGTTTGAAACACTCTTTCTGTAGTATCTGCAAACGGACATTTCAAACGCTTTCAGGCCTATGGTGAGAAAGGAAATATCTTCAAGGAAAAACTAGACAGAAGCATTCTCAGAAACTTCTTTGTGCTGTATGTCCTCAATTAACAGAGTTGAACCTTTGTGTGGATACAGCATTTTGGAAACATTCCTTTAGTAGAATCTGCAAGTTGGTATTTAGATAGCTAGGAAGATTTCCTTGGAAACGGGAATATCTTCATATAAAATCTAGACGGAAGCATTCTCAGAAAGTGCTTTGTGATGTTTGCATTCAAGTCACAGAGTTGAATATTCCCTTTTATAGAGCAGGTTTGAAACACTGTTTCTGCACTACCTGGAAGTGGACATTTGGAGCACTTTGAGGCCTATGTTGAAAAAGGAAATATCTTCCCATAAAAACTAGACAGAAGCATTCTCAGAAACTTGTTTGTGATGTGTGTATTCAACTAACAGAGATGAACCTTTCTTTTTACAGAGCAGTTTTGAAACACTTTTTTTGTGGAATCTGAAAGTGGTTATTTGGATAGCTTTGAGGATTTCGTTGGAAACGGGATTACATATAAAACCTAGAGAGAAGCACTCTCAGGAACTTCTTTGTGATGTTTGCATTCAAGTCACAGAACTGAACATTCCCTTTCATAGAGCATGTTTGAAACACTCTTTCTGTAGTATCTGCAAACGGACATTTCAAACGCTTTCAGGCCTATTGTGAGAAAGGAAATATCTTCAAGTAAAAACTAGACAGAAGCATTCTCAGAAACTTCTTTGTGCTGTATGTCCTCAATTAACAGAGTTGAACCTTTGTGTGGATACAGCATTTTGGAAACATTCCTTTAGTAGAATCTGCAAGTTGATATTTAGATAGCTAGGAAGATTTCCTTGGAAACGGGAATATCTTCATATAAAATCTAGACGGAAGCATTCTCAGAAAGTGCTTTGTGATGTTTGCATTCAAGCCACAGAGTTGAATATTCCCTTTTATAGAGCAGGTTTGAAACACTCTTTCTGCACTACCTGGAAGTGGACATTTGGAGCGCTTTGAGGCCTATGTTGAAAAACGAAATATCTTCCCATAAAAACTAGACAGAAGCATTCTCAGAAACTTGTTTGTGATGTGTGTATTCAACTAACAGAGATGAACCTTTCTTTTTACAGAGCAGTTTTGAAACACTCTTTTTGTGGAATCTGAAAGTGGATATTTGGATAGCTTTGAGGATTTCGTTGGAAACGGGATTACATATAAAATCTAGAGAGAAGCATTCTCAGGAACTTCTTTGTGATGTTTGCATTCACGTCACAGAACTGAACATTCCCTTTCATAGAGCATGTTTGAAACACTCTTTCTGTAGTATCTGCAAACGGACATTTCAAACGCTTTCAGGCCTATGGTGAGAAAGGAAATATCTTCAAGTAAAAACTAGACAGAAGCATTCTCAGAAACTTATTTGCGATGTGTGTCCTCAACTAACAGAGTTGAACCTTTCTTTTGATACAACATTTTGGAAACACTCTTTTTGTAGAATCTGCAAGTGGATATTTGAATAGCTTTGAAGGTTTCGTTGGAAACGGGAATATCTTCAAATAAAATCAAGACAGAAGCATTCTCAGAAACTTCTCTGTGATGTTTGCATTCAACTCATAGAGTTGAACACTTCCCTTCATACAGCAGGTTTGAAACACTCTTTTTGTAATATTTGGAAGTGGACATTTGCAGCGCTTTGAGGCCTATGATGAAAAAGGTAATATCTTCCCATAAAAACTAGACAGAAGCATTCTCAGAAACTTGTTTGTGATGTGTGTATTCAACTAACAGAGATGAACCTTTCTTTTTACAGAGCAGTTTTGAAACACTCTTTTTGTGGAATCTGAAAGTGGATATTTGGATAGCTTTGCGGATTTCGTTGGAAACGGGATTACATATAAAATCTAGGGAGAAGCATTCTCAGGAACTTCTTTGTGATGTTTGCATTCAAGTCACAGAACTGAACATTCCCTTTCATAGAGCAGGTTTGAAACACTCTTTCTGTAGTATCTGCAAGCGGACGTTTTAAGCGCTTTCAGGCCTGTGGTGAGAAAGGAAATATCTTCAAATAAAAACTAGACAGAAGCATTCTCAGAAACGTATTTGCGATGTGTGTCCTCAACTAACAGAGTTGAACCTTTCTTTTGATACAACATTTTGGAAACACTCTTTTTGTAGAATCTGCAAGTGGATATTTGGATAGCTTTGAAGGTTTCGTTGGAAACGGGAATATCTTCATATGAAATCAAGACAGAAGCATTCTCAGAAACTTCTCTGTGATGTTTGCATTCAACTCATAGAGTTGAACACTTCCCTTCATACAGCAGGTTTGAAACACTCTTTTTGTAATATTTGGAAGTGGACATTTGCAGCGCTTTGAGGCCTATGTTGAAAAAGGAAATATCTTCTCCTAAAAACCAGACAGAAGCATTCTCAGAAACTTCCTTGTGATGTGTGTACTCAAGTAACAGAGTTGAACCTTCCTTTTGACAGAGCAGTTTTGAAGCACTCTTTTTGTAGAATCTGCAAGTGGATATTTTGATACCTTTGAGGATTTCGTTGGACACGGGATATCTTCATATAAAATCTAGACTAGAAGCATTCTCAGGAACTTCTTCGTGATGTTTGCATTCAAGTCACAGAACTGAACATTCCCTTTCATAGTGCAGGTTTGAAACACTCTTTCTGTAGTATCTGCAAGCTGACGTTTCAAGCGCTTTCAGGCCTGTGGTGAAAAAGGAAATATCTTCAAATAAAAACTAGACAGAAGCATTCTCAGAAGCTTATTTGCCATGTGTGTTCTCAACTAACAGAGTTGAACCTTTGTTTTGATACGGCATTTTGGAAACACTCTTTTTGTAGAATCTGCAGGTGGATATTCGGATAGCTTTGAAGGTTTCGTTGGAAACGGGAATATCTTCATATAAAATCTAGACGGAAGCATTCTCAGAAACTGCTTTGTGATGTTTTCATTCAAGTCACAGAGTAGAATGTTCCCTGTTATACACCAGGTTTGAGACACTCTTTCTGCACTACCTGGAAGTGGACGTTTGGAGCGCTTTGAGGCCTATGTTGAAAAAGGAAATATCTTCCCATAAAAACTAGACAGAAGCATTCTCAGAAACTTGTTTGTGATGTGTGTATTCAACTAACAGAGATGAACCTTTCTTTTTACAGAGCAGTTTTGAAACACTCTTTTTGTGGAATCTGAAAGTGGATATTTGGATAGCTTTGAGGATTTCGTTGGAAACGGGATTACATATAAAATCTAGAGAGAAGCATTCTCAGGAACTTCTTTGTGATGTTTGCATTCACGTCACAGAACTGAACATTCCCTTTCATAGAGCAGGTTTGAAACACTCTTTCTGTAGTATCTGCAAGCTGACGTTTCAAGCGCTTTCAGGCCTGTGGTGAAAAAGGAAATATCTTCAAATAAAAACTAGACAGAAGCATTCTCAGAAACTTATTTGCGATGTGTGTTCTCAACTAACAGTGTTGAACCTTTGTTTGGATACAACATTTTGGAAACACTCTTTTTGTAGAATCTGCAAGTGGATATTTGGATAGCTTTGAAGGTTTCGTTGGAAACGGGAATATCTTCATATAAAATCAAGACAGAAGCATTCTCAGAAACTTCTCTGTGATGTTTGCATTCAACTCATAGAGTTGAACACTACCTTTCATAGAGCAGGTTTGAAACACTCTGTGCACTACCTGGAAGTGGACATTTGGAGCGCTTTGAGGCCTATGTTGAAAAAGGAAATATCTTCCCATAAAAACTAGACAGAAGCATTCTCAGAAACTTGTTTGTGATGTGTGTATTCAACTAACAGAGATGAACCTTTCTTTTTACAGAGCAGTTTTGAAACACTCTTTTTGTGGAATCTGAAAGTGGATATTTGGATAGCTTTGAGGATTTCGTTGGAAACGGGATTACATATAAAATCTAGGGAGAAGCATTCTCAGGAACTTCTTTGTGATGTTTGCATTCAAGTCACAGAACTGAACATTCCCTTTCATAGAGCAGGTTTGAAACACTCTTTCTGTAGTATCTGCAACCGGACGTTTCAAGCGCTTTCAGGCCTGTGGTGAAAAAGGAAATATCTTCAAATAAAAACTAGACAGAAGCATTCTCAGAAACTTATTTGCGATGTGTGTTCTCAACTAACAGAGTTGAACCTTTGTTTTGATACAGCATTTTGGAAACACTCTTTTTGTAGGATCTGCAGGTGGATATTTGGATAGCTTTGAAGGTTTCGTTGGAAACGGGAATATCTTCATATAAAATCAAGACAGAAGCATTCTCAGAAACTTCTTTGTGATGTTTGCATTCAACTCATAGAGTTGAACACTTCCCTTCATACAGCAGGTTTGAAACACTCTTTTTGTAATATTTGGAAGTGGCCATTTGCAGCGCTTTGAGGCCTATGTTGAAAAAGGGAATATCTTCTACTAAAAACCAGACAGAAGCATTCTCAGAAACTTCCTTGTGATGTGTGTACTCAAGTAACAGAGTTGAACCTTACTTTTGACAGACCCGTTTTGAAAGAGTCTTTTTGTAGAATCTGGACGTAGATATTTGGATACCTTTGAGGATTTCTTTGGAAACGGGATATCTTCATATAAAATCTAGACAGAAGCATTCTCAGAAAGTGCTTTGTGATGTTTGCATTCAAGTCACAGAGTTGAATATTCCCTTTTATAGAGCAGGTTTGAAACACTCTTTCTGCACTACCTGGAAGGGGACATTTGGAGCGCTTTGAGGCCTATGTTGAAAAAGGAAATATCTTCCCATAAAAACTAGACAGAAGCATTCTCAGAAACTTGTTTGTGATGTGTGTATTCAACTAACAGAGATGAACCTTTCTTTTTACAGAGCAGTTTTGAAACACTCTTTTTGTGGAATCTGAAAGTGGATATTTGGATAGCTTTGAGGATTTCGTTGGAAACGGGATTACATATAAAATCTAGAGAGAAGCATTCTCAGGAACTTCTTTGTGATGTTTGCATTCAAGTCACAGAACTGAACATTCCCTTTCATAGAGCAGGTTTGAAACACTCTTTCTGTAGTATCTGCAAGCTGACGTTTCAAGCGCTTTCAGGCCTATGGTGAGAAAGGAAATATCTTCAAGTAAAAACTAGACAGAAGCATTCTCAGAAACTTATTTGCGATGTGTGTTCTCAACTAACAGAGTTGAACCTTTGTTTTGATACGGCATTTTGGAAACACTCTTTTTGTAGAATCTGCAGGTGGATATTCGGATAGCTTTGAAGGTTTCGTTGGAAACGGGAATATCTTCATATAAAATCTAGACGGAAGCATTCTCAGAAACTGCTTTGTGATGTTTTCATTGAAGTCACAGAGTAGAATGTTCCCTTTTATATACCAGGTTTGAGACACTCTTTCTGCACTATCTGGAAGTGGACATTTGGAGCGCTTTGAGGCCTATGATGAAAAAGGAAATATCTTCCCATAAAAACTAGACAGAAGCATTCTCAGAAACTTGTTTGTGATGTGTGTATTCAACTAACAGAGATGAACCTTTCTTTTTACAGAGCAGTTTTGAAACAGTCTTTTTGTAGAATCTGGAAGTAGATATTTGGATACCTTTGAGGATTTCTTTGGAAACGGGATATCTTCATATAAAATCTAGACAGAAGCATTCTCAGGAACTTCTTTGTGATGTTTGCATTCACGTCACAGAACTGAACATTCCCTTTCATAGAGCATGTTTGAAACACTCTTTCTGTAGTATCTGCAAACGGACATTTCAAACGCTTTCAGGCCTATGGTGAGAAAGGAAATATCTTCACATAAAAACTAGACAGAAGCATTCTCAGAAACTTATTTGCGATGTGTGTCCTCAACTAACAGAGTTGAACCTTTCTTTTGATACAACATTTTGGAAACACTCTTTTTGTAGAATCTGCAAGTGGATATTTGAATAGCTTTGAAGGTTTCGTTGGAAACGGGAATATCTTCATATAAAATCAAGACAGAAGCATTCTCAGAAACTTCTCTGTGATGTTTGCATTCAACTCATAGAGTTGAACACTTCCCTTCATACAGCAGGTTTGAAACACTCTTTTTGTAATATTTGGAAGTGGACATTTGCAGCGATTTGAGGCCTATGATGAAAAAGGTAATATCTTCCCATAAAAACTAGACAGAAGCATTCTCAGAAACTTGTTTGTGATGTGTGTATTCAACTAACAGAGATGAACCTTTCTTTTTACAGAGCAGTTTTGAAACACTCTTTTTGTGGAATCTGAAAGTGGATATTTGGATAGCTTTGCGGATTTCGTTGGAAACGGGATTACATATAAAATCTAGGGAGAAGCATTCTCAGGAACTTCTTTGTGATGTTTGCATTCAAGTCACAGAACTGAACATTCCCTTTCATAGAGCAGGTTTGAAACACTCTTTCTGTAGTATCTGCAAGCGGACGTTTTAAGCGCTTTCAGGCCTGTGGTGAGAAAGGAAATATCTTCAAATAAAAACTAGACAGAAGCATTCTCAGAAACTTATTTGCGATGTGTGTCCTCAACTAACAGAGTTGAACCTTTCTTTTGATACAACATTTTGGAAACACTCTTTTTGTAGAATCTGCAAGTGGATATTTGGATAGCTTTGAAGGTTTCGTTGGAAACGGGAATATCTTCATATGAAATCAAGACAGAAGCATTCTCAGAAACTTCTCTGTGATGTTTGCATTCAACTCATAGAGTTGAACACTTCCCTTCATACAGCAGGTTTGAAACACTCTTTTTCTAATATTTGGAAGTGGACATTTGCAGCGCTTTGAGGCCTATGTTGAAAAAGGAAATATCTTCTCCTAAAAACCAGACAGAAGCATTCTCAGAAACTTGTTTGTGATGTGTGTATTCAACTAACAGAGATGAACCTTTCTTTTTACAGAGCAGTTTTGAAACACTCTTTTTGTGGAATCTGAAAGTGGATATTTGGATAGCTTTGAGGATTTCGTTGGAAACGGGATTACATATAAAATCTAGAGAGAAGCATTCTCAGAAACTTCTCTGTGATGTTTGCATTCAACTCATAGAGTTGAACACTTCCTTTCATAGAGCTGGTTTGAAATACTCTTTTTGTAATATTTGGAAGTGGACATTGGCAGCGCTTTGAAGCCTATGGTGAAAAAGGAGATATCTTCTCCTAAAAACAAGACAGAAGCATTCTCAGAATCTTTCTTGTGATGTGTGTACTCAAGTAACAGAGGTGAACCTTCATTTTGACAGAGCAGTTTTGAAGCACTCTTTTTGTAGAATCTGCAAGTGGATATTTTGATATCTTTGAGGATTTCGTTAGACACGGGATATCTTCATATAAAATCTAGACAGAAGCATTCTCAGGAACTTCTTTGTGATGTTTGCATTCACGTCACAGAACTGAACATTCCCTTTCATAGAGCATGTTTGAAACACTCTTTCTGTAGTATCTGCAAACGGACATTTCAAACGCTTTCAGGCCTATGGTGAGAAAGGAAATATCTTCAAATAAAAACTAGACAGAAGCATTCTCAGAAACTTCTTTGTGCTGTATGTCCTCAATTAACAGAGTTGAACCTTTGTGTGGATACAGCATTTTGGAAACATTCCTTTAGTAGAATCTGCAAGTTGATATTTAGATAGCTAGGAAGATTTCCTTGGAAACGGGAATATCTTCATATAAAATCTAGACGGAAGCATTCTCAGAAAGTGCTTTGTGATGTCTTCATTCAAGTCACAGAGTAGAATGTTCCCTTTTATAGAGCAGGTTTGAAACACTCTTTCTGCACTACCTGGAAGTGGACATTTGGAGCGCTTTGAGACCTATGTTGAAAAAGGAAATATCTTCCCATAAAAACTAGACAGAAGCATTCTCAGAAACTTGTTTGTGATGTGTGTATTCAACTAACAGAGATGAGCCTTTCTTTTTACAGAGCAGTTTTGAAACACTCTTTTTGTGGAATCTGAAAGTGGATATTTGGATTGCTTTGCGGATTTCGTTGGAAACGGGATTACATATAAAATCTAGGGAGAAGCATTCTCAGGAACTTCTTTGTGATGTTTGCATTCAAGTCACAGAACTGAACATTCCCTTTCATAGAGCAGGTTTGAAACACTCTTTCTGTAGTATCTGCAAGCGGACGTTTTAAGCGCTTTCAGGCCTGTGGTGAGAAAGGAAATATCTTCAAATAAAAACTAGACAGAAGCATTCTCAGAAACTTATTTGCGATGTGTGTCCTCAACTAACAGAGTTGAACCTTTCTTTTGATACAACATTTTGGAAACACTCTTTTTGTAGAATCTGCAAGTGGATATTTGGATAGCTTTGAAGGTTTCGTTGGAAACGGGAATATCTTCATATGAAATCAAGACAGAAGCATTCTCAGAAACTTCTCTGTGATGTTTGCATTCAACTCATAGAGTTGAACACTTCCCTTCATACAGCAGGTTTGAAACACTCTTTTTCTAATATTTGGAAGTGGACATTTTCAGCGCTTTGAGGCCTATGTTGAAAAAGGATATATCTTCTCCTAAAAACCAGACAGAAGCATTCTCAGAAACTTATTTGCCATGTGTGTTCTCAACTAACAGAGTTGAACCTTTGTTTTCATACGGCATTTTGGAAACACTCTATTTGTAGAATCTGCAGGTGGATATTCAGATAGCTATGAAGGTTTCGTTGGAAACGGGAATATCTTCATATAAAATCTAGACGGAAGCATTCTCAGAAAGTGCTTTGTGATGTTTGCATTCAAGTCACAGAGTTGAATATTCCCTTTTATAGAGCAGGTTTGAAACACTCTTTCTGCACTACCTGGAAGTGGACATTTGGAGCGCTTTGAGGCCTGTGTTGAAAAAGGAAATATCTTCCCATAAAAACTAGACAGAAGCATTCTCAGAAACTTGTTTGTGATGTGTGTATTCAACTAACAGAGATGAACCTTTCTTTTTACAGAGCAGTTTTGAAACACTCTTTTTGTGGAATCTGAAAGTGGATATTTGGATAGCTTTGCGGATTTCGTTGGAAACGGGATTACATATAAAATCTAGGGAGAAGCATTCTCAGGAACTTCTTTGTGATGTTTGCATTCAAGTCACAGAACTGAACATTCCCTTTCATAGAGCAGGTTTGAAACACTCTTTCTGTAGTATCTGCAAGCGGACGTTTTAAGCGCTTTCAGGCCTGTGGTGAGAAAGGAAATATCTTCAAATAAAAACTAGACAGAAGCATTCTCAGAAACTTATTTGCGATGTGTGTCCTCAACTAACAGAGTTGAACCTTTCTTTTGATACAACATTTTGGAAACACTCTTTTTGTAGAATCTGCAAGTGGATATTTGGATAGCTTTGAAGGTTTCGTTGGAAACGGGAATATCTTCATATGAAATCAAGACAGAAGCATTCTCAGAAACTTCTCTGTGATGTTTGCATTCAACTCATAGAGTTGAACACTTCCCTTCATACAGCAGGTTTGAAACACTCTTTTTCTAATATTTGGAAGTGGACATTTGCAGCGCTTTGAGGCCTATGTTGAAAAAGGAAATATCTTCTCCTAAAAACCAGACAGAAGCATTCTCAGAAACTTGTTTGTGATGTGTGTATTCAACTAACAGAGATGAACCTTTCTTTTTACAGAGCAGTTTTGAAACACTCTTTTTGTGGAATCTGAAAGTGGATATTTGGATAGCTTTGAGGATTTCGTTGGAAACGGGATTACATATAAAACCTAGAGAGAAGCATTCTCAGGAACTTCTTTGTGATGTTTGCATTCAAGTCACAGAACTGAACATTCCCTTTCATAGAGCATGTTTGAAACACTCTTTCTGTAGTATCTGCAAGCGGACGTTTCAAGCGCTTTCAGGCCTATGGTGCGAAAGGAAATATCTTCAAGTAAAAACTAGACAGAAGCATTCTCAGAAACTTATTTGCCATGTGTGTTCTCAACTAACAGAATTGAATTCTTTGTTGTGATACGGCATTTTGGAAACACTCTTTTTGTAGAATCTGCAGGTGCATATTCGGATAGCTTTGAAGGTTTCGTTGGAAACGGGAATATCTTCATATAAAATCTAGACGGAAGCATTCTCAGAAACTGCTTTGTGATGTTTTCATTCAAGTCACAGAGTAGAATGTTCCCTGTTATATACCAGGTTTGAGACACTCTTTCTGCACTACCTGGAAGTGGACATTTGCAGCGCTTTGAGGCCTATGATGAAAAAGGAAATATCTTCCCATAAAAACTAGACAGAAGCATTCTCAGAAACTTGTTTGTGATGTGTGTATTCAACTAACAGACGCTGAACCTTTCTTTTTACAGAGCAGTTTTGAAACACTCTTTTTGTGGAATCTGAAAGTGGTTATTTGGATAGCTTTGAGGATTTCGTTGGAAACGGGATTACATATAAAATCTAGAGAGAAGCATTCTCAGGAACTTCTTTGTGATGTTTGCATTCACGTCACAGAACTGAACATTCCCTTTCATAGAGCATGTTTGAAACACTCTTTCTGTAGTATCTGCAAACGGACATTTCAAACGCTTTCAGGCCTATGGTGAGAAAGGAAATATCTTCAAATAAAAACTAGACAGAAGCATTCTCAGAAACTTATTTGCCATGTGTGTTCTCAACTAACAGAGTTGAACCTTTGTTTTGATGCGGCATTTTGGAAACACTCTTTTTGTAGAATCTGCAGGTGGATATACGGATAGCTTTGAAGGTTTCGTTGGAAACGGGAATATCTTCATATAAAGTCTAGACGGAAGCATTCTCAGAAACTTATTTGCGATGTGTGTTCTCAACTAACAGTGTTGAACCTTTGTTTTGATACAGCATTTTGGAAACACTCTTTTTGTAGGATCTGCAGGTGGATATTTGGATAGCTTTGAAGGTTTCGTTGGAAACGGGAATATCTTCATATAAAATCAAGACAGAAGCATTCTCAGAAACTTCTCTGTGATGTTTGCATTCAACTCATAGAGTTGAACACTTCCCTTCACAGAGCAGGTTTGAAACACTCTTTTTGTAATATTTGTAAGTGGACATTTGCAGCGCTTTGAGGCCTATGTTGGAAAAGGAAATATCTTCTCCTAAAAACCAGACAGAAGCATTCTCAGAAAGTTCCTTGTGATGTGTGTACTCAAGTAACAGAGTTGAACCTTACTTTTGACAGAGCCGTTTTGAAAAAGTCTTTTTGTAGAATCTGGAAGTAGATATTTGGATACCTTTGAGGATTTCTTTGGAAACGGGATATCTTCATACAAAATCTAGACAGAAGCATTCTCAGAAACTTCTTTGTGCTGTATGTCCTCAATTAACAGAGTTGAAGCTTTGTGTGGATACAGCATTTTGGAAACATTCCTTTAGTAGAATCTGCAAGTTGATATTTAGATAGCTAGGAAGATTTCCTTGGGAACGGGAATATCTTCATATAAAATCTAGACGGAAGCATTCTCAGAAACTGCTTTGTGATGTCTTCATTCAAGTCACAGAGTAGAATGTTCCCTTTTATAGAGCAGGTTTGAAACACTCAGTGCACTACCTGGAAGTGGACATTTGGAGCGCTTTGAGGCCTATGTTGAAAAAGGAAATATCTTCCCATAGAAACTAGACAGAAGCATTCTCAGAAACTTGTTTGTGATGTGTGTATTCAACTAACAGAGATGAACCTTTCTTTTTACAGAGCAGTTTTGAAACACTCTTTTTGTGGAATCTGAAAGTGGATATTTGGATAGCTTTGAGGATTTCGTTGGAAACGGGATTACATATAAAATCTAGAGAGAAGCATTCTCAGGAACTTCTTTGTGATGTTTGCATTCAAGTCACAGGACTGAACATTCCCTTTCATAGAGCAGGTTTGAAACTCTCTTTCTGTAGTATCTGCAAGCTGACGTTTCAAGCGCTTTCAGGCCTATGGTGAGAAAGGAAATATCTTCAAGTAAAAACTAGACAGAAGCATTCTCAGAAACTTATTTGCCATGTGTGTTCTCAACTAACAGAGTTGAACCTTTGTTTTGATACGGCATTTTGGAAACACTCTTTTTGTAGAATCTGCAGGTGGATATTCGGATAGCTTTGAAGGTTTCGTTGGAAACGGGAATATCTTCATATAAAATCTTGACGGAAGCATTCTCAGAAACTGCTTTGTGATGTTTTCATTCAAGTCACAGAGTAGAATGTTCCCTGTTATATACCAGGTTTGAGACACTCTTTCTGCACTACCTGGAATTGGACATTTGGAGCGCTTTGAGGCCTATGATGAAAAAGGAAATATCTTCCCATAAAAACTAGACAGAAGCATTCTCAGAAACTTGTTTGTGATGTGTGTATTCAACTAACAGAGATGAACCTTTCTTTTTACAGAGCAGTTTTGAAACACTCTTTTTGTGGAATCTGAAAGAGGATATTTGGATAGATTTGAGGATTTCGTTGGAAACGGGATTACATATAAAATCTAGAGAGAAGAATTCTCAGGAACTTCTTTGTGATGTTTGCATTCACGTCACAGAACTGAACATTCCCTTTCATAGAGCATGTTTGAAACACTCTTTCTGTAGTATCTGCAAACGGACATTTCAAACGCTTTCAGGCCCATGGTGAGAAAGGAAATATCTTCAAATAAAAACTAGACAGAAGCATTCTCAGAAACTTATTTGCGATGTGTGTCCTCAACTAACAGAGTTGAACCTTTCTTTTGATACAACATTTTGGAAACACTCTTTTTGTAGAATCTGCAAGTGGATATTTGAATAGCTTTGAAGGTTTCGTTGGAAACGGGAATATCTTCATATAAAATCAAGACAGAAGCATTCTCAGAAACTTCTCTGTGATGTTTGCATTCAACTCATAGAGTTGAACACTTCAATTCATACAGCAGGTTTGAAACACTCTTTTTCTAATATTTGGAAGTGGACATTTGCAGCGCTTTGAGGCCTATGATGAAAAAGGTAATATCTTCCCATAAAAACTAGACAGAAGCATTCTCAGAAACTTGTTTGTGATGTGTGTATTCAACTAACAGAGATGAACCTTTCTTTTTACAGAGCAGTTTTGAAACACTCTTTTTGTGGAATCTGAAAGTGGATATTTGGATAGCTTTGCAGATTTCGTTGGAAACGGGATTACATATAAAATCTAGGGAGAAGCATTCTCAGGAACTTCTTTGTGATGTTTGCATTCACGTCACAGAACTGAACATTCCCTTTCATAGAGCATGTTTGAAACACTCTTTCTGTAGTATCTGCAAACGGACATTTCAAACGCTTTCAGGCCTATGGTGAGAAAGGAAATATCTTCAAATAAAAACTAGACAGAAGCATTCTCAGAAACTTATTTGCGATGTGTGTCCTCAACTAACAGAGTTGAACCTTTCTTTTGATACAACATTTTGGAAACACTCTTTTTGTAGAATCTGCAAGTGGATATTTGAATAGCTTTGAAGGTTTCGTTGGAAACGGGAATATCTTCAAATAAAAACTAGACAGAAGCATTCTCAGAAACTTCTCTGTGATGTTTGCATTCAACTCATAGAGTTGAACACTTCCCTTCATACAGCAGGTTTGAAACACTCTTTTTGTAATATTTGGAAGTGGACATTTGCAGCGCTTTGAGGCCTATGATGAAAAAGGTAATATCTTCCCATAAAAACTAGACAGAAGCATTCTCAGAAACTTGTTTGTGATGTGTGTCTTCAACTTACAGAGATGAACCTTTCTTTTTACAGAGCAGTTTTGAAACACTCTTTTTGTGGAATCTGAAAGTGGATATTTGGATAGCTTTGAGGATTTCGTTGGAAACGGTATTACATATAAAATCTAGGGAGAAGCATTCTCAGGAACTTCTTTGTGATGTTTGCATTCAAGTCACAGAACTGAACATTCCCTTTCATAGTGCAGGTTTGAAACACTCTTTCTGTAGTATCTGCAAGCTGACGTTTCAAGCGCTTTCAGGCCTGTGGTGAAAAAGGAAATATCTTCAAATAAAAACTAGACAGAAGCACTCTCAGAAACTTATTTGCGATGTGTGTTCTCAACTAACAGAGTTGAACCTTTGTTTGGATACAACATTTTGGAAACACTCTTTTTGTAGAATCTGCAAGTGGATATTTGGATAGCTTTGAAGGTTTCGTTGTTAACGGGAATATCTTCATATAAAATCAAGACAGAAGCATTCTCAGAAACTGCTTTGTGATGTTTTCATTCAAGTCACAGAGTAGAATGTTCCCTGTTATAAACCAGGTTTGAGACACTATTTCTGCACTACCTGGAAGTGGACATTTGGAGCGCTTTGAGGCCTATGATGAAAAAGGAAATATCTTCCCATAAAAACTAGACAGAAGCATTCTCAGAAACTTGTTTGTGATGTGTGTATTCAACTAACAGAGATGAACCTTTCTTTTTACAGAGCAGTTTTGAAACACTCTTTTTGTGGAATCTGAAAGTGGATATTTGGATAGCTTGGAGGATTTCGTTGGAAACGGGATTACATATAAAACCTAGAGAGAAGCATTCTCAGGAACTTTTTTGTGATGTTTGCATTCAAGTCACAGGACTGAACGTTCCCTTTCATAGAGCAGGTTTGAAACACTCTTTCTGTAGTATCTGCAAGCTGACGTTTCATGCGTTTTCAGGCCTATGGTGAGAAAGGAAATATCTTCAAGTAAAAACTAGACAGAAGCATTCTCAGAAACTTCTTTGTGCTGTATGTCCTCAATTAACAGAGTTGAACCTTTGTGTGGATACAGCATTTTGGAAACATTCCTTTAGTAGAATCTGCAAGTTGATATTTAGATAGCTAGGAAGATTTCCTTGGAAACGGGAATATCTTCATATAAAATCTAGACGGAAGCATTCTCAGAAAGTGCTTTGTGATGTTTGCATTCAAGTCACAGAGTTGAATATTCCCTTTAAAAGAGCAGGTTTGAAACACTGTTTCTGCACTACCTGGAAGTGGACATTTGGAGCGCTTTGAGGCCTATGTTGAAAAAGGAAATATCTTCCCATAAAAACTAGACAGAAGCATTCTCAGAAACTTGTTTGTGATGTGTGTATTCAACTAACAGAGATGAACCTTTCTTTTTACAGAGCAGTTTTGAAACACTCTTTTTGTGGAATCTGAAAGTGGATATTTGGATAGCTTTGAGGATTTCGTTGGAAACGGGATTACATATAAAACCTAGAGAGAAGCATTCTCAGGAACTTCTTTGTGATGTTTGCATTCACGTCACAGAACTGAACATTCCCTTTCATAGAGCATGTTTGAAACACTCTTTCTGTAGTATCTGCAAACGGACATTTCAAACGCTTTCAGGCCTATGGTGAGAAAGGAAATATCTTCAAGTAAAAATTAGACAGAAGCATTCTCAGAAACTTATTTGCGATGTGTGTCCTCAACTAACAGAGTTGAACCTTTCTTTTGATACAACATTTTGGAAACACTCTTTTTGTAGAATCTGCAAGTGGATATTTGAATAGCTTTGAAGGTTTCGTTGGAAACGGGAATATCTTTATATAAAATCAAGACAGAAGCATTCTCAGAAACTTCTCTGTGATGTTTGCATTCAACTCATAGAGTTGAACACTTCCCTTCATACAGCAGGTTTGAAACACTCTTTTTGTAATATTTGGAAGTGGACATTTGCAGCGCTTTGAGGCCTATGATGAAAAAGGAAATATCTTCCCATAAAAACTAGACAGAAGCATTCTCAGAAACTTGTTTGTGATGTGTGTATTCAACTAACAGAGATGAACCTTTCTTTTTACAGAGCAGTTTTGAAACACTCTTTTTGTGGAATCTGAAAGTGGATATTTGGATAGCTTTGCGGATTTCGTTGGAAACGGGATTACATATAAAATCTAGGGAGAAGCATTCTCAGGAACTTCTTTGTGATGTTTGCATTCAAGTCACAGAACTGAACATTCCCTTTCATAGAGCAGGTTTGAAACACTCTTTCTGTAGTATCTGCAAGCGGACGTTTCAAGCGCTTTCAGGCCTGTGGTGAAAAAGGAAATATCTTCAAATAAAAACTAGACAGAAAGCATTCTCAGAAACTTATTTGCGATGTGTGTCCTCAACTAACAGAGTTGAACCTTTCTTTTGATACAACATTTTGGAAACACTCTTTTTGTAGAATCTGCAAGTGGATATTTGAATAGCTTTGAAGGTTTCGTTGGAAACGGGAATATCTTCATATAAAATCAAGACAGAAGCATTCTCAGAAACAGCTTTGTGATGTTTTCATTCAAGTCACAGAGTACAATGTTCTCTTTTATATTCCAGGTTTGAGACACTCTTTCTGCACTATCTGGAAGTGGACATTTGGAGCGCTTTGAGGCCTATGTTGAAAAAGGAAATATCTTCCCATAAAAACTAGACAGAAGCATTCTCAGAAACTTGTTTGTGATGTGTGTATTCAACTAACAGAGATGAACCTTTCTTTTTACAGAGCAGTTTTGAAACACTCTTTTTGTGGAATCTGAAAGTGGATATTTGGATAGCTTTGAGGATTTCGTTGGAAACGGGATTACATATAAAATCTAGAGAGAAGCATTCTCAGGAACTTCTTTGTGATGTTTGCATTCAAGTCACAGAACTGAATATTCCCTTTCATAGAGCAGGTTTGAAACACTCTTTCTGTAGTATCTGCAAGCGGACGTTTTAAGCGCTTTCAGGCCTGTGGTTGAGAAAGGAAATATCTTCAAATAAAAACTAGACAGAAGCATTCTCAGAAACTTATTTGCGATGTGTGTCCTCAACTAACAGAGTTGAACCTTTCTTTTGATACAACATTTTGGAAACACTCTTTTTGTAGAATCTGCAAGTGGATATTTGGATAGCTTTGAAGGTTTCGTTGGAAACGGGAATATCTTCATATGAAATCAAGACAGAAGCATTCTCAGAAACTGCTTTGTGATGTTTTCATTCAAGTCACAGAGTAGAATGTTCCCTGTTATATACCAGGTTTGAGACACTCTTTCTGCACTACCTGGAAGTGGACATTTGCAGCGCTTTGAGGCCTATGATGAAAAAGGAAATATCTTCCCATAAAAACTAGACAGAAGCATTCTCAGAAACTTGTTTGTGATGTGTGTATTCAACTAACAGAGATGAACCTTTCTTTTTACAGAGCAGTTTTGAAACACTCTTTTTGTGGAATCTGAAAGTGGATATTTGGATAGCTTTGAGGATTTCGTTGGAAACAGGATTACATATAAAACCTAGAGAGAAGCATTCTCAGGAACTTCTTTGTGATGTTTGCATTCAAGTCACAGAACTGAACATTCCCTTTCATAGAGCATGTTTGAAACACTCTTTCTGTAGTATCTGCAAGCGGACGTTTCAAGCGCTTTCAGGCCTATGGTGAGAAAGGAAATATCTTCAAGTAAAAACTAGACAGAAGCATTCTCAGAAACTTATTTAACATGTGTGTTCTCAACTAACAGAGTTGAACCTTTGTTTTGATACGGCATTTTGGAAACACTCTTTTTGTAGATTCTGCTGGCGGATATTCGGATAGCTTTGAAGGTTTCGTTGGAAACGGGAATATCTTCATAGAAAATCTAGACGGAAGCATTCTCAGAAACTGCTTTGTGATGTTTTCATTCAAGTCACAGAGTAGAATGTTCTCTTTTATATACCAGGTTTGAGACACTCTTTCTGCACTATCTGGAAGTGGACATTTGGAGCGCTTTGAGGCCTATGATGAAAAAGGAAATATCTTCCCATAAAAACTAGACAGAAGCATTCTCAGAAACTTGTTTGTGATGTGTGTATTCAACTAACAGAGATGAACCTTTCTTTTTACAGAGCAGTTTTGAAACACTCTTTTTGTGGAATCTGAAAGTGGATATTTGGATAGCTTTGAGGATTTCGTTGGAAACGGGATTACATATAAAATATAGAGAGAAGCATTCTCAGGAACTTCTTTGTGATGTTTGCATTCACGTCACAGAACTGAACATTCCCTTTCATAGAGCATGTTTGAAACACTCTTTCTGTAGTATCTGCAAACGGACATTTCAAACGCTTTCAGGCCTATGGTGAGAAAGGAAATATCTTCAAATAAAAACTAGACAGAAGCATTCTCAGAAACTTATTTGCCATGTGTGTTCTCAACTAACAGAGTTGAACCTTTGTTTTGATACGGCATTTTGGAAACACTCTTTTTGTAGAATCTGCAGGTGGATATTCGGATAGCTTTGAAGGTTTCGTTGGAAACGGGAATATCTTCATATAAAATCTAGACGGAAGCATTCTCAGAAACTGCTTTGTGATGTTTTCATTCAAGTCACAGAGTAGAATGTTCCCTGTTATATACCAGGTTTGAGACACTCTTTCTGCACTACCCGGAAGTGGACGTTTGGAGCGCTTTGAGGCCTATGTTGAAAAACGAAATATCTTCCCATAAAAACTAGACAGAAGCATTCTCAGAAACTTGTTTGTGATGTGTGTATTCAACTAACAGAGATGAACCTTTCTTTTTACAGAGCAGTTTTGAAACACTCTTTTTGTGGAATCTGAAAGTGGATATTTGGATAGCTTTGAGGATTTCGTTGGAAACGGGATTACATATAAAACCTAGAGAGAAGCATTCTCAGGAACTTCTTTGTGATGTTTGCCTTCAAGTCACAGGACTGAACATTCCCTTTCATAGAGCAGGTTTGAAACACTCCTTCTGTAGTATCTGCAAGCTGACGTTTCAAGCGCTTTCAGGCCTATGGTGAGAAAGGAAATATCTTCAAGTAAAAACTAGACAGAAGCATTCTCAGAAACTTATTTGCCATGTGTGTTCTCAACTAACAGAGTTGAACCTTTGTTTTGATACGGCATTTTGGAAACACTCTTTTTGTAGAATCTGCAGGTGGATATTCGGATAGCTTTGAAGGTTTCGTTGGAAACGGGAATATCTTCATATAAAATCTAGACGGAAGCATTCTCAGAAACTGCTTTGTGATGTTTTCATTCAAGTCACAGAGTAGAATCTTCCCTGTTATATACCAGGTCTCAGACACTCTTTCTGCACTACCTGGAAGTGGACATTTGCAGCGCTTTGAGGCCTATGATGAAAAGGGAAATATCTTCCCATAAAAACTAGACAGAAGCATTCTCAGAAACTTGTTTGTGATGTGTGTATTCAACTAACAGAGATGAACCTTTCTTTTTACAGAGCAGTTTTGAAACACTCTTTTTGTGGAATCTGAAAGTGCATATTTGGATAGCTTTGAGGATTTCGTTGGAAACGGGATTACATATAAAACCTAGAGAGAAGCATTCTCAGGAACTTCTTTGTGATGTTTGCCTTGATGTCACAGGACTGAACATTCCCTTTCATAGAGCAGGTTTGAAACACTCTTTCTGTAGTATCTGCAAGCTGACGTTTCAAGCGCTTTCAGGCCTATGGTGAGAAAGGAAATATCTTCAAGTAAAAACTAGACAGAAGCATTCTCAGAAACTTATTTGTCATGTGTGTTCTCAACTAACAGAGATGAACCTTTGTTTTGATACGGCATTTTGGAAACACTCTTTTTGTAGAATCTGCAGGTGGATATTCGGATAGCTTTGAAGGTTTCGTTGGAAACGGGAATATCTTCATATAAAATCTAGACGGAAGCATTCTCAGAAACTGCTTTGTGATGTTTTCATTCAAGTCACAGAGTAGAATGTTCCCTGTTATATACCAGGTTTGAGACACTCTTTCTGCACTACCTGGAAGTGGACGTTTGGAGCGCTTTGAGGCCTATGTTGAAAAAGGAAATATCTTCCCATAAACAGTAGACAGAAGCATTCTCAGAAACTTATTTGTGATGTGTGTTCTCAACTAACAGAGTTGAACCTTTGTTTTGATACAGCATTTTGGAAACACTCTTTTTGTAGGATCTGCAGGTGGATATTTGGATAGCTTTGAAGGTTTCGTTGGAAACGGGAATAACTTCATATAAAATCAAGACAGAAGCATTCTCAGAAACTTCTCTGTGATGTTTGCATTCAACTCATAGAGTTGAACACTTCCTTTCATAGAGCTGGTTTGAAATACTCTTTTTGTAATATTTGGAAGTGGACATTGGCAGCGCTTTGAAGCTTATGGTGAAAAACGAGATATCTTCTCCTAAAAACCAGACAGAAGCATTCTCAGAAACTTCTTCTTGCTGTGTGTCCTCCATTAACAGAGTTGAACCTTTGTGTGGATACAGCATTTTGGAAACATTCCTTTAGTAGAATCTGCAAGTTGATATTTAGATAGCTAGGAAGATATCCTTGCAAACGGGAATATCTTCATATAAAATCTAGACGGAAGCATTCTCAGAAACTGCTTTGTGATGTCTTCATTCAAGTCACAGAGTAGAATGTTCCTTTTTATAGAGCAGGTTTGAAACACTCTGTGCACTACGTGGAAGTGGACATTGGGAGCGCTTTGAGGCCTATGTTGAAAAAGGAAATATCTTCCCATAAAAACTAGACAGAAGCATTCTCAGAAACTTGTTTGTGATGTGTGTATTCAACTAACAGAGATGAACCTTTCTTTTTACAGAGCAGTTTTGAAACACTCTTTTTGTGGAATCTGAAAGTGGATATTTGGATAGCTTTGAGGGTTTCGTTGGAAACGGGATTACATATAAAATCTAGGGAGAAGCATTCTCAGGAACTTCTTTGTGATATTTGCATTCAAGTCACAGAACTGAACATTCCCTTTCATAGAGCAGCTTTGAAACACTCTTTCTGTAGTATCTGCATGCGGACGTTTCAAGCGCTTTCAGGCCTGTGGTGAAAAAGGAAATATCTTCAAATAAAAACTAGACAGAAGCATTCTCAGAAACTTATTTGCGATGTGTGTCCTCAACTAACAGAGTTGAACCTTTCTTTTGATACAACATTTTGGAAACACTCTTTTTGTAGAATCTGCAAGTGGATATTTGAATAGCTTTGAAGGTTTCGTTGGAAACGGGAATATCTTCATATAAAATCAAGACAGAAGCATTCTCAGAAACTTCTCTTTGATGTTTGCATTCAACTCATAGAGTTGAACACTTCCCTTCATACAGCAGGTTTGAAACACTCTTTTTGTAATATTTGGAAGTGGACATTTGCAGCGCTTTGAGGCCTATGATGAAAAAGGTAATATCTTCCCATAAAAACTAGACAGAAGCATTCTCAGAAACTTGTTTGTGATGTGTGTATTCAACTAACAGAGATGAACCTTTCTTTTTACAGAGCAGTTTTGAAACACTCTTTTTGTGGAATCTGAAAGTGGATATTTGGATAGCTTTGCGGATTTCGTTGGAAACGGGATTACATATAAAATCTAGGGAGAAGCATTCTCAGGAACTTCTTTGTGATGTTTGCATTCAAGTCACAGAACTGAACATTCCCTTTCATAGAGCAGGTTTGAAACACTCTTTCTGTAGTATCTGCAAGCGGACGTTTTAAGCGCTTTCAGGCCTGTGGTGAGAAAGGAAATATCTTCAAATGAAAACTAGACAGAAGCATTCTCAGAAACTTATTTGCGATGTGTGTCCTCAACTAACAGAGTTGAACCTTTCTTTTGATACAACATTTTGGAAACACTCTTTTTGTAGAATCTGCAAGTGGATATTTGGATAGCTTTGAAGGTTTCGTTGGAAACGGGAATATCTTCATATGAAATCAAGACAGAAGCATTCTCAGAAACTTCTCTGTGATGTTTGCATTCAACTCATAGAGTTGAACACTTCCCTTCATACAGCAGGTTTGAAACACTCTTTTTCTAATATTTGGAAGTGGACATTTGCAGCGCTTTGAGGCCTATGTTGAAAAAGGAAATATCTTCTCCTAAAAACCAGACAGAAGCATTCTCAGAAACTTGTTTGTGATGTGTGTATTCAGCTAACAGAGATGAACCTTTCCTTTTACAGAGCAGTTTTGAAACACTCTTTTTGTGGAATCTGAAAGTGGATATTTGGATAGCTTTGAGGATTTCGTTGGAAACGGTATTACATATAAAATCTAGGGAGAAGCATTCTCAGGAACTACTTTGCGATGTTTGCATTCAAGTCACAGAACTGAACATTCCCTTTCATAGAGCAGGTTTGAAACACTCTTTCTGTAGTATCTGCAAGCTGACGTTTCAAGCGCTTTCAGGCCTACGGTGAGAAAGGAAATTTCTGCAAGTAAAAACTAGACAGAAGCATTCTCAGAAACTTCTTTGTGCTGTATGTCCTCAATTAACAGAGTTGAACCTTTGTGTGGATACAGCATTTTGGAAACATTCCTTTAGTAGAATCTGCAAGTTGATATTTAGATAGCTAGGAAGATTTCCTTGGAAACGGGAATATCTTCATATAAAATCTAGACGGAAGCATTCTCAGAAAGTGCTTTGTGATGTTTGCATTCAAGTCACAGAGTTGAATATTCCCTTTTATAGAGCAGGTTTGAAACACTCTTTCTGCACTACCTGGAAGTGGACATTTGGAGCGCTTTGAGGCCTATGTTGAAAAACGAAATATCATCCCATAAAAACTAGACAGAAGCATTCTCAGAAACTTGTTTGTGATGTGTGTATTCAACTAACAGAGATGAACCTTTCTTTTTACAGAGCAGTTTTGAAACACTCTTTTTGTGGAATCTGAAAGTGGATATTTGGATAGCTTTGAGGATTTCGTTGGAAACGGGATTACATATAAAACCTAGAGAGAAGCATTCTCAGGAACTTCTTTGTGATGTTTGCCTTCAAGTCACAGGACTGAACATTCCCTTTCATAGAGCAGGTTTGAAACACTCTTTCTGTAGTATCTGCAAGCTGACGTTTCAAGCGCTTTCAGGCCTATGGTGAGAAAGGAAATATCTTCAAGTAAAAACTAGACAGAAGCATTCTCAGAAACTTATTTGCCATGTGTGTTCTCAACTAACAGAGTTGAACCTTTGTTTTGATACGGCATTTTGGAAACACTCTTTTTGTAGAATCTGCAGGTGGATATTCGGATAGCTTTGAAGGTTTCGTTGGAAACGGGAATATCTTCATATAAAATCTAGACGGAAGCATTCTCAGAAACTGCTTTGTGATGTTTTCATTCAAGTCACAGAGTAGAATGTTCCCTGTTATATACCAGGTTTGAGACACTCTTTCTGCACTACCTGGAAGTGGACATTTGGAGCGCTTTGAGGCCTATGATGAAAAAGGAAATATCTTCCCATAAAAACTAGACAGAAGCATTCTCAGAAACTTGTTTGTGATGTGTGTATTCAACTAACAGAGATGAACCTTTCTTTTTACAGAGCAGTTTTGAAACACTCTTTTTGTGGAATCTGAAAGTGGATATTTGGATAGCTTTGAGGATTTCGTTGGAAACGGGATTACATATAAAATCTAGAGAGAAGCATTCTCAGAAACTTCTCTGTGATGTTTGCATTCAACTCATAGAGTTGAACACTTCCCTTCATACAGCAGGATTGAAACACTCTCTTTGTAATATTTGGAAGTGGACATTTTCAGCGCTTTGAGGCCTATGATGAAAAAGGAAATATCTTCCCATAAAAACTAGACAGAAGCATTCTCAGAAACTTATTTGCGATGTGTGTCCTCAACTAACAGAGTTGAACCTTTCTTTTGATACAACATTTTGGAAACACTCTTTTTGTAGAATCTGCAAGTGGATATTTGGATAGCTTTGAAGGTTTCGTTGGAAACGGGAATATCTTCATATGAAATCAAGACAGAAGCATTCTCAGAAAGTGCTTTGTGATGTTTGCATTCAAGTCACAGAGTTGAATATTCCCTTTTATAGAGCAGGTTTGAAACACTCTTTCTGCACTACCTGGAAGTGGACATTTGGAGCGCTTTGAGGCCTATGTTGAAAAAGGAAATATCTTCCCATAAAAACTAGACAGAAGCATTCTCAGAAACTTGTTTGTGATGTGTGTATTCAACTAACAGAGATGAACCTTTCTTTTTACAGAGCAGTTTTGAAACACTCTTTTTGTGGAATCTGAAAGTGGATATTTGGATAGCTTTGAGGATTTCGTTGGAAACGGGATTACATATAAAACCTAGAGAGAAGCATTCTCAGGAACTTCTTTGTGATGTTTGCCTTCAAGTCACAGGACTGAACATTCCCTTTCATAGAGCAGGTTTGAAACACTCTTTCTGTAGTATCTGCAAGCTGACGTTTCAAGCGCTTTCAGGCCTATGGTGAGAAAGGAAATATCTTCAAGTAAAAACTAGACAGAAGCATTCTCAGAAACTTATTTGCCATGTGTGTTCTCAACTAACAGAGTTGAACCT
The DNA here is from genome assembly GCF_000001405.40 of Homo sapiens. Lineage (NCBI taxonomy): Eukaryota > Metazoa > Chordata > Mammalia > Primates > Hominidae > Homo > Homo sapiens. The sequence goes on from NC_000009.12 coordinate 44,765,948, forward strand.
TTGTTTTGATACGGCATTTTGGAAACACTCTTTTTCTAGAATCTGCAGGTGGATATTCGGATAGCTTTGAAGGTTTCGTTGGAAACGGGAATATCTTCATATAAAATCTAGACGGAAGCATTCTCAGAAACTGCTTTGTGATGTTTTCATTCAAGTCACAGAGTAGAATCTTCCCTGTTATATACCAGGTTTCAGACACTCTTTCTACACTACCTGGAAGTGGACATTTGCAGCGCTTTGAGGCCTATGATGAAAAAGGAAATATCTTCCCATAAAAACTAGACAGAAGCATTCTCAGAAACTTGTTTGTGATGTGTGTATTCAACTAACAGAGATGAACCTTTCTTTTTACAGAGCAGTTTTGAAACACTCTTTTTGTGGAATCTGAAAGTGGATATTTGGATAGCTTTGCGGATTTCGTTGGAAACGGGATTACATATAAAATCTAGGGAGAAGCACTCTCAGGAACTTCTTTGTGATGTTTGCATTCAAGTCACAGAACTGAACATTCCCTTTCATAGAGCATGTTTGAAACACTCTTTCTGTAGTATCTGCAAACGGACATTTCAAACGCTTTCAGGCCTATTGTGAGAAAGGAAATATCTTCAAGTAAAAACTAGACAGAAGCATTCTCAGAAACTTATTTGCGATGTGTGTTCTCAACTAACAGAGTTGAACCTTTGTTTTGATATGGCATTTTGGAAACACTCTTTTTGTAGAATCTGCAGGTGGATATTCGGATAGCTTTGAAGGTTTCGTTGGAAACGGGAATATCTTCATATAAAATCTAGACGGAAGCATTCTCAGAAACTGCTTTGTGATGTTTTCATTCAAGTCACAGAGTAGAATGTTCCCTGTTATATACCAGGTTTGAGACACTCTTTCTGCACTACCCGGAAGTGGACGTTTGGAGCGCTTTGAGGCGTATGTTGAAAAAGGAAATATCTTCCCATAAAAACTAGACAGAAGCATTCTCAGAAACTTGTTTGTGATGTGTGTATTCAACTAACAGAGATGAACCTTTCTTTTTACAGAGCAGTTTTGAAACACTCTTTTTGTGGAATCTGAAAGTGGATATTTGGATAGCTTTGAGGATTTCGTTGGAAACGGGATTACATATAAAATCTAGAGAGAAGCATTCTCAGAAACTTCTCTGTGATGTTTGCATTCAACTCATAGAGTTGAACACTTCCTTTCATAGAGCTGGTTTGAAATACTCTTTTTGTAATATTTGGAAGTGGACATTGGCAGCGCTTTGAAGCCTATGGTGAAAAAGGAGATATCTTCTCCTAAAAACCAGACAGAAGCATTCTCAGAAACTTCTTTGTGCTGTATGTCCTCAATTAACAGAGTTGAACCTTTGTTTCGATACAGCATTTTGGAAACATTCCTTGAGTAGAATCTGCAAGTTGATATTTAGATAGCTAGGAAGATTTCCTTGGAAACGGGAATATCTTCATATAAAATCTAGACGGAAGCATTCTCAGAAACTTCTCTGTGAAGTTTGCATTCAACTCATAGAGTTGAACACTTCCCTTCATACAGCAGGTTTGAAACACTCTTTTTGTAATATTTGGAAGTGGACATTTGCAGCGCTTTGAGGCGTATGTTGAAAAAGGAAATATCTTCTCCTAAAAACCAGACAGAAGCATTCTCAGAAACTTGTTTGTGATGTGTGTATTCAACTAACAGAGATGAACCTTTCTTTTTACAGAGCAGTTTTGAAACACTCTTTTTGTGGAATCTGAAAGTGGATATTTGGATAGCTTTGAGGATTTCGTAGGAAACGGGATTACATATAAGATCTAGAGAGAAGCATTCTCAGGAACTTCTTTGTGATGTTTGCCTTCAAGTCACAGGACTGAACATTCCCTTTCATAGAGCAGGTTTGAAACACTCTTTCTGTAGTATCTGCAAGCTGACGTTTCAAGCGCTTTCAGGCCTATGGTGAGAAAGGAAATATCTTCAAGTAAAAACTAGACAGAAGCATTCTCAGAAACTTATTTGCCATGTGTGTTCTCAACTAACAGAGTTGAACCTTTGTTTTGATACGGCATTTTGGAAACACTCTTTTTGTAGAATCTGCAGGTGGATATTCGGATAGCTTTGAAGGTTTCGTTGGAAACGGGAATATCTTCATATAAAATCTAGACGGAAGCATTCTCAGAAACTGCTTTGTGATGTTTTCATTCAAGTCACAGAGTAGAATGTTCCCTGTTATATACCAGGTTTGAGACACTCTTTCTGCACTACCTGGAAGTGGACGTTTGGAGCGCTTGAGGCCTATGTTGAAAAAGGAAATATCTTCCCATAAAAACTAGACAGAAGCATTCTCAGAAACTTGTTTGTGATGTGTGTATTCAACTAACAGAGATGAACCTTTCTTTTTACAGAGCAGTTTTGAAACACTCTTTTTGTGGAATCTGAAAGTGGATATTTGGATAGCTTTGAGGATTTCGTTGGAAACGGGATTACATATAAAATCTAGAGAGAAGCATTCTCAGGAACTTCTTTGTGATGTTTGCATTCAAGTCACAGAACTGAACATTCCCTTTCATAGAGCAGGTTTTGAAACACTCTTTCTGTAGTATCTCCAAGCGGACGTTTTAAGCGCTTTCAGGCCTGTGGTGAGAAAGGAAATATCTTCAAATAAAAACTAGACAGAAGCATTCTCAGAAACTTATTTGCGATGTGTGTCCTCAACTAACACAGTTGAACCTTTCTTTTGATACAACATTTTGGAAACACTCTTTTTGTAGAATCTGCAAGTGGATATTTGAATAGCTTTGAAGGTTTCGTTGGAAACGGGAATATCTTCATATAAAATCAAGACAGAAGCATTCTCAGAAAGTGCTTTGTGATGTTTGCATTCAAGTCACAGAGTTGAATATTCCCTTTTATAGAGCGGGTTTGAAACACTCTTTCTGCACTACCTGGAAGTGGACATTTGGAGCTCTTTGAGGCCTATGTTGAAAAAGGAAATATCTTCCCATAAAAACTAGACAGAAGCATTCTCAGAAACTTGTTTGTGATGTGTGTATTCAACTAACAGAGATGAACCTTTCTTTTTACAGAGCAGTTTTGAAACACTCTTTTTGTGGAATCTGAAAGTGGATATTTGGATAGCTTTGAGGATTTCGTTGGAAACGGGATTACATATAAAACCTAGAGAGAAGCATTCTCAGGAACTCCTTTGTGATGTTTGCCTTCAAGTCACAGGACTGAACATTCCCTTTCATAGAGCAGGTTTGAAACACTCTTTCTGTAGTATCTGCAAGCTGACGTTTCAAGCGCTTTCAGGCCTATGGTGAGAAAGGAAATATCTTCAAGTAAAAACTAGACAGAAGCATTCTCAGAAACTTATTTGCCATGTGTGTTCTCAACTAACAGAGTTGAACCTTTGTTTTGATACGGCATTTTGGAAACACTCTTTTTGTAGAATCTGCAGGTGGATATTCGGATAGCTTTGAAGGTTTCGTTGGAAACGGGAATATCTTCATATAAAATCTAGACGGAAGCATTCTCAGAAACTGCTTTGTGATGTTTGCATTCAAGTCACAGAGTAGAATGTTCCCTGTTATATACCAGGTTTGAGACACTCTTTCTGCACTACCTGGAAGTGGACGTTTGGAGCGCTTTGAGGCCTATGTTGAAAAAGGAAATATCTTCCCATAAAAACTAGACAGAAGCATTCTCAGAAACTTGTTTGTGATGTGTGTATTCAACTAACAGAGATGAACCTTTCTTTTTACAGAGCAGTTTTGAAACACTCTTTTTGTGGAATCTGAAAGTGGATATTTGGATAGCTTTGAGGATTTCGTTGGAAACGGGATTACATATAAAACCTAGAGAGAAGCATTCTCAGGAACTTCTTTGTGATGTTTGCATTCAAGTCACAGAACTGAACATTCCCTTTCATAGAGCATGTTTGAAACACTCTTTCTGTAGTATCTGCAAGCGGACGTTTTAAGCGCTTTCAGGCCTGTGGTGAGAAAGGAAATATCTTCAAATAAAAACTAGACAGAAGCATTCTCAGAAACTTATTTGCGATGTGTGTCCTCAACTAACAGAGTTGAACCTTTCTTTTGATACAACATTTTGGAAACACTCTTTTTGTAGAATCTGCAAGTGGATATTTGAATAGCTTTGAAGGTTTCGTTGGAAACGGGAATATCTTCATATAAAATCAAGACAGAAGCATTCTCAGAAACTTCTCTGTGATGTTTGCATTCAACTCATAGAGTTGAACACTTCCCTTCATACAGCAGGTTTGAAACACTCTTTTTGTAATATTTGGAAGTGGACATTTGCAGCGCTTTGAGGCCTATGTTGAAAAAGGAAATATCTTCTCCTAAAAACCAGACAGAAGCATTCTCAGAAACTTGTTTGTGATGTGTGTATTCAACTAACGGAGATGAACCTTTCTTTTTACAGAGCAGTTTTGAAACACTCTTTTTGTGGAATCTGAAAGTGGATATTTGGATAGCTTTACGGATTTCGTTGGAAACGGGATTACATATAAAATCTAGGGAGAAGCATTCTCAGGAACTTCTTTGTGATGTTTGCATTCAAGTCACAGAACTGAACATTCCCTTTCATAGAGCAGGTTTGAAACACTCTTTCTGTAGTATCTGCAAGCGGACGTTTTAAGCGCTTTCAGGCCTGTGGTGAGAAAGGAAATATCTTCAAATAAAAACTAGACAGAAGCATTCTCAGAAACTTATTTGCGATGTGTGTCCTCAACTAACAGAGTTGAACCTTTCTTTTGATACAACATTTTGGAAACACTCTTTTTGTAGAATCTGCAAGTGGATATTTGGATAGCTTTGAAGGTTTCGTTGGAAACGGGAATATCTTCATATGAAATCAAGACAGAAGCATTCTCAGAAACTTCTCTGTGATGTTTGCATTCAACTCATAGAGTTGAACACTTCCCTTCATACAGCAGGTTTGAAACACTCTTTTTCTAATATTTGGAAGTGGACATTTGCAGCGCTTTGAGGCCTATGTTGAAAAAGGAAATATCTTCTCCTAAAAACCAGACAGAAGCATTCTCAGAAACTTGTTTGTGATGTGTGTATTCAACTAACAGAGATGAACCTTTCTTTTTACAGAGCAGTTTTGAAACACTCTTTTTGTGGAATCTGAAAGTGGATATTTGGATAGCTTTGAGGATTTCGTTGGAAACGGGATTACATATAAAACCTAGAGAGAAGCATTCTCAGGAACTTCTTTGTGATGTTTGCATTGAAGTCACAGAACTGAACATTCCCTTTCATAGAGCATGTTTGAAACACTCTTTCTGTAGTATCTGCAAACGGACATTTCAAACGCTTTCAGGCCTATGGTGAGAAAGGAAATATCTTCAAATAAAAACTAGACAGAAGCATTCTCAGAAACTTATTTGCGATGTGTGTCCTCAACTAACAGAGTTGAACCTTTCTTTTGATACAACATTTTGGAAACACTCTTTTTGTAGAATCTGCAAGTGGATATTTGGATAGCTTTGAAGGTTTCGTTGGAAACGGGAATATCTTCATATAAAATCAAGACAGAAGCATTCTCAGAAACTTCTCTGTGATGTTTGCATTCAACTCATAGAGTTGAACACTACCTTTCATAGAGCAGGTTTGAAACACTCTGTGCACTACCTGGAAGTGGACGTTTGGAGCGCTTTGAGGCCTATGTTGAAAAAGGAAATATCTTCCAATAAAAACTAGACAGAAGCATTCTCAGAAACTTGTTTGTGATGTGTGTATTCAACTAACAGAGATGAACCTTTCTTTTTACAGAGCAGTTTTGAAACACTCTTTTTGTGGAATCTGAAAGTGGATATTTGGATAGCTTTGAGGATTTCGTTGGAAACGGGATTACATATAAAATCTAGGGAGAAGCATTCTCAGGAACTTCTTTGTGATGTTTGCATTCAAGTCACAAAACTGAACATTCCCTTTCATAGAGCAGCTTTGAAACACTCTTTCTGTAGTATCTGCAAGCGGACGTTTCAAGCGCTTTCAGGCCTGTGGTGAAAAAGGAAATATCTTCAAATAAAAACTAGACAGAAGCATTCTCAGAAACTTCTTTGTGCTGTATGTCCTCAATTAACAGAGTTGAACCTTTGTGTGGATACAGCATTTTGGAAACACTCCTTTAGTAGGATATGCAAGTTGATATTTAGATAGCTAGGAAGATTTCCTTGGAAACGGGAATATCTTCATATAAAATCTAGACGGAAGCATTCTCAGAAAGTGCTTTGTGATGTTTGCATTCAAGTCACAGAGTTGAATATTCCCTTTTATAGAGCAGGTTTGAAACACTCTTTCTGCACTACCTGGAAGTGGACATTTGGAGCGCTTTGAGGCCTATGTTGAAAAAGGAAATATCTTCCCATAAAAACTAGACAGAAGCATTCTCAGAAACTTGTTTGTGATGTGTGTATTCAACTAACAGAGATGAACCTTTCTTTTTACAGAGCAGTTTTGAAACACTCTTTTTGTGGAATCTGAAAGTGGATATTTGGATAGATTTGAGGATTTCGTTGGAAACGGGATTACATATAAAACCTAGAGAGAAGAATTCTCAGGAACTTCTTTGTGATGTTTGCATTCAAGTCACAGAACTGAACATTCCCTTTCATAGAGCAGGTTTGAAACACTCTTTCTGTAGTATCTGCAAGCTGACGTTTCAAGCGCTTTCAGGCCTATGGTGAGAAAGGAAATATCTTCAAGTAAAAACTAGACAGAAGCATTGTCAGAAACTTATTTGCCATGTGTGTTCTCAACTAACAGAGTTGAACCTTTGTTTTGATACGGCATTTTGGAAACACTCTTTTTGTAGAATCTGCAGGTGGATATTCGGATAGCTTTGAAGGTTTCGTTGGAAACGGGAATATCTTCATATAAAATCTAGACGGAAGCATTCTCAGAAACTGCTTTGTGATGTTTTCATTCAAGTCACAGAGTAGAATGTTCCCTGTTATATACCAGGTTTGAGACACTCTTTCTGCACTACCTGGAAGTGGACGTTTGGAGCGCTTTGAGGCGTATGTTGAAAAAGGAAATATCTTCCCATAAAAATTAGACAGAAGCATTCTCAGAAACTTGTTTGTGATGTGTGTATTCAACTAACAGAGATGAACCTTTCTTTTTACAGAGCAGTTTTGAAACACTCTTTTTGTGGAATCTGAAAGTGGATATTTGGATAGCTTTGCGGATTTCGTTGGAAACGGGATTACATATAAAATCTAGGGAGAAGCATTCTCAGGAACTTCTTTGTGATGTTTGCATTCAAGTCACAGAACTGAACATTCCCTTTCATAGAGCAGGTTTGAAACACTCTTTCTGTAGTATCTGCAAGCGGACGTTTTAAGCGCTTTCAGGCCTGTGGTGAGAAAGGAAATATCTTCAAATAAAAACTAGACAGAAGCATTCTCAGAAACTTATTTGCGATGTGTGTCCTCAACTAACAGAGTTGAACCTTTCTTTTGATACAACATTTTGGAAACACTCTTTTTGTAGAATCTGCAAGTGGATATTTGGATAGCTTTGAAGGTTTCGTTGGAAACGGGAATATCTTCATATGAAATCAAGACAGAAGCATTCTCAGAAACTTCTCTGTGATGTTTGCATTCAACTCATAGAGTTGAACACTTCCCTTCATACAGCAGGTTTGAAACACTCTTTTTCTAATATTTGGAAGTGGACATTTGCAGCGCTTTGAGGCCTATGTTGAAAAAGGAAATATCTTCTCCTAAAAACCAGACAGAAGCATTCTCAGAAACTTGTTTGTGATGTGTGTATTCAACTAACAGAGATGAACCTTTCTTTTTACAGAGCAGTTTTGAAACACTCTTTTTGTGGAATCTGAAAGTGGATATTTGGATAGCTTTGAGGATTTCGTTGGAAACGGGATTACATATAAAACCTAGAGAGAAGCATTCTCAGAAAGTGCTTTGTGATGTTTGCATTCAAGTCACAGAACTGAACATTCCCTTTCATAGAGCATGTTTGAAACACTCTTTCTGTAGTATCCGCAAGCGGACGTTTCAAGCGCTTTCAGGCCTATGGTGAGAAAGGAAATATCTTCAAGTAAAAACTAGACAGAAGCATTCTCAGAAACTTATTTGCCATGTGTGTTCTCAACTAACAGAGTTGAACCTTTGTTTGGATACTGGCATTTTGGAAACACTCTTTTTGTAGAATCTGCAGGTGGATATTCGGATAGCTTTGAAGGTTTCGTTGGAAACGGGAATATCTTCATATAAAATCTAGACGGAAGCATTCTCAGAAAGTGCTTTGTGATGTTTGCATTCAAGTCACAGAGTTGAATATTCCCTTTTATAGAGCAGGTTTGAAACACTCTTTCTGCACTACCTGGAAGTGGACATTTGGAGCGCTTTGAGGCCTATGTTGAAAAAGGAAATATCTTCCCATAAAAACTAGACAGAAGCATTCTCAGAAACTTGTTTGTGATGTGTGTATTCAACTAACAGAGATGAACCTTTCTTTTTACAGAGCAGTTTTGAAACACTCTTTTTGTGGAATCTGAAAGTGGATATTTGGATAGCTTTGAGGATTTCGTTGGAAACGGGATTACATATAAAACCTAGAGAGAAGCATTCTCAGGAACTTCTTTGTGATGTTTGCCTTCAAGTCACAGGACTGAACATTCCCTTTCATAGAGCAGGTTTGAGACACTCTTTCTGTAGTATCTGCAAGCTGACGTTTCAAGCGCTTTCAGGCCTATGGTGACAAAGGAAATATCTTCAAGTAAAAACTAGACAGAAGCATTCTCAGAAACTTATTTGCCATGTGTGTTTTCAACTAACAGAGTTGAACCTTTGTTTTGATATGGCATTTTGGAAACACTCTTTTTGTAGAATCTGCAGGTGGATATTCGGATAGCTTTGAAGGTTTCGTTGGAAACGGGAATATCTTCATATAAAATCTAGACGGAAGCATTCTCAGAAACTGCTTTGTGATGTTTTCATTCAAGTCACAGAGTAGAATGTTCCCTGTTATATACCAGGTTTGAGACACTCTTTCTGCACTACCTGGAAGTGGACGTTTGGAGCGCTTTGAGGCCTATGTTGAAAAAGGAAATATCTTCCCATAAAAACTAGACAGAAGCATTCTCAGAAACTTGTTTGTGATGTGTGTATTCAACTAACAGAGATGAACCTTTGTTTTTACAGAGCAGTTTTGAAACACTCTTTTTGTGGAATCTGAAAGTGGATATTTGGATAGCTTTGAGGATTTTGTTGGAAACGGGATTACATATAAAATCTAGAGAGAAGCATTCTCAGGAACTTCTTTGTGATGTTTGCATTCAAGTCACAGAACTGAACATTCCCTTTCATAGAGCAGGTTTGAAACAGTCTTTCTGTAGTATCTGCAAGCTGACGTTTCAAGCGCTTTCAGGCCTATGGTGAGAAAGGAAATATCTTCAAGTAAAAACTAGACAGAAGCATTCTCAGAAACTTATTTGCCATGTGTGTTCTCAACTAACAGAGTTGAACCTTTGTTTTGATACGGCATTTTGGAAACACTCTTTTTGTAGAATCTGCAGGTGGATATTCGGATAGCTTTGAAGGTTTCGTTGGAAACGGGAATATCTTCATATAAAACCTTGACGGAAGCATTCTCAGAAACTTCTTTGTGCTGTATGTCCTCAATTAACAGAGTTGAACCTTTGTGTGGATACAGCATTTTGGAAACATTCCTTTAGTAGAATCTGCAAGTTGATATTTAGATAGCTAGGAAGAGTTCCTTGGAAACGGGAATATCTTCATATAAAATCTAGACGGAAGCATTCTCAGAAAGTGCTTTGTGATGTTTGCATTCAAGTCACAGAGTTGAATATTCCCTTTTATAGAGCAGGTTTGAAACACTCTTTCTGCACTACCTGGAAGTGGACATTTGGAGCGCTTTGAGGCCTATGTTGAAAAAGGAAATATCTTCCCATAAAAACTAGACAGAAGCATTCTCAGAAACTTGTTTGTGATGTGTGTATTCAACTAACAGAGATGAACCTTTCTTTTTACAGAGCAGTTTTGAAACACTCTTTTTGTGGAATCTGAAAGTGGATATTTGGATAGCTTTGAGGATTTCGTTGGAAACGGGATTACATATAAAACCTAGAGAGAAGCATTCTCAGGAACTTCTTTGTGATGTTTGCCTTCAAGTCACAGGACTGAACATTCCCTTTCATAGAGCAGGTTTGAAACACTCTTTCTGTAGTATCTGCAAGCTGACGTTTCAAGCGCTTTCAGGCCTATGGTGAGAAAGGAAATATCTTCAATTAAAAACTAGACAGAAGCATTCTCAGAAACTTATTTGCCATGTGTGTTCTCAACTAACAGAGTTGAACCTTTGTTTTGATACGGCATTTTGGAAACACTCTTTTTGTAGAATCTGCAGGTGGATATTCGGATAGCTTTGAAGGTTTCGTTGGAAACGGGAATATCTTCATATAAAATCTAGACGGAAGCATTCTCAGAAACTGCTTTGTGATGTTTTCATTCAAGTCACAGAGTAGAATGTTCTCTTTTATATACCAGGTTTGAGACACTCTTTCTGCACTATCTGGAAGTGGACATTTGGAGCGCTTTGAGGCCTATGATGAAAAAGGAAATATCTTCCCATAAAAACTAGACAGAAGCATTCTCAGAAACTTGGTTGTGATGTGTGTATTCAACTAACAGAGATGAACCTTTCTTTTTACAGAGCAGTTTTGAAACACTCTTTTTGTGGAATCTGAAAGTGCATATTTGGATAGCTTTGAGGATTTCGTTGGAAACGGGATTACATATAAAATCTAGAGAGAAGCATTCTCAGAAACTTCTCTGTGATGTTTGCATTCAACTCATAGAGGTGAACACTTCCCTTCATAGAGCAGGTTTGAAACACTCTTTTTGTAATATTTGGAAGTGGACATTTGCAGCGCTTTGAGGCCTATGTTGAAAAAGGAAATATCTTCTCCTAAAAACCAGACAGAAGCATTCTCAGAAACTTCTTTGTGCTGTATGTCCTCAATTAACAGAGTTGAACCTTTGTGTGGATACAGCATTTTGGAAACATTCCTTTAGTAGAATCTGCAAGTTGATATTTAGATAGCTAGGAAGATTTCCTTGGAAACGGGAATATCTTCATATAAAATCTAGACGGAAGCATTCTCAGAAAGTGCTTTGTGATGTTTGCATTCAAGTCACAGAGTTGAATATTCCCTTTTATAGAGCAGGTTTGAAACACTCTTTCTGCACTACCTGGAAGTGGACATTTGGAGCGCTTTGAGGCCTATGTTGAAAAAGGAAATATCTTCCCATAAAAACTAGACAGAAGCATTCTCAGAAACTTGTTTGTGATGTGTGTATTCAACTAACAGAGATGAACCTTTCTTTTTACAGAGCAGTTTTGAAACACTCTTTTTGTGGAATCTGAAAGTGGATTTTTGGATAGCTTTGCGGATTTCGTTGGAAACGGGATTACATATAAAACCTAGAGAGAAGCATTCTCAGGAACTTCTTTGCGATGTTTGCATTCAAGTCACAGAACTGAACATTCCCTTTCATAGAGCAGGTTTGAAACACTCTTTCTGTAGTATCTGCAAGCTGACGTTTCAAGCGCTTTCAGGCCTATGGTGAGAAAGGAAATTTCTTCAAGTAAAAACTAGACAGAAGCATTCTCAGAAACTTATTTGCGATGTGTGTTCTCAACTAACAGAGTTGAACCTTTGTTTTGATATGGCATTTTGGAAACACTCTTTTTGTAGAATCTGCAGGTGGATATTCGGATAGCTTTGAAGGTTTCGTTGGAAACGGGAATATCTTCATATAAAATCTAGACGGAAGCATTCTCAGAAACTGCTTTGTGATGTTTTCATTCAAGTCACAGAGTAGAATGTTCCCTGTTATATACGAGGTTTGAGACACTCTTTCTGCACTACCTGGAAGTGGACATTTGCAGCGCTTTGAGGCCTATGATGAAAAAGGAAATATCTTCCCATAAAAACTAGACAGAAGCATTCTCAGAAACTTGTTTGTGATGTGTGTATTCAACTAACAGAGATGAACCTTTCTTTTTACAGAGCAGTTTTGAAACACTCTTTTTGTGGAATCTGAAAGTGGATATTTGGATAGCTTTGAGGATTTCGTTGGAAACGGGATTACATATAAAATCTAGAGAGAAGCATTCTCAGGAACTTTCTTTGTGATGTTTGCATTCAAGTCACAGAACTGAACATTCCCTTTCATAGAGCAGGTTTGAAACACTCTTTCTGTAGTATCTGCAAGCGGACGTTTTAAGCGCTTTCAGGCCTGTGGTGAGAAAGGAAATATCTTCAAATAAAAACTAGACAGAAGCATTCTCAGAAACTTATTTGCGATGTGTGTCCTCAACTAACAGAGTTGAACCTTTCTTTTGATACAACATTTTGGAAACACTCTTTTTGTAGAATCTGCAAGTGGATATTTGGATAGCTTTGAAGGTTTCGTTGGAAACGGGAATATCTTCATATGAAATCAAGACAGAAGCATTCTCAGAAACTGCTTTGTGATGTTTTCATTCAAGTCACAGAGTAGAATGTTCCCTGTTATATACCAGGTTTGAGACACTCTTTCTGCACTACCTGGAAGTGGACGTTTGGAGCGCTTTGAGGCCTATGTTGAAAAAGGAAATATCTTCCCATAAAAACTAGACAGAAGCATTCTCAGAAACTTGTTTGTGATGTGTGTATTCAACTAACAGAGATGAACCTTTCTTTTTACAGAGCAGTTTTGAAACACTCTTTTTGTGGAATCTGAAAGTGGATATTTGGATAGCTTTGCTGATTTCGTTGGAAACGGGATTACATATAAAATCTAGGGAGAAGCATTCTCAGGAACTTCTTTGTGATGTTTGCATTCAAGTCACAGAACTGAACATTCCCTTTCATAGAGCATGTTTGAAACACTCTTTCTGTAGTATCTGCAAGCGGACGTTTTAAGCGCTTTCAGGCCTGTGGTGAGAAAGGAAATATCTTCAAATAAAAACTAGACAGAAGCATTCTCAGAAACTTATTTGCGATGTGTGTCCTCAACTAACAGAGTTGAACCTTTCTTTTGATACAACATTTTGGAAACACTCTTTTTGTAGAATCTGCAAGTGGATATTTGGATAGCTTTGAAGGTTTCGTTGGAAACGGGAATATCTTCATATGAAATCAAGACAGAAGCATCCTCAGAAACTTCTCTGTGATGTTTGCATTCAACTCACAGAGTTGAACACTTCCCTTCATACTGCAGGTTTGAAACACTCTTTTTGTAATATTTGGAAGTGGACATTTGCAGCGCTTTGAGGCCTATGATGAAAAAGGAAATATCTTCCCATAAAAACTAGACAGAAGCATTCTCAGAAACTTGTTTGTGATGTGTGTATTCAACTAACAGAGATGAACCTTTCTTTTTACAGAGTAGTTTTGAAACACTCTTTTTGTGGAATCCGAAAGTGGATATTTGGATAGCTTTGAGGATTTCGTTGGAAACGGGATTACATATAAAATCTAGGGAGAAGCATTCTCAGGAACTTCTTTGTGATGTTTGCATTCAAGTCACAGAACTGAACATTCCCTTTCTTGGAGCAGGTTTGAAACACTCTTTCTGTAGTATCTGCAAGCTGACGTTTCAAGCGCTTTCAGGCCTGTGGTGAAAAAGGAAATATCTTCAAATAAAAACTAGACAGAAGCATTCTCAGAAACTTGTTTGCGATGTGTTTCCTCAACTAACAGAGTTGAACCTTTCTTTTGATACAACATTTTGGAAACACTCTTTTTGTAGAATCTGCAAGTGGATATTTGGATAGCTTTGAAGGTTTCTTTGGAAACGGGAATATCTTCATATAAAATCAAGACAGAAGCATTCTCAGAAAGTGCTTTGTGATGTTTGCATTCAAGTCACAGAGTTGAATATTCCCTTTTATAGAGCAGGTTTGAAACACTCTTTCTGCACTACCTGGAAGTGGACATTTGGAGCGCTTTGAGGCCTATGTTGAAAAAGGAAATATCTTCCCATAAAAACTAGACAGAAGCATTCTCAGAAACTTGTTTGTGATGTGTGTATTCAACTAACAGAGATGAACCTTTCTTTTTACAGAGCAGTTTTGAAACACACTTTTTGTGGAATCTGAAAGTGGATATTTGGATAGCTTTGAGGATTTCGTTGGAAACGGGATTACATATAAAACCTAGAGAGAAGCATTCTCAGGAACTTCTTTGTGATGTTTGCCTTCAAGTCACAGGACTGAACATTCCCTTTCATAGAGCAGGTTTGAAACACTCTTTCTGTAGTATCTGCAAGCTGACGTTTCAAGCGCTTTCAGGCCTATGGTGACAAAGGAAATATCTTCAAGTAAAAACTAGACAGAAGCATTCTCAGAAACTTATTTGCCATGTGTGTTCTCAATTAACAGAGTTGAACCTTTGTTTTGATACGGCATTTTGGAAACACTCTTTTTGTAGAATCTGCAGGTGGATATTCGGATAGCTTTGAAGGTTTCGTTGGAAACGGGAATATCTTCATATAAAATCTAGACAGGAAGCATTTTCAGAAAGTGCTTTGTGATGTTTTCATTCAAGTCACAGAGTAGAATGTTTCCTGTTATATACCAGGTTTGAGACACTCTTTCTGCACTACCTGGAAGTGGACATTTGGAGCGCTTTGAGGCCTATGATGAAAAAGGAAATATCTTCCCATAAAAACTAGACAGAAGCATTCTCAGAAACTTGTTTGTGATGTGTGTATTCAACTAACAGAGATGAACCTTTCTTTTTACAGAGCAGTTTTGAAACACTCTTTTTGTGGAATCTGAAAGTGGATATTTGGATAGCTTTGAGGATTTCGTTGGAAACGGGATTACATATAAAATTCTAGAGAGAAGAGCACTCTCAGGAATTTTTTTGTGATGTTTGCATTCTCGTCACAGAACTGAACATTCCCTTTCATAGAGCAGGTTTGAAACACTCTTTCTGTAGTATCTGCAAACGGACATTCCAAGCGCTTTCAGGCCTATGGTGAGAAAGGAAATATCTTCAAATAAAAACCAGACAGAAGCATTCTCAGAAACTTATTTGCGATGTGTGTCCTCAACTAACAGAGTTGAACCTTTCTATTGATACAACATTTTGGAAACACTCTTTTTGTAGAATCTGCAGGTGGATATTCGGATAGCTTTTAAGGTTTCGTTGGAAACGGGAATATCTTCATATAAAATCAAGACAGAAGCATTCCCAGAAACTGCTTTGTGATGTCTTCATTCAAGTCACAGAGTAGAATGTTCCCTTTTATAGAGCAGGTTTGAAACACTCTGTGCACTACCTGGAAGTGGACATTTGGAGCGCTTTGAGGCCTATGTTGAAAAAGGAAATATCTTCCCATAGAAACTAGACAGAAGCATTCTCAGAAACTTGTTTGTGATGTGTGTATTCAACTAACAGAGATGAACCTTTCTTTTTACAGAGCAGTTTTGAAACACTCTTTTTGTGGAATCTGAAAGTGGATATTTGGATAGCTTTGAGGATTTCGTTGGAAACGGGATTACATATAAAACCTAGAGAGAAGCATTCTCAGGAACTTCTTTGTGATGTTTGCATTCACGTCACAGAACTGAACATTCCCTTTCATAGAGCATGTTTGAAACACTCTTTCTGTAGTATCTGCAAACGGACATTTCAAACGCTTTCAGGCGTATGGTGAGAAAGGAAATATCTTCAAATAAAAACTAGACAGAAGCATTCTCAGAAACTTATTTGCGATGTGTGTCCTCAACTAACAGAGTTGAACCTTTCTTTTGATACAACATTTTGGAAACACTCTTTTTGTAGAATCTGCAAGTGGATATTTGAATAGCTTTGAAGGTTTCGTTGGAAACGGGAATATCTTCAAATAAAAACTAGACAGAAGCATTCTCAGAAAGTGCTTTGTGATGTTTGCATTCAAGTCACAGAGTTGAATATTCCCTTTTATAGAGCAGGTTTGAAACACTCTTTCTGCACTACCTGGAAGTGGACATTTGGAGCGCTTTGAGGCCTATGTTGAAAAAGGAAATATCTTCCCATAAAAACTAGACAGAAGCATTCTCAGAAACTTGTTTGTGATGTGTGTATTCAACTAACAGAGATGAACCTTTCTTTTTACAGAGCAGTTTTGAAACACTCTTTTTTTGGAATCTGAAAGTGGATATTTGGATAGCTTTGAGGATTTCGTTGGAAACGGGATTACATATAAAACCTAGAGAGAAGAATTCTCAGGAACTTCTTTGTGATGTTTGCATTCAAGTCACAGAACTGAACATTCCCTTTCATAGAGCAGGTTTGAAACACTCTTTCTGTAGTATCTGCAAGCTGACGTTTCAAGCGCTTTCAGGCCTATGGTGAGAAAGGAAATATCTTCAAGTAAAAACTAGACAGAAGCATTCTCAGAAACTTATTTGCCATGTGTGTTCTCAACTAACAGAGTTGAACCTTTGTTTTGATATGGCATTTTGGAAACACTCTTTTTGTAGAATCTGCAGGTGGATATTCGGATAGCTTTGAAGGTTTCGTTGGAAACGGGAATATCTTCATATAAAATCTAGACGGAAGCATTCTCAGAAACTGCTTTGTGATGTTTTCATTCAAGTCACAGAGTAGAATGTTCCCTGTTATATACCAGGTTTGAGACACTCTTTCTGCACTACCTGGAAGTGGACATTTGCAGCGCTTTGAGGCCTATGATGAAAAAGGAAATATCTTCTCCTAAAAACCAGACAGAAGCATTCTCAGAAACTTGTTTGTGATGTGTGTATTCAACTAACAGAGATGAACCTTTCTTTTTACAGAGCAGTTTTGAAACACTCTTTTTGTGGAATCTGAAAGTGGATATTTGGATAGCTTTGAGGATTTCGTTGGAAACGGGATTACATATAAAACCTAGAGAGAAGCATTCTCAGGAACTTCTTTGTGATGTTTGCCTTCAAGTCACAGCACTGAACATTCCCTTTCATAGAGCAGGTTTGAAACACTCTTTCTGTAGTATCTGCAAGCTGACGTTTCAAGCGCTTTCAGGCCTATGGTGAGAAAGGAAATATCTTCAAGTAAAAACTAGACAGAAGCATTCTCAGAAACTTATTTGCGATGTGTGTTCTCAACTAACAGAGTTGAACCTTTGTTTTGATACGGCATTTTGGAAACACTCTTTTTGTAGAATCTGCAGGTGGATATTCGGATAGCTTTGAAGGTTTCGTTGGAAACGGGAATATCTTCATATAAAATCTAGACGGAAGCATTCTCAGAAACTGCTTTGTGATGTTTTCATTCAAGTCACAGAGTAGAATGTTCCCTGTTATATACCAGGTTTGAGACACTCTTTCTGCACTACCTGGAAGTGGACGTTTGGAGCGCTTTGAGGCCTATGTTGAAAAAGGAAATATCTTCCCATAAACACTAGACAGAAGCATTCTCAGAAACTTGTTTGTGATGTGTGTATTCAACTAACAGAGATGAACCTTTCTTTTTACAGAGCAGTTTTGAAACACTCATTTTGTGGAATCTGAAAGTGGATATTTGGATAGCTTTGAGGATTTCGTTGGAAACGGGATTACATATAAAACCTAGAGAGAAGCATTCTCAGGAACTTCTTTGTGATGTTTGCATTCAAGTCACAGAACTGAACATTCCCTTTCATAGAGCAGGTTTGAAACACTCTTTCTGTAGTATCTGCAAGCTGACGTTTCAAGCGCTTTCAGGCCTATGGTGAGAAAGGAAATATCTTCAAGTAAAAACTAGACAGAAGCATTCTCAGAAACTTATTTGCGATGTGTGTTCTCAACTAACAGAGTTGAACCTTTGTTTTGATATGGCATTTTGGAAACACTCTTTTTGTAGAATCTGCAGGTGGATATTCGGATAGCTTTGAAGGTTTCGTTGGAAACGGGAATATCTTCATATAAAATCTAGACGGAAGCATTCTCAGAAACTGCTTTGTGATGTTTTCATTCAAGTCACAGAGTAGAATGTTCCCTGTTATATACCAGGTTTGAGACACTCTTTCTGCACTACCTGGAAGTGGACATTTGCAGCGCTTTGAGGCCTATGATGAAAAAGGAAATATCTTCCCATAAAAACTAGACAGAAGCATTCTCAGAAACTTGTTTGTGATGTGTGTATTCAACTAACAGAGATGAACCTTTCTTTTTACAGAGCAGTTTTGAATCACTCTTTTTGTGGAATCTGAAAGTGGATATTTGGATAGCTTTGAGGATTTCGTTGGAAACGGGATTACATATAAAATCTAGAGAGAAGCATTCTCAGGAACTTCTTTGTGATGTTTGCATTCACGTCACAGAACTGAACATTCCCTTTCATAGAGCATGTTTGAAACACTCTTTCTGTAGTATCTGCAAATGGACATTTCAAACGCTTTCAGGCCTATGGTGAGAAAGGAAATATCTTCAAATAAAAACTAGACAGAAGCATTCTCCGAAACTTATTTGCCATGTGTGTTCTCAACTAACAGAGTTGAACCTTTGTTTTGATACGGCATTTTGGAAACACTCTTTTTGTAGAATCTGCAGGTGGATATTCGGATAGCTTTGAAGGTTTCGTTGGAAACGGGAATATCTTCATATAAAATCTAGACGGAAGCATTCTCAGAAACTGCTTTGTGATGTTTTCATTCAAGTCACAGAGTAGAATGTTCCCTGTTATATACCAGGTTTGAGACACTCTTTCTGCACTACCTGGAAGTGGACGTTTGGAGCGCTTTGAGGCCTATGTTGAAAAAGGAAATATCTTCCCATAAAAACTAGACAGAAGCATTCTCAGAAACTTGTTTGTGATGTGTGTATTCAACTAACAGAGATGAACCTTTCTTTTTACAGAGCAGTTTTGAAACACTCTTTTTGTGGAATCTGAAAGTGGATATTTGGATAGCTTTGAGGATTTCGTTGGAAACGGGATTACATATAAAACCTAGAGAGAAGCATTCTCAGGAACTTCTTTGTGATGTTTGCATTCAAGTCACAGAACTGAACATTCCCTTTCATAGAGCAGGTTTGAAACACTCTTTCTGTAGTATCTGCAAGCTGACGTTTCAAGCGCTTTCAGGCCTATGGTGAGAAAGGAAATATCTTCAAGTAAAAACTGGACAGAAGCATTCTCAGAAACTTATTTGCGATGTGTGTTCTCAACTAACAGAGTTGAACCTTTGTTTTGATATGGCATTTTGGAAACACTCTTTTTGTAGAATCTGCAGGTGGATATTCGGATAGCTTTGAACGTTTCGTTGGAAACGGGAATATCTTCATATAAAATCTAGACGGAAGCATTCTCAGAAACTGCTTTGTGATGTTTTCATTCAAGTCACAGAGTAGAATGTTCCCCGTTATATACCAGGTTTGAGACACTCTTTCTGCACTACCTGGAAGTGGACATTTGGAGCGCTTTGAGGCCTATGATGAAGAAGGAAATATCTTCCCATAAAAACTAGACAGAAGCATTCTCAGAAACTTGTTTGTGATGTGTGTATTCAACTAACAGAGATGAACCTTTCTTTTTACAGAGCAGTTTTGAAACACTCTTTTTGTGGAATCTGAAAGTGGATATTTGGATAGCTTTGCGGATTTCGTTGGAAACGGGATTACATATAAAATCTAGGGAGAAGCATTCTCAGGAACTTCTTTGTGATGTTTGCATTCAAGTCACAGAACTGAACCTTCCCTTTCATAGAGCAGGTTTGAAACACTCTTTCTGTAGTATCTGCCAGCGGACGTTTTAAGCGCTTTCAGGCCTGTGGTGAGAAAGGAAATATCTTCAAATAAAAACTAGACAGAAGCATTCTCAGAAACTTATTTGCGATGTGTGTCCTCAACTAACAGAGTTGAACCTTTCTTTTGATACAACATTTTGGAAACACTCTTTTTGTAGAATCTGCAAGTGGATATTTGGATAGCTTTGAAGGTTTCGTTGGAAACGGGAATATCTTCATATGAAATCAAGACAGAAGCATTCTCAGAAACTTCTCTGTGATGTTTGCATTCAACTCATAGAGTTGAACACTTCTCTTCATACAGCAGGTTTGAAACACTCTTTTTCTAATATTTGGAAGTGGACATTTGCAGCGCTTTGAGGCCTATGTTGAAAAAGGAAATATCTTCTCCTAAAAACCAGACAGAAGCATTCTCAGAAACTTGTTTGTGATGTGTGTATTCAACTAACAGAGATGAACCTTTCTTTTTACAGAGCAGTTTTGAAACACTCTTTTTGTGGAATCTGAAAGTGGATATTTGGATAGCTTTGAGGATTTCGTTGGAAACGGGATTACATATAAAACCTAGAGAGAAGCATTCTCAGGAACTTCTTTGTGATGTTTGCATTCAAGTCACAGAACTGAACATTCCCTTTCATAGAGCATGTTTGAAACACTCTTTCTGTAGTATCTGCAAGCGGACGTTTCAAGCGCTTTCAGGCCTATGGTGAGAAAGGAAATATCTTCAAGTAAAAACTAGACAGAAGCATTCTCAGAAACTTATTTGCCATGTGTGTTCTCAACTAACAGAGTTGAACCTTTGTTTGGATACGGCATTTTGGAAACACTCTTTTTGTAGAATCTGCAGGTGGATATTCGGATAGCTTTGAAGGTTTCGTTGGAAACGGGAATATCTTCATATAAAATCTAGACGGAAGTATTCCCAGAAACTGCTTTGTGATGTTTTCATTCAAGTCACAGAGTAGAATGTTCCCTGTTATATACCAGGTTTGAGACACTCTTTCTGCACTACCTGGAAGTGGACGTTTGGAGCGCTTTGAGGCCTATGTTGAAAAAGGAAATATCTTCCCATAAAAACTAGACAGAAGCATTCTCAGAAACTTGTTTGTGATGTGTGTATTCAACTAACAGAGATGAACCTTTCTTTTTACAGAGCAGTTTTGAAACACTCTTTTTGTGGAATCTGAAAGTGGATATTTGGATAGCTTTGAGGATTTCGTTGGAAACGGGATTACATATAAAATCTAGAGAGAAGCACTCTCAGGAAACTTCTTTGTGATGTTTGCATTCAAGTCACAGAACTGAACATTCCCTTTCATAGAGCATGTTTGAAACACTCTTTCTGTAGTATCTGCAAACGGACGTTTCAAACGCTTTCAGGCCTATGGTGAGAAAGGAAATATCTTCAAGTAAAAACTAGACAGAAGCATTCTCAGAAACTTATTTGCCATGTGTGTTCTCAACTAACAGAGTTGAACCTTTGTTTTGATACGGCATTTTGGAAACACTCTTTTTGTAGAATCTGCAGGTGGATATTCGGATAGCTTTGAAGGTTTCGTTGGAAACGGGAATATCTTCATATAAAATCTAGACGGAAGCATTCTCAGAAACTGCTTTGTGATGTTTTCATTCAAGTCACAGAGTAGAATGTTCCCTGTTATATACCAGGTTTGAGACACTATTTCTGCACTACCTGGAAGTGGACATTTGGAGCGCTTTGAGGCCTATGATGAAAAAGGAAATATCTTCCCATAAAAACTAGACAGAAGCATTCTCAGAAACTTGTTTGTGATGTGTGTATTCAACTAACAGAGATGAACCTTTCTTTTTACAGAGCAGTTTTGAAACACTCTTTTTGTGGAATCTGAAAGTGGATATTTGGATAGCTTTGAGGATTTCGTTGGAAACGGGATTACATATAAAATCTAGAGAGAAGCATTCTCAGGAACTTCTTTGTGATGTTTGCATTCAAGTCACAGAACTGAACATTCCCTTTCATAGAGCAGGTTTGAAACACTCTTTCTGTAGTATCTGCAAGCGGACGTTTTAAGCGCTTTCAGGCCTGTGGTGAGAAAGGAAATATCTTCAAATAAAAACTAGACAGAAGCATTCTCAGAGACTTATTTGCGATGTGTGTCCTCAACTAACAGAGTTGAACCTTTCTTTTGATACAACATTTTGGAAACACTCTTTTTGTAGAATCTGCAAGTGGATATTTGGATAACTTTGAAGGTTTCGTTGGAAACGGGAATATCTTCATATGAAATCAAGACAGAAGCATTCTCAGAAACTTCTCTGTGATGTTTGCATTCAACTCATAGAGTTGAACACTTCCCTTCATACAGCAGGTTTGAAACACTCTTTTTCTAATATTTGGAAGTGGACATTTGCAGCGCTTTGAGGCCTATGTTGAAAAAGGAAATATCTTCTCCTAAAAACCAGACAGAAGCATTCTCAGAAACTTCCTTGTGATGTGTGTACTCAGGTAACAGAGTTGAACCTCACTTTTGACAGAGCCGTTTGGAAACAGTCTTTTTGTAGAATCTGGAAGTAGATATTTGGACACCTTTGAGGATTTCTTTGGAAACGGGATATCTTCATATAAAATCTAGACAGAAACCATTCTCAGGAACTTCTTTGTGATGTTTGCATTCACGTCACAGAACTGAACATTCCCTTTCATAGAGCATGTTTGAAACACTCTTTCTGTAGTATCTGCAAACGGACATTTCAAACGCTTTCAGGCCTATGGTGAGAAAGGAAATATCTTCAAGTAAAAACTAGACAGAAGCATTCTCAGAAACTTATTTGCGATGTGTGTCCTCAACTAACAGAGTTGAACCTTTCTTTTGATACAACATTTTGGAAACACTCTTTTTGTAGAATCTGCAAGTGGATATTTGAATAGCTTTGAAGGTTTCGTTGGAAACGGGAATATCTTCATATAAAATCAAGACGGAAGCATTCTCAGAAACTTCTCTGTGATGTTTGCATTCAACTCATAGAGTTGAACACTTCCCTTCATACAGCAGGTTTGAAACACTCTTTTTGTAATATTTGGAAGTGGACATTTGCAGCGCTTTGAGGCCTATGATGAAAAAGGTAATATCTTCCCATAAAAACTAGACAGAAGCATTCTCAGAAACTTGTTTGTGATGTGTGTATTCAACTAACAGAGATGAACCTTTCTTTTTACAGAGCAGTTTTGAAACACTCTTTTTGTGGAATCTGAAAGTGGATATTTGGATAGCTTTGCGGATTTCGTTGGAAACGGGATTACATATAAAATCTAGGGAGAAGCATTCTCAGGAACTTCTTTGTGATGTTTGCATTCAAGTCACAGAACTGAACATTCCCTTTCATAGAGCAGGTTTGAAACACTCTTTCTGTAGTATCTGCAAGCGGACGTTTTAAGCGCTTTCAGGCCTGTGGTGAGAAAGGAAATATCTTCAAATAAAAACTAGACAGAAGCATTCTCAGAAACTTATTTGCGATGTGTGTCCTCAACTAACAGAGTTGAACCTTTCTTTTGATACAACATTTTGGAAACACTCTTTTTGTAGAATCTGCAAGTGGATATTTGGATAGCTTTGAAGGTTTCGTTGGAAACGGGAATATCTTCATATGAAATCAAGACAGAAGCATTCTCAGAAACTTCTCTGTGATGTTTGCATTCAACTCATAGAGTTGAACACTTCCCTTCATACAGCAGGTTTGAAACACTCTTTTTCTAATATTTGGAAGTGGACATTTGCAGCGCTTTGAGGCCTATGTTGAAAAAGGAAATATCTTCTCCTAAAAACCAGACAGAAGCATTCTCAGAAACTTGTTTGTGATGTGTGTATTCAACTAACAGAGATGAACCTTTCTTTTTACAGAGCAGTTTTGAAGCACTCTTTTTGTAGAATCTGCAAGTGGATATTTTGATACCATTGAGGATTTCGTTGGACACGGGATATCTTCATATAAAATCTAGACAGAAGCATTCTCAGGAACTTCTTTGTGATGTTTGCATTCAAGTCACAGAACTGAACATTCCCTTTCATAGAGCAGGTTTGAAACACTCTTTCTGTAGTATCTGCAAGCTGACGTTTCAAGCGCTTTCAGGCCTATGGTGAGAAAGGAAATATCTTCAAGTAAAAACTAGACAGAAGCATTCTCAGAAACTTATTTGCCATGTGTGTTCTCAACTAACAGAGTTGAACCTTTGTTTTGATACGGCATTTTGGAAACACTCTTTTTGTAGAATCTGCAGGTGGATATTCGGATAGCTTTGAAGGTTTCGTTGGAAACGGGAATATCTTCATATAAAATCTAGACGGAAGCATTCTCAGAAACTGCTTTGTGATGTTTTCATTCAAGTCACAGAGTAGAATGTTCCCTGTTATATACCAGGTTTGAGACACTCTTTCTGTACTACCCGGAAGTGGACGTTTGGAGCGCTTTGAGGCCTATGTTGAAAAAGGAAATATCTTCCCATAAAAACTAGACAGAAGCATTCTCAGAAACTTGTTTGTGATGTGTGTATTCAACTAACAGAGATGAACCTTTCCTTTTACAGAGCAGTTTTGAAACACTCTTTTTGTGGAATCTGAAAGTGGATATTTGGATAGCTTTGAGGATTTCGTTGGAAACGGGATTACATATAAAACCTAGAGAGAAGCATTCAAAGGAACTTCTTTGTGATGTTTGCATTCAAGTCACAGAACTGAACATTCCCTTTCATAGAGCATGTTTGAAACACTCTTTCTGTAGTATCTGCAAGCGGACGTTTCAAGCGCTTTCAGGCCTATGGTGAGAAAGGAAATATCTTCAAGTAAAAACTAGACAGAAGCATTCTCAGAAACTTATTTGCCATGTGTGTTCTCAACTAACAGAGTTGAACCTATGTTTTGATACGGCATTTTGGAAACACTCTTTTTGTAGAATCTGCAGGTGGATATTCGGATAGCTTTGAAGGTTTCGTTGGAAACGGGAATATCTTCATATAAAATCTAGACGGAAGCATTCTCAGAAACTGCTTTGTGATGTTTTCGTTGAAGTCACAGAGTAGAATGTTCCCTTTTATATACCAGGTTTGAGACACTCTTTCTGCACTATCTGGAAGTGGACATTTGGAGCGCTTTGAGGCCTATGATGAAAAAGGAAATATCTTCCCATAAAAACTAGACAGAAGCATTCTCAGAAACTTGTTTGTGATGTGTGTATTCAACTAACAGAGATGAACCTTTCTTTTTACAGCGCAGTTTTGAAACAGTCTTTTTGTAGAATCTGGAAGTAGATATTTGGATACATTTGAGGATTTCTTTGGAAACGGGATATCTTCATATAAAATCTAGACAGAAGCATTCTCAGAAACTTCTTTGTGCTGTATGTCCTCAATTAACAGAGTGGAACCTTTGTGTGGATACAGCATTTTGGAAACATTCCTTTAGTAGAATCTGCAAGTTGATATTTAGATAGCTAGGAAGATTTCCTTGGAAACGGGAATATCTTCATATAAAATCTAGACGGAAGCATTCTCAGAAACTTCTCTGTGATGTTTGCATTCAACTCATAGAGTTGAACACTTCCCTTCATACAGCAGGTTTGAAACACTCTTTTTGTAATATTTGGAAGTGGACATTTGCAGCGCTTTGAGGCCTATGATGAAAAAGGAAATATCTTCCCATAAAAACTAGACAGAAGCATTCTCAGAAACTTGTTTGTGATGTGTGTATTCAACTAACAGAGATGAACCTTTCTTTTTACAGAGCAGTTTTGAAACACTCTTTTTGTGGAATCTGAAAGTGGATATTTGGATAGCTTTGAGGATTTCGTTGGAAACGGGATTACATATAAAATCTAGAGAGAAGCATTCTCAGGAACTTCTTTGTGATGTTTGCATTCAAGTCACAGAACTGAACATTCCCTTTCATAGAGCAGGTTTGAAACACTCTTTCTGTAGTATCTGCAAGGGGACGTTTTAAGCGCTTTCAGGCCTGTGGTGAGAAAGGAAATATCTTCAAATAAAAACTAGACAGAAGCATTCTCAGAAACTTATTTGCCATGTGTGTTCTCAACTAACAGAGTTGAACCTTTGTTTTGATACGGCATTTTGGAAACACTCTTTTTGTAGAATCTGCAGGTGGATATTCGGATAGCTTTGAAGGTTTCGTTGGAAACGGGAATATCTTCATATAAAATCTAGACGGAAGCATTCTCAGAAACTGCTTTGTGATGTCTTCATTCAAGTCACAGAGTAGAATGTTCCCTGTTATATACCAGGTTTGAGACACTCTTTCTGCACTACCTGGAAGTGGACGTTTGGAGCGCTTTGAGGCCTATGATGAAAAAGGAAATATCTTCCCATAAAAACTAGACAGAAGCATTCTCAGAAACTTGTTTGTGATGTGTGTATTCAACTAACAGAGATGAACCTTTCTTTTTACAGAGCAGTTTTGAAACACTCTTTTTGTGGAATCTGAAAGTGGATATTTGGATAGCTTTGCGGATTTCGTTGGAAACGGGATTACATATAAAATCTAGGGAGAAGCATTCTCAGGAACTTCTTTGTGATGTTTGCATTCAAGTCACAGAACTGAACATTCCCTTTCATAGAGCAGGTTTGAAACACTCTTTCTGTAGTATCTGCAAGCGGACGTTTTAAGCGCTTTCAGGCCTGTGGTGAGAAAGGAAATATCTTCAAATAAAAACTAGACAGAAGCATTCTCAGAAACTTATTTGCGATGTGTGTCCTCAACTAACAGAGTTGAACCTTTCTTTTGATACAACATTTTGGAAACACTCTTTTTGTAGAATCTGCAAGTGGATATTTGGATAGCTTTGAAGGTTTCGTTGGAAACGGGAATATCTTCATATGAAATCAAGACAGAAGCATTCTCAGAAACTTCTCTGTGATGTTTGCATTCAACTCATAGAGTTGAACACTTCCCTTCATACAGCAGGTTTGAAACACTCTTTTTCTAATATTTGGAAGTGGACATTTGCAGCGCTTTGAGGCCTATGTTGAAAAAGGAAATATCTTCTCCTAAAAACCAGACAGAAGCATTCTCAGAAACTTGTTTGTGATGTGTGTATTCAACTAACAGAGATGAACCTTTCTTTTTACAGAGCAGTTTTGAAACACTCTTTTTGTGGAATCTGAAAGTGGATATTTGGATAGCTTTGAGGATTTCGTTGGAAACGGGATTACATATAAAACCTAGAGAGAAGCATTCTCAGGAACTTCTTTTTGATGTTTGCCTTCAAGTCACAGGACTGAACATTCCCTTTCATAGAGCAGGTTTGAAACACTCTTTCTGTAGTATCTGCAAGCTGACGTTTCAAGCGCTTTCAGGCGTATGGTGAGAAAGGAAATATCTTCAAGTAAAAACTAGACAGAAGCATTCTCAGAAACTTATTTGCCATGTGTGTTCTCAACTAACAGAGTTGAACCTTTGTTTTGATATGGCATTTTGGAAACACTCTTTTTGTAGAATCTGCAGGTGGATATTCGGATAGCTTTGAAGGTTTCGTTGGAAACGGGAATATCTTCATATAAAATCTAGACGGAAGCATTCTCAGAAACTGCTTTGTGATGTTTTCATTCAAGTCACAGAGTAGAATGTTCCCTGTTATATACCAGGTTTGAGACACTCTTTCTGCACTACCCGGAAGTGGACGTTTGGAGCGCTTTGAGGCCTATGTTGAAAAAGGAAATATCTTCCCATAAAAACTAGACAGAAGCATTCTAAGAAACTTGTTTGTGATGTGTGTATTCAACTAACAGAGATGAACCTTTCTTTTTACAGAGCAGTTTTGAAACACTCTTTTTGTGGAATCTGAAAGTGGATATTTGGATAGCTTTGAGGATTTCGTTGGAAACGGGATTACATATAAAATCTAGAGAGAAGCATTCTCAGGAACTTCTTTGTGATGTTTGCCTTCAAGTCACAGGACTGAACATTCCCTTTCATAGAGCAGGTTTGAAACACTCTTTCTGTAGTATCTGCAAGCTGACGTTTCAAGCGCTTTCAGGCCTATGGTGAGAAAGGAAATATCTTCAAGTAAAAACTAGACAGAAGCATTCTCAGAAACTTCTTTGTGCTGTATGTCCTCAATTAACAGAGTTGAACCTTTGTGTGGATACAGCATTTTGGAAACATTCCTTTAGTAGAATCTGCATGTTGATATTTAGATAGCTAGGAAGATTTCCTTGGAAACGGGAATATCTTCATATAAAATCTCGACGGAAGCATTCTCAGAAACTGCTTTGTGATGTCTTCATTCAAGTCACAGAGTAGAATGTTCCCTTTTATAGAGCAGGTTTGAAACACTCTGTGCACTACCTGGAAGTGGACATTTGGAGCGCTTTGAGGCCTATGTTGAAAAAGGAAATATCTTCCCATAGAAACTAGACAGAAGCATTCTCAGAAACTTGTTTGTGATGTGTGTATTCAACTAACACAGATGAACCTTTCTTTTTACAGAGCAGTTTTGAAACACTCTTTTTGTGGAATCTGAAAGTGGATATTTGGATAGCTTTGAGGATTTCGTTGGAAACGGGATGACATATAAAATCTAGGGAGAAGCATTCTCAGGAACTTCTTTGTGATGTTTGCATTCAAGTCACAGAACTGAACATTCCCTTTCATAGAGCAGGTTTGAAACACTCTTTCTGTAGTATCTGCAAGCGGACGTTTCAAGCGCTTTCAGGCCTGTGGTGAAAAAGGAAATATCTTCAAATAAAAACTAGACAGAAGCATTCTCAGAAACTTATTTGCCATGTGTGTTCTCAACTAACAGAGTTGAACCTTTGTTTTGATACGGCATTTTGGAAACACTCTTTTTGTAGAATCTGCAGGTGGATATTCGGATAGCTTTGAAGGTTTCGTTGGAAACGGGAATATCTTCATATAAAATCTAGACGGAAGCATTCTCAGAAACTGCTTTGTGATGTTTGCATTCAAGTCACAGAGTAGAATGTTCCCTGTTATATACCAGGTTTGAGACACTCTTTCTGCACTACCTGGAAGTGGACGTTTGGAGCGCTTTGAGGCCTATGTTGAAAAAGGAAATATCTTCCCATAAAAACTAGACAGAAGCATTCTCAGAAACTTGTTTGTGATGTGTGTATTCAACTAACAGAGATGAACCTTTCTTTTTACAGAGCAGTTTTGAAACACTCTTTTTGTGGAATCTGAAAGTGGATATTTGGATAGCTTTGAGGATTTCGTTGGAAACGGGATTACATATAAAACCTAGAGAGAAGCATTCTCAGGAACTTCTTTGTGATGTTTGCATTCAAGTCACAGAACTGAACATTCCCTTTCATAGAGCAGGTTTGAAACACTCTTTCTGTAGTATCTGCAAGCTGACGTTTCAAGCGCTTTCAGGCCTATGGTGAGAAAGGAAATATCTTCAAGTAAAAACTAGACAGAAGCATTCTCAGAAACTTATTTGCGATGTGTGTTCTCAACTAACAGAGTTGAACCTTTGTTTTGATATGGCATTTTGGAAACACTCTTTTTGTAGAATCTGCAGGTGGATATTCGGATAGCTTTGAAGGTTTCGTTGGAAACGGGAATATCTTCATATAAAATCTAGACGGAAGCATTCTCAGAAACTGCTTTGTGATGTTTTCATTCAAGTCACAGAGTAGAATGTTCCCTGTTATATACCAGGTTTGAGACACTCTTTCTGCACTACCTGGAAGTGGACATTTGGAGCGCTTTGAGGCCTATGATGAAGAAGGAAATATCTTCCCATAAAAACTAGACAGAAGCATTCTCAGAAACTTGTTTGTGATGTGTGTATTCAACTAACAGAGATGAACCTTTCTTTTTACAGAGCAGTTTTGAAACACTCTTTTTGTGGAATCTGAAAGTGGATATTTGGATAGCTTTGAGGATTTCGTTGGAAACGGGATTACATATAAAATCTAGAGAGAAGCATTCTCAGGTAACTTCTTCGTGATGTTTGCATTCAAGTCACAGAACTGAACATTCCCTTTCATAGTGCAGGTTTGAAACACTCTTTCTGTAGTATCTGCAAGCTGACGTTTCAAGCGCTTTCAGGCCTGTGGTGAAAAAGGAAATATCTTCAAATAAAAACTAGACAGAAGCATTCTCAGAAACTTATTTGCGATGTGAGTTCTCAACTAACAGAGTTGAACCTTTGTTTGGATACAACATTTTGGAAACACTCTTTTTGTAGAATCTGCAAGTGGATATTTGGATAGCTTTGAAGGTTTCGTTGGAAACGGGAATATCTTGATATAAAATCAAGACAGAAGCATTCTCAGAAACTTCTCTGTG
The DNA here is from genome assembly GCF_000001405.40 of Homo sapiens. Lineage (NCBI taxonomy): Eukaryota > Metazoa > Chordata > Mammalia > Primates > Hominidae > Homo > Homo sapiens. The sequence goes on from NC_000009.12 coordinate 44,796,020, forward strand.
ATGTTTGCATTCAACTCATAGAGTTGAACACTTCCCTTCATACAGCAGGTTTGAAACACTCTTTTTGTAATATTTGGAAGTGGACATTTGCAGCGCTTTGAGGCCTATGATGAAAAAGGAAATATCTTCCCATAAAAACTAGACAGAAGCATTCTCAGAAACTTGTTTGTGATGTGTGTATTCAACTAACAGAGATGAACCTTTCTTTTTACAGAGCAGTTTTGAAACACTCTTTTTGTGGAATCTGAAAGTGGATATTTGGATAGCTTTGAGGATTTCGTTGGAAACGGGATTACATATAAAACCTAGAGAGAAGCATTCTCAGGAACTTCTTTGTGATGTTGGCCTTCAAGTCACAGGACTGAACATTCCCTTTCATAGAGCAGGTTTGAAACACTCTTTCTGTAGTATCTGCAAGCTGACGTTTCAAGCGCTTTCAGGCCTATGGTGAGAAAGGAAATATCTTCAAGTAAAAACTAGACAGAAGCATTCTCAGAAACTTCTTTCTGCTGTATGTCCTCAATTAACAGAGTTGAACCTTTGTGTGGATACAGCATTTTGGAAACATACCTTTAGTAGAATCTGCAAGTTGATATTTAGATAGCTAGGAAGATTTCCTTGGAAACGGGAATATCTTCATATAAAATCTAGACGGAAGCATTCTCAGAAAGTGCTTTGTGATGTTTGCATTCAAGTCACAGAGTTGAATATTCCCTTTTACAGAGCAGGTTTGAAACACTCTTTCTGCACTACCTGGAAGTGGACATTTGGAGCGCTTTGAGGCCTATGTTGAAAAAGGAAATATCTTCCCATAAAAACTAGACAGAAGCATTCTCAGAAACTTGTTTGTGATGTGTGTATTCAACTAACAGAGATGAACCTTTCTTTTTACAGAGCAGTTTTGAAACACTCTTTTTGTGGAATCTGAAAGTGGATATTTGGATAGCTTTGAGGATTTCGTTGGAAACGGGATTACATATAAAATCCAGAGAGAAGCACTCTCAGGAACTTCTTTGTGATGTTTGCATTCAAGTCACAGAACTGAACATTCCCTTTCATAGAGCAGGTTTGAAACACTCTTTCTGTAGTATCTGCAAGCGGACGTTTTAAGCGCTTTCAGGCCTGTGGTGAGAAAGGAAATATCTTCAAATAAAAACTAGACAGAAGCATTCTCAGAAACTTATTTGCGATGTGTGTCCTCAACTAACAGAGTTGAACCTTTCTTTTGATACAACATTTTGGAAACACTCTTTTTGTAGAATCTGCAAGTGGATATTTGGATAGCTTTGAAGGTTTCGTTGGAAACGGGAATATCTTCATATGAAATCAAGACAGAAGCATTCTCAGAAACTGCTTTGTGATGTTTTCATTCAAGTCACAGAGTAGAATGTTCCCTGTTATATACCAGGTTTGAGACACTCTTTCTGCACTACCTGGAAGTGGACGTTTGGAGCGCTTTGAGGCCTATGTTGAAAAAGGAAATATCTTCCCATAAAAACTAGACAGAAGCATTCTCAGAAACTTCCTTGTGATGTGTGTACTCAAGTAACAGAGTTGAACCTTACTTTTGACAGAGCCGTTTTGAAACAGTCTTTTTGTAGAATCTGGAAGTAGATATTTGGACACCTTTGAGGATTTCTTTGGAAACGGGATATCTTCATATAAAATCTAGACAGAAGCATTCTCAGGAACTTCTTTGTGATGTTTGCATTCAAGTCACAGAACTGAACATTCCCTTTCATAGAGCATGTTTGAAACACTCTGTCTGTAGTATCTACAAGCGGAAGTTTCAAGCGCTTTCAGGCCTATGGTGAGAAAGGAAATATCTTCACGTAAAAACTAGACAGAAGCATTCTCAGAAACTTATTTGCGATGTGTGTTCTCAACTAACAGAGTTGAACCTTTGTTTTGATACAGCATTTTGGAAACACTCTTGTTGTAGGATCTGCAGGTTGATATTTGGATAGCTTTGAACGTTTCGTTGGAAACGGGAATATCCCCATATAAAATCAAGACAGAAGCATTCTCAGAAACTTCTCTGTGATGTTTGCATTCAACTCATAGAGTTGAACACTTCCTTTCATAGAGCATGTTTGAAACACTCTGTGCACTACCTGGAAGTGGACATTTGGAGCGCTTTGAGGCCTATGTTGAAAAAGGAAATATCTTCCCATAAAAACTAGACAGAAACATTCTCAGAAACTTGTTTGTGATGTGTGTATTCAACTAACAGAGATGAACCTTTCTTTTTACAGAGCAGTTTTGAAACACTCTTTTTGTGGAATCTGAAAGTGGATATTTGGATAGCTTTGAGGATTTCGTTGGAAACGGGATTACTTATAAAATCTAGGGAGAAGCATTCTCAGGAACTTCTTTGTGATGTTTGCATTCACGTCACAGAACTGAACATTCCCTTTCATAGAGCATGTTTGAAACACTCTTTCTGTAGTATCTGCAAACGGACATTTCAAACGCTTTCAGGCCTATGGTGAGAAAGGAAATATCTTCAAGTAAAAACTAGACAGAAGCATTCTCAGAAACTTATTTGCGATGTGTGTCCTCAACTAACAGAGTTGAACCTTTCTTTTGATACAACATTTTGGAAACACTCTTTTTGTAGAATCTGCAAGTGGACATTTGGATAGCTTTGAAGGTTTCGTTGGAAACGGGAATATCTTCATATAAAATCAAGACAGAAGCATTCTCAGAAACTTCTCTGTGATGTTTGCATTCAACTCATAGAGTTGAACACTTCCCTTCATACAGCAGGTTTGAAACACTCTTTTTGTAATATTTGGAAGTGGACATTTGCAGCGCTTTGAGGCCTATGATGAAAAAGGTAATATCTTCCCATAAAAACTAGACAGAAGCATTCTCAGAAACTTGTTTGTGATGTGTGTATTCAACTAACAGAGATGAACCTTTCTTTTTACAGAGCAGTTTTGAAACACTCTTTTTGTGGAATCTGAAAGTGGATATTTGGATAGCTTTGAGGATTTCGTTGGAAACGGGATTACATATAAAACCTAGAGAGAAGCATTCTCAGGAACTTCTTTGTGATGTTTGCCTTCTAGTCACAGGACTGAACATTCCCTTTCATAGAGCAGGTTTGAAACACTCTTTCTGTAGTATCTGCAAGCTGACGTTTCAAGCGCTTTCAGGTCTATGGTGAGAAAGGAAATATCTTCAAGTAAAAACTAGACAGAAGCATTCTCAGAAACTTATTTGCGATGTGTGTCCTCAACTAACAGAGTTGAACCTTTCTTTTGATACAACATTTTGGAAACACTCTTTTTGTAGAATCTGCAAGTGGATATTTGGATAGCTTTGAAGGTTTCGTTGGAAACGGGAATATCTTCATATGAAATCAAGACAGAAGCATTCTCAGAAAGTGCTTTGTGATGTTTGCATTCAAGTCACAGAGTTGAATATTCCCTTTTATAGAGCAGGTTTGAAACACTCTTTCTGCACTACCTGGAAGTGGACATTTGGAGCGCTTTGAGGCCTATGTTGAAAAACGAAATATCTTCCCATAAAAACTAGACAGAAGCATTCTCAGAAACTTGTTTGTGATGTGTGTATTCAACTAACAGAGATGAACCTTTCTTTTTACAGAGCAGTTTTGAAGCACTCTTTTTGTAGAATCTGCAAGTGGATATTTTGATACCATTGAGGATTTCGTTGGACACGGGATATCTTCATATAAAATCTAGACAGAAGCATTCTCAGGAACTTCTTTGTGATGTTTGCATTCAAGTCACAGAACTGAACATTCCCTTTCATAGAGCAGGTTTGAAACACTCTTTCTGTAGTATCTGCAAGCGGACGTTTTAAGCGCTTTCAGGCCTGTGGTGAGAAAGGAAATATCTTCAAATAAAAACTAGACAGAAGCATTCTCAGAAACTTATTTGCGATGTGTGTCCTCAACTAACAGAGTTGAACCTTTCTTTTGATACAACATTTTGGAAACACTCTTTTTGTAGAATCTGCAAGTGGATATTTGGAAAGCTTTGAAGGTTTCGTTGGAAACGGGAATATCTTCATATGAAATCAAGACAGAAGCATTCTCAGAAACTGCTTTGTGATGTTTTCATTCAAGTCACAGAGTAGAATGTTCCCTGTTATATACCAGGTTTGAGACACTCTTTCTGCACTACCTGGAAGTGGACGTTTGGAGCGCTTTGAGGCCTATGTTGAAAAAGGAAATATCTTCCCATAAAAACTAGACAGAAGCATTCTCAGAAACTTGTTTGTGATGTGTGTATTCAACTAACAGAGATGAACCTTTCTTTTTACAGAGTAGTTTTGAAACACTCTTTTTGTGGAATCTGAAAGTGGATATTTGGATAGCTTTGAGGAATTCGTTGGAAACGGGATTACATATAAAATCTAGAGAGAAGCATTCTCAGGAACTTCTTTGTGATGTTTGCATTCACGTCACAGAACTGAACATTCCCTTTCATAGATCATGTTTGAAACACTCTTTCTGTAGTATCTGCAAACGGACATTTCAAACGCTTTCAGGCCTATGGTGAGAAAGGAAATATCTTCAAATAAAAACTAGACAGAAGCATTCTCAGAAACTTATTTGCGATGTGTATCCTCAACTAACAGAGTTGAACCTTTCTTTTGATACAACATTTTGGAAACACTCTTTTTGTGGAATCTGCAAGTGGATATTTGGATAGCTTTGAAGGTTTCATTGGAAACGGGAATATCTTCATATAAAATCAAGACAGAAGCATTCTCAGAAAGTGCTTTGTGATGTTTGCATTCAAGTCACAGAGTTGAATATTCCCTTTTATAGAGCAGGTTTGAAACACTCTTTCTGCACTACCTGGAAGTGGACATTTGGAGCGCTTTGAGGCCTATGTTGAAAAAGGAAATATCTTCCCATAAAAACTAGACAGAAGCATTCTCAGAAACTTGTTTGTGATGTGTGTATTCAACTAACAGAGATGAACCTTTCTTTTTACAGAGCAGTTTTGAAACACTCTTTTTGTGGAATCTGAAAGTGGATATTTGGATAGCTTTGAGGATTTCGTTGGAAACGGGATTACATATAAAATCTAGAGAGAAGCATTCTCAGGAACTTCTTTGTGATGTTTGCATTCACGTCACAGAACTGAACATTCCCTTTCATAGAGCATGTTTGAAACACTCTTTCTGTAGTATCTGCAAACGGACATTTCAAACGCTTTCAGGCCTATGGTGAGAAAGGAAATATCTTCAAGTAAAAACTAGACAGAAGCATTCTCAGAAACTTATTTGCGATGTGTGTCCTCAACTAACAGAGTTGAACCTTTCTTTTGATACAACATTTTGGAAACACTCTTTTTGTAGAATCTGCAAGTGGATATTTGAATAGCTTTGAAGGTTTCGTTGGAAACGGGAATATCTTCATATAAAATCAAGACAGAAGCATTCTCAGAAACTTCTCTGTGATGTTTGCATTCAACTCATAGAGTTGAACACTTCCCTTCATACAGCAGGTTTGAAACACTCTTTTTGTAATATTTGGAAGTGGACATTTGCAGCGCTTTGAGGCCTATGATGAAAAAGGAAATATCTTCCAATAAAAACTAGACAGAAGCATTCTCAGAAACTTATTTGCGATGTGTGTTCTCAACTAACAGAGTTGAACCTTTGTTTTGATATGGCATTTTGGAAACACTCTTTTTGTAGAATCTGCAGGTGGATATTCGGATAGCTTTGAAGGTTTCGTTGGAAACGGGAATATCTTCATATAAAATCTAGACGGAAGCATTCTCAGAAACTGCTTTGTGATGTTTTCATTCAAGTCACAGAGTAGAATGTTCCCTGTTATATACCAGGTTTGAAACACTCTTTCTGCACTACATGGAAGTGGACGTTTGGAGTGCTTTGAGGCCTATGTTGAAAAAGGAAATATCATCCCATAAAAACTAGACAGAAGCATTCTCAGTAAACTTGTTTGTGATGTGTGTATTCAACTAACAGAGATGAACCTTTCTTTTTACAGAGCAGTTTTGAAACACTCTTTTTGTGGAATCTGAAAGTGGATATTTGGATAGCTTTGCGGATTTCGTTGGAAACGGGATTACATATAAAATCTAGGGAGAAGCATTCTCAGGAACTTCTTTGTGATGTTTGCCTTCAAGTCACAGGACTGAACATTCCCTTTCATAGAGCAGGTTTGAAACACTCTTTCTGTAGTATCTGCAAGCTGACGTTTCAAGCGCTTTCAGGCCTATGGTGAGAAAGGAAATATCTTCAAGTAAAAACTAGACAGAAGCATTCTCAGAAACTTCTTTGTGCTGTATGTCCTCAATTAACAGAGTTGAACCTTTGTGTGGATACAGCATTTTGGAAACATTCCTTTAGTAGAATCTGCAAGTTGATATTTAGATAGCTAGGAAGATTTCCTTGGAAACGGGAATATCTTCATATAAAATCTAGACGGAAGCATTCTCAGAAAGTGCTTTGTGATGTTTGCATTCAAGTCACAGAGTTGAATATTCCCTTTTATAGAGCAGGTTTGAAACACTCTTTCTGCACTACCTGGAAGTGGACATTTGGAGCGCTTTGAGGCCTATGTTGAAAAAGGAAATATCTTCCCATAAAAACTAGACAGAAGCATTCTCAGAAACTTGTTTGTGATGTGTGTATTCAACTAACAGGGATGAACCTTTCTTTTTACAGAGCAGTTTTGAAACACTCTTTTTGTGGAATCTGAAAGTGGATATTTGGATAGCTTGGAGGATTTCGTTGGAAACGGGATTACATATAAAACCTAGAGAGAAGCATTCTCAGGAACTTCTTTGTGATGTTTGCCTTCTAGTCACAGGACTGAACATTCCCTTTCATAGAGCAGGTTTGAAACAGTCTTTCTGTAGTATCTGCAAGCTGACGTTTCAAGCGCTTTCAGGCCTATGGTGAGAAAGGAAATATCTTCAAGTAAAAACTAGACAGAAGCATTCTCAGAAACTTATTTGCCATGTGTGTTCTCAACTAACAGAGTTGAACCTTTGTTTTGATACGGCATTTTGGAAACACTCTTTTTGTAGAATCTGCAGGTGGATATTCGGATAGCTTTGAAGGTTTCGTTGGAAACGGGAATATCTTCATATAAAATCTAGACGGAAGCATTCTCAGAAACTGCTTTGTGATGTTTTCATTCAAGTCACAGTGTAGAATGTTCCCTGTTATATACCAGGTTTGAGACACTCTTTCTGCACTACCTGGAAGTGGACGTTTGGAGCGCTTTGAGGCCTATGTTGAAAAAGGAAATATCTTCCCATAAAAACTAGACAGAAGCATTCTCAGAAACTTGTTTCTGATGTGTGTATTCAACTAACAGAGATGAACCTTTCTTTTTACAGAGTAGTTTTGAAACACTCTTTTTGTGGAATCTGAAAGTGGATATTTGGATAGCTTTGCGGATTTCGTTGGAAACGGGATTACATATAAAATCTAGAGAGAAGCATTCTCAGGAACTTCTTTGTGATGTTTGCATTCACGTCACAGAACTGAACATTCCCTTTCATAGAGCATGTTTGAAACACTCTTTCTGTAGTATCTGCAAACGGACATTTCAAACGCTTTCAGGCCTATGGTGAGAAAGGAAATATCTTCAAGTAAAAACTAGACAGAAGCATTCTCAGAAACTTATTTGCGATGTGTGTCCTCAACTAACAGAGTTGAACCTTTCTTTTGATACAACATTTTGGAAACACTCTTTTTGTAGAATCTGCAAGTGGATATTTGAATAGCTTTGAAGGTTTCGTTGGAAACGGGAATATCTTCATATAAAATCAAGACAGAAGCATTCTCAGAAACTTCTCTGTGATGTTTGCATTCAACTCATAGAGTTGAACACTTCCCTTCATACAGCAGGTTTGAAACACTCTTTTTGTAATATTTGGAAGTGGACATTTGCAGCGCTTTGAGGCCTATGATGAAAAAGGTAATATCTTCCCATAAAAACTAGACAGAAGCATTCTCAGAAACTTATTTGCCATGTGTGTTCTCAACTAACAGAGTTGAACCTTTGTTTTGATACGGCATTTTGGAAACACTCTTTTTGTAGAATCTGCAGGTGGATATTCGGATAGCTTTGAAGGTTTCGTTGGAAACGGGAATATCTTCATATAAAATCGAGACGGAAGCATTCTCAGAAACTGCTTTGTGATGTTTTCATTCAAGCCACAGAGTAGAATGTTCCCTTTTATATACCAGGTTTGAGACACTCTTTCTGCACTATCTGGAAGTGGACATTTGGAGCGCTTTGAGGCCTATGATGAAAAAGGAAATATCTTCCCATAAAAACTAGACAGAAGCATTCTCAGAAACTTGTTTGTGATGTGTGTATTCAACTAACAGTGATGAACCTTTCTTTTTACAGAGCAGTTTTGAAACACTCTTTTTGTGGAATCTGAAAGTGGATATTTGGATAGCTTTGAGGATTTCGTTGGAAACGGGATTACATATAAAATCTAGAGAGAAGCATTCTCAGGAACTTCTTTGTGATGTTTGCATTCAAGTCACAGAACTGAACATTCCCTTTCATAGAGCAGGTTTGAAACACTCTTTCTGTAGTATCTGCAAGCGGACGTTTTAAGCGCTTTCAGGCCTGTGGTGAGAAAGGAAATATCTTCAAATAAAAACTAGACAGAAGCATTCTCAGAAACTTATTTGCGATGTGTGTCCTCAACTAACAGAGTTGAACCTTTCTTTTGATACAAGATTTTGGAAACACTCTTTTTGTAGAATCTGCAAGTGGATATTTGGATAGCTTTGAAGGTTTCGTTGGAAACGGGAATATCTTCATATGAAATCAAGACAGAAGCATTCTCAGAAACTTCTCTGTGATGTTTGCATTCAACTCATAGAGTTGAACACTTCCCTTCATACAGCAGGTTTGAAACACTCTTTTTCTAATATTTGGAAGTGGACATTTGCAGCGCTTTGAGGCCTATGTTGAAAAAGGAAATATCTTCTCCTAAAAACCAGACAGAAGCATTCTCAGAAACTTCATTGTGATGTGTGTACTCAAGTAACAGAGTTGAACCTTCCTTTTGACAGAGCAGTTTTGAAGCACTCTTTTTGTAGAATCTGCAAGTGGATATTTTGATACCTTTGAGGATTTCGTTGGACACGGGATATCTTCATATAAAATCTAGACAGAAGCATTCTCAGGAACTTCTTTGTGATGTTTGCATTCAAGTCACAGAACTGAACATTCCCTTTCATAGAGCAGGTTTGAAACACTCTTTCTGTGGTATCTGCAAGCGGACGTTGCAAGCGCTTTCAGGCCTGTGGTGAAAAAGGAAATATCTTCAAATAAAAACTAGACAGAAGCATTCTCAGAAACTTATTTGCGATGTGTGTTCTCAACTAACAGAGTTGAACCTTTGTTTTGATACAGCATTTTGGAAACACTCTTTTTGTAGGATCTGCAGGTGGATATTTGGATAGCTTTGAAGGTTTCGTTGGAAACGGGAATATCATCATATAAAATCAAGACAGAAGCATTCTCAGAAACTTCTCTGTGATGTTTGCATTCAACTCATAGAGTTGAATACTTCCTTTCATAGAGCAGGTTTGAAACACTCTGTGCACTACCTGTAAGTGGACATTTGGAGCGCTTTGAGGCCTATGTTGGAAAAGGAAATATCTTCCCATAAAAACTAGACAGAAGCATTCTCAGAAACTTGGTTGTGATGTGTGTATTCAACTAACAGAGATGAACCTTTCTTTTTACAGAGCAGTTTTGAAACACTCTTTTTGTGGAATCTGAAAGTGCATATTTGGATAGCTTTGAGGATTTCGTTGGAAACGGGATTACATATAAAATCTAGAGAGAAGCATTCTCAGGAACTTCTTTGTGATGTTTGCATTCACGTCACAGAACTGAACATTCCCTTTCATAGAGCATGTTTGAAACACTCTTTCTGTAGTATCTGCAAACGGACATTTCAAACGCTTTCAGGCCTATGGTGAGAAAGGAAATATCTTCAAATAAAAACTAGACAGAAGCATTCTCAGAAACTTATTTGCCATGTGTGTTCTCAACTAACAGAGTTGAACCTTTGTTTTGGTACGGCATTTTGGAAACACTCTTTTTGTAGAATCTGCAGGTGGATATTCGGATAGCTTTGAAGGTTTCGTTGGAAACGGGAATATCTTCATATAAAATCTAGACGGAAGCATTCTCAGAAACTGCTTTGTGATGTTTTCATTCAAGTCACAGAGTAGAATGTTCCCTGTTATATACCAGGTTTGAGACACTCTTTCTGCACTACCTGGAAGTGGACATTTGGAGCGCTTTGAGGCCTATGATGAAAAAGGAAATATCTTCCCAAAAAACTAGACACAAGCATTCTCAGAAACTTGTTTGTGATGTGTGTATTCAACTAACAGAGATGAACCTTTCTTTTTACAGAGCAGTTTTGAAACACTCTTTTTGTGGAATCTGAGAGTGGATATTTGGATAGCTTTGAGGATTTCGTTGGAAACGGGATTACATATAAAATCTAGAGAGAAACATTCTCAGGAACTTCTTTGTGATGTTTGCATTCACGTCACAGAACTGAACATTCCCTTTCATAGAGCAGGTTTGAAACACTCTTTCTGTAGTATCTGCAAGCGAACTTTTGAAGCGCTTTCAGGCCTGTGGTGAAAAAGGAAATATCTTCAAATAAAAACTAGACAGAAGCATTCTCAGAAACTTATTTGCGATGTGTGTTCTCAACTAACAGAGTTGAACCTTTGTTTTGATATGGCATTTTGGAAACACTCTTTTTGTAGAATCTGCAGGTGGATATTCGGATAGCTTTGAAGGTTTCGTTGGAAACGGGAATATCTTCATATAAAATCTAGACGGAAGCATTCTCAGAAACTGCTTTGTGATGTTTTCATTGAAGTCACAGAGTAGAATGTTCCCTTTTATATACCAGGTTTGAGACACTCTTTCTGCACTATCTGGAAGTGGACATTTGGAGCGCTTTGAGGCCTATGATGAAAAAGGAAATATCTTCCCATAAAAACTAGACAGAAGCATTCTCAGAAACTTGTTTGTGATGTGTGTATTCAACTAACAGAGATGAACCTTTCTTTTTACAGAGTAGTTTTGAAACATTCTTTTTGTGGAATCCGAAAGTGGATATTTGGATTGCTTTGAGGATTTCTTTGGAAACGGGATTACATATAAAATCTAGGGAGAAGCATTCTCAGGAACTTCTTTGTGATGTTTGCATTCAAGTCACAGAACTGAACATTCCCTTTCATAGAGCAGGTTTGAAACACTCTTTCTGTAGTATCTGCAAGCGGACGTTTGAAGCGCTTTCAGGCCTGTGGTGAAAAAGGCAATATCTTCAAATAAAAACTAGACAGAAGCATTCTCAGAAACTTATTTGCGATGTGTGTCCTCAACTAACAGAGTTGAACCTTTCTTTTGATACAACATTTTGGAAACACTCTTTTTGTAGAATCTGCAAGTGGATATTTGGATAGCTTTGAAGGTTTCGTTGGAAACGGGAATATCTTCATATGAAATCAAGACAGAAGCATTCTCAGAAACTTCTCTGTGATGTTTGCATTCAACTCATAGAGTTGAACACTTCCCTTCATACAGCAGGTTTGAAACACTCTTTTTGTAATATTTGGAAGTGGACATTTGCAGCGCTTTGAGGCCTATGATGAAAAAGGTAATATCTTCCCATAAAAACTAGACAGAAGCATTCTCAGAAACTTGTTTGTGATGTGTGTATTCAACTAACAGAGATGAACCTTTCTTTTTACAGAGCAGTTTTGAAACACTCTTTTTGTGGAATCTGAAAGTGGATATTTGGATAGCTTTGAGGATTTCGTTGGAAACGGGATTACATATAAAATCTAGAGAGAAGCATTCTCAGGAACTTCTTTGTGATGTTTGCATTCACGTCACAGAACTGAACATTCCCTTTCATAGAGCATGTTTGAAACACTCTTTCTGTAGTATCTACAAACGGACATTTCAAAAGCTTTCAGGCCTATGGTGAGAAAGGAAATATCTTCAAATAAAAACTAGACAGAAGCATTCTCAGAAACTTATTTGCGATGTGTGTTCTCAACTAACAGAGTTGAACCTTTCTTTTGATATGGCATTTTGGAAACACTCTTTTTGTAGAATCTGCAGGTGGATATTCGGATAGCTTTGAACGTTTCGTTGGAAACGGGAATATCTTCATATAAAATCTAGACGGAAGCATTCTCAGAAACTGCTTTGTGATGTTTTCATTCAAGTCACAGAGTAGAATGTTCCCTGTTATATACCAGGTTTGAGATACTCTTTCTGCACTACCTTTAAGTGGACATTTGGAGCGCTTTGAGGCCTATGATGAAAAAGGAAATATCTTCCCATAAAAACTAGACAGAAGCATTCTCAGAAACTTGTTTGTGATGTGTGTATTCAACTAACAGAGATGAACCTTTCTTTTTACAGAGCAGTTTTGAAACACTCTTTTTGTGGAATCTGAAAGTGGATATTTGGACAGCTTTGAGGATTTCGTTGGAAACAGGATTACATATAAAATCTAGAGAGAAGCATTCTCAGGAACTTCTTTGTGATGTTTGCATTCACGTCACAGAACTGAACATTCCCTTTCATAGAGCATGTTTGAAACACTCTTTCTGTAGTATCTGCAAACGGACATTTCAAATGCTTTCAGGCCTATGGTGAGAAAGGAAATATCTTCACATAAAAACTAGACAGAAGCATTCTCAGAAACTTATTTGCGATGTGTGTCCTCAACTAACAGAGTTGAACCTTTCTTTTGATACAACATTTTGGAAACACTCTTTTTGTAGAATCTGCAAGTGGATATTTGGATAGCTTTGAAGGTTTCGTTGGAAACGGGAATATCTTCATATGAAATCAAGACAGAAGCATTCTCAGAAACTTCTCTGTGATGTTTGCATTCAACTCATAGAGTTGAACACTTCCCTTCATACAGCAGGTTTGAAACACTCTTTTTGTAATATTTGGAAGTGGACATTTGCAGCGCTTTGAGGCCTATGTTGAAAAAGGAAATATCTTCTCCTAAAAACCAGACAGAAGCATTCTCAGAAACTTGTTTGTGATGTGTGTATTCAACTAACAGAGATGAACCTTTCTTTTTACAGAGCAGTTTTGAAACACTCTTTTTGTGGAATCTGAAAGTGGATATTTGGATAGCTTTGAGGATTTCGTTGGAAACGGGATTACATATAAAATCTAGAGAGAAGCATTCTCAAGAACTTCTTTGTGATGTTTGCATTCAAGTCACAGAACTGAACATTCCCTTTCATAGAGCAGGTTTGAAACACTCTTTCTGCAGTATCTGCAAGCGGACGTTTTAAGCGCTTTCAGGCCTGTGGTGAGAAAGGAAATATCTTCAAATAAAAACTAGACAGAAGCATTCTCAGACACTTCTTTGTGCTGTATGTCCTCAACTAACAGAGTTGAACCTTTGTGTGGATACAGCATTTTGGAAACATTCCTTTAGTAGAATCTGCAAGTTGATATTTAGATAGCTAGGAAGATTTCCTTGGAAACGGGAATATCTTCACATAAAATCTAGACGGAAGCATTCTCAGAAACTGCTTTGTGATGTTTTCATTCAAGTCACAGAGTAGAATGTTCTCTTTTATATACCAGGTTTGAGACACTCTTTCTGCACTATCTGGAAGTGGACATTTGGAGCGCTTTGAGGCCTATGATGAAAAAGGAAATATCTTCCCATAAAAACTAGACAGAAGCATTCTCAGAAACTTGTTTGTGATGTGTGTATTCAACTAACAGAGATGAACCTTTCTTTTTACAGAGCAGTTTTGAAACACTCTTTTTGTGGAATCTGAAAGTGGATATTTGGATAGCTTTGAGGATTTCGTTGGAAACGGGATTACATATAAAACCTAGAGAGAAGCATTCTCAGGAACTTCTTTGTGATGTTTGCCTTCAAGTCACAGGACTGAACATTCCCTTTCATAGAGCAGGTTTGAAACACTCTTTCTGTAGTATCTGCAAGCTGACGTTTCAAGCGCTTTCAGGCCTATGGTGAGAAAGGAAATATCTTCAAGTAAAAACTAGACAGAAGCATTCTCAGAAACTTATTTGCGATGTGTGTCCTCAACTAACAGAGTTGAACCTTTGTTTTGATACGGCATTTTGGAAACACTCTTTTTGTAGTATCTGCAGGTGGATATTCGGATAGCTTTGAAGGTTTCGTTGGAAACGGGAATATCTTCATATAAAATCTAGACGGAAGCATTCTCAGAAAGTGCTTTGTGATGTTTGCATTCAAGTCACAGAGTTGAATATTCCCTTTTATAGAGCAGGTTTGAAACACTCTTTCTGCACTACCTGGAAGTGGACATTTGGAGCGCTTTGAGGCCTATGTTGAAAAAGGAAATATCTTCCCATAAAAACTAGACAGAAGCATTCTCAGAAACTTGTTTGTGATGTGTGTATTCAACTAACAGAGATGAACCTTTCTTTTTACAGAGCAGTTTTGAAACACTCTTTTTGTGGAATCTGAAAGTGGATATTTGGATAGCTTTGAGGATTTCGTTGGAAACGGGATTACATATAAAACCTAGAGAGAAGCATTCTCAGGAACTTCTTTGTGATGTTTGCCTTGAAGTCACAGGACTGAACATTCCCTTTCATAGAGCAGGTTTGAAACACTCTTTCTGTAGTATCTGCAAGCTGACGTTTCAAGCGCTTTCAGGCCTATGGTGACAAAGGAAATATCTTCAAGTAAAAACTAGACAGAAGCATTCTCAGAAACTTATTTGCCATATGTGTTCTCAACTAACAGAGTTGAACCTTTGTTTTGATACGGCATTTTGGAAACACTCTTTTTGTAGAATCTGCAGGTGGATATTCGGATAGCTTTGAAGGTTTCGTTGGAAACGGGAATATCTTCATATAAAATCTAGACGGAAGCATTCTCAGAAACTTCTCTGTGATGTTTGCATTCAACTCATAGAGTTGAACACTTCCCTTCATACAGCAGGTTTGAAACACTCTTTTTGTAATATTTGGAAGTGGACATTTGCAGCGCTTTGAGGCCTATGATGAAAAAGGTAATATCTTCCCATAAAAACTAGACAGAAGCATTCTCAGAAACTTGTTTGTGATGTGTGTATTCAACTAACAGAGATGAACCTTTCTTTTTACAGAGCAGTTTTGAAACACTCTTTTTGTGGAATCTGAAAGTGGATATTTGGATAGCTTTGAGGATTTCGTTGGAAACGGGATTACATATAAAATCTAGGGAGAAGCATTCTCAGGAACTTCTTTGTGATGTTTGCATTCAAGTCACAGAACTGAACATTCCCTTTCATAGAGCATGTTTGAAACACTCTTTCTGTAGTATCTGCAAGCGGACGTTTCAAGCGCTTTCAGGCCTATGGTGAGAAAGGAAATATCTTCAAGTAAAAACTAGACAGAAGCATTCTCAGAAACTTATTTGCCATGTGTGTTCTCAACTAACAGAGTTGAACCTTTGTTTTGATACGGCATTTTGGAAACACTCTTTTTGTAGAATCTGCAGGTGGATATTCGGATAGCTTTGAAGGTTTCGTTGGAAACGGGAATATCTTCATATAAAATCTAGACGGAAGCATTCTCAGAAAGTGCTTTGTGATGTTTGCATTCAAGTCACAGAGTTGAATATTCCCTTTTATAGAGCAGGTTTGAAACACTCTTTCTGCACTACCTGGAAGTGGACATTTGGAGCGCTTTGAGGCCTATGTTGAAAAAGGAAATATCTTCCCATAAAAACTAGACAGAAGCATTATCAGAAACTTGTTTGTGATGTGTGTATTCAACTAACAGAGATGAACCTTTCTTTTTACAGAGCAGTTTTGAAACACTCTTTTTGTGGAATCTGAAAGTGGATATTTGGATAGCTTTGAGGATTTCGTTGGAAACGGGATTACATATAAAACCTAGAGAGAAGCATTCTCAGGAACTTCTTTGTGATGTTTGCCTTCAAGTCACAGGACTGAACATTCCCTTTCATAGAGCAGGTTTGAAACACTCTTTCTGTAGTATCTGCAAGCTGACGTTTCAAGCGCTTTCAGGCCTATGGTGAGAAAGGAAATATCTTCAAGTAAAAACTAGACAGAAGCATTCTCAGAAACTTTCTTTGTGCTGTATGTCCTCAATTAACAGAGTTGAACCTTTGTGTGGATACAGCATTTTGGAAACATTCCTTTAGTAGAATCTGCAAGTTGATATTTAGATAGCTAGGAAGATTTCCTTGGAAACGGGAATATCTTCATATAAAATCTAGACGGAAGCATTCTCAGAAAGTGCTTTGTGATGTTTGCATTCAAGTCACAGAGTTGAATATTCCCTTTTATAGAGCAGGTTTGAAACACTCTTTCTGCACTACCTGGAAGTGGACATTTGGAGCGCTTTGAGGCCTATGTTGAAAAAGGAAATATCTTCCCATAAAAACTAGACAGAAGCATTCTCAGAAACTTGTTTGTGATGTGTGTATTCAACTAACAGAGATGAACCTTTCTTTTTACAGAGCAGTTTTGAAACACTCTTTTTGTGGAATCTGAAAGTGGATATTTGGATAGCTTTGAGGATTTCGTTGGAAACGGGATTCCATATAAAATCTAGAGAGAAGCATTCTCAGGAACTTCTTTGTGATGTTTGCATTCAAGTCACAGAACTGAACATTCCCTTTCATAGAGCAGGTTTGAAACACTCTTTCTGTAGTATCTGCAAGCGGACGTTTCAAGCGCTTTCAGGCCTATGGTGAGAAAGGAAATATCTTCAAGTAAAAACTAGACAGAAGCATTCTCAGAAACTTATTTGTGATGTGTGTCCTCAACTAACAGCGTTGAACCTTTCTATTGATACAACATTTTGGAAACACTCTTTTTGTAGAATCTGCAAGTGGATATTTGGATAGCTTTGAAGGTTTCGTTGGAAACGGGAATATCTTCATATGAAATCAAGACAGAAGCATTCTCAGAAAGTGCTTTGTGATGTTTGCATTCAAGTCACACAGTTGAATATTCCCTTTTATAGAGCAGGTTTGAAACACTCTTTCTGCACTACCTGGAAGTGGACATTTGGAGCGATTTGAGGCCTATGTTGAAAAAGGAAATATCTTCCCATAAAAACTAGACAGAAGCATTCTCAGAAACTTGTTTGTGATGTGTGTATTCAACTAACAGAGATGAACCTTTCTTTTTACAGAGCAGTTTTGAAACACTCTTTTTGTGGAATCTGAAAGTGGATATTTGGATAGCTTTGCGGATTTCGTTGGAAACGGGATTACATATAAAATCTAGGGAGAAGCATTCTCAGGAACTTCTTTGTGATGTTTGCATTCAAGTCACAGAACTGAACATTCCCTTTCATAGAGCAGGTTTGAAACACTCTTTCTGTAGTATCTGCAAGCGGACGTTTTAAGCGCTTTCAGGCCTGTGGTGAGAAAGGAAATATCTTCAAATAAAAACTAGACAGAAGCATTCTCAGAAACGTATTTGCGATGTGTGTCCTCAACTAACAGAGTTGAACCTTTCTTTTGATACAACATTTTGGAAACACTCTTTTTGTAGAATCTGCAAGTGGATATTTGGATAGCTTTGAAGGTTTCGTTGGAAACGGGAATATCTTCATATGAAATCAAGACAGAAGCATTCTCAGAAACTGCTTTGTGATGTTTTCATTCAAGTCACAGAGTAGAATGTTCCCTGTTATATACCAGGTTTGAGACACTCTTTCTGCACTACCTGGAAGTGGACGTTTGGAGCGCTTTGAGGCCTATGATGAAAAAGGAAATATCTTCCCATAAAAACTAGACAGAAGCATTCTCAGAAACTTGTTTGTGATGTGTGTATTCAACTAACAGAGATGAACCTTTCTTTTTACAGAGCAGTTTTGAAACACTCTTTTTGTGGAATCTGAAAGTGGATATTTGGATAGCTTTGAGGATTTCGTTGGAAACGGGATTACATATAAAATCTAGAGAGAAGCATTCTCAGGAACTTCTTTGTGATGTTTGCATTCAAGTCACAGAACTGAACATTCCCTTTCATAGAGCAGGTTTGAAACACTCTTTCTGTAGTATCTGCAAGCTGACGTTTCAAGCGCTTTCAGGCCTATGGTGAGAAAGGAAATATCTTCAAGTAAAAACTAGACAGAAGCATTCTCAGAAACTTATTTGCCATGTGTGTTCTCAACTAACAGAGTTGAACCTTTGTTTTGATACGGCATTTTGGAAACACTCTTTTTGTAGAATCTGCAGGTGGATATTCGGATAGCTTTGAAGGTTTCGTTGGAAACGGGAATATCTTCATATAAAATCTAGACGGAAGCATTCTCAGAAACTGCTTTGTGATGTTTTCATTCAAGTCACAGAGTAGAATGTTCGCTGTTATATACCAGGTTTGAGACACTCTCTCTGCACTACCTGGAAGTGGACGTTTGGAGCGCTTTGAGCCCTATGATGAAAAAGGTAATATCTTCCCATAAAAACTAGACAGAAGCATTCTCAGCAAACTTGTTTGTGATGTGTGTATTCAACTAACAGAGATGAACCTTTCTTTTTACAGAGCAGTTTTGAAACACTCTTTTTGTGGAATCTGAAAGTGGATATTTGGATAGCTTTGAGGATTTCGTTGGAAACGGGATTACATATAAAACCTAGAGAGAAGCATTCTCAGGAACTTCTTTGTGATGTTTGCATTGACGTCACAGAACTGAACATTCCCTTTCATAGAGCATGTTTGAAACACTCTTTCTGTAGTATCTGCAAACGGACATTTCAAACGCTTTCAGGCCTATGGTGAGAAAGGAAATATCTTCAAGTAAAAACTAGACAGAAGCATTCTCAGAAACTTATTTGCGATGTGTGTCCTCAACTAACAGAGTTGAACCTTTCTTTTGATACAACATTTTGGAAACACTCTTTTTGTAGAATCAGCAAGTGTATATTTGAATAGCTTTGAAGGTTTCGTTGGAAACGGGAATATCTTCATATAAAATCAAGACAGAAGCATTCTCAGAAACTGCTTTGTGATGTTTTCATTCAAGTCACAGAGTAGAATGTTCCCTGTTATATACCAGGTTTGAGACACTCTTTCTGCACTACCTGGAAGTGGACGTTTGGAGCGCTTTGAGGCGTATGTTGAAAAAGGAAATATCTTCCCATAAAAATTAGACAGAATCATTCTCAGAAACTTGTTTGTGATGTGTGTATTCAACTAACAGAGATGAACCTTTCTTTTTACAGAGCAGTTTTGAAACACTCTTTTTGTGGAATCTGAAAGTGGATATTTGGATAGCTTTGAGGATTTCGTTGGAAACGGGATTACATATAAAATCTAGGGAGAAGCATTCTCAGGAACTTCTTTGTGATGTTTGCATTCAAGTCACAGAACTGAACATTCCCTTTCATAGAGCAGGTTTGAAACACTCTTTCTGTAGTATCTGCAAGCGGACGTTTTAAGCGCTTTCAGGCCTGTGGTGAGAAAGGAAATATCTTCAAATAAAAACTAGACAGAAGCATTCTCAGAAACTTATTTGCGATGTGTGTCCTCAACTAACAGAGTTGAACCTTTCTTTTGATACAACATTTTGGAAACACTCTTTTTGTAGAATCTGCAAGTGGATATTTGGATAGCTTTGAAGGTTTCGTTGGAAACGGGAATATCTTCATATGAAATCAAGACAGAAGCATTCTCAGAAACTTCTCTGTGATGTTTGCATTCAACTCATAGAGTTGAACACTTCCCTTCATACAGCAGGTTTGAAACACTCTTTTTGTAATATTTGGAAGTGGACATTTGCAGCGCTTTGAGGCCTATGTTGAAAAAGGAAATATCTTCTCCTAAAAACCAGACAGAAGCATTCTCAGAAACTTGTTTGTGATGTGTGTATTCAACTAACAGAGATGAACCTTTCTTTTTACAGAGCAGTTTTGAAACACTCTTTTTGTGGAATCTGAAAGTGGATATTTGGATAGCTTTGCGGATTTCGTTGGAAACGGGATTACATATAAAATCTAGGGAGAAGCATTCTCAGGAACTTCTTTGTGATGTTTGCATTCAAGTCACAGAACTGAACATTCCCTTTCATAGAGCAGGTTTGAAACACTCTTTCTGTAGTATCTGCAAGCGGACGTTTCAAGCGCTTTCAGGCCTGTGGTGAAAAAGGAAATATCTTCAAATAAAAACTAGACAGAAGCATTCTCAGAAACTTATTTGCGATGTGTGTCCTCAACTAACAGAGTTGAACCTTTCTTTTGATACAACATTTTGGAAACACTCTTTTTGTAGAATCTGCAAGTGGATATTTGGATAGCTTTGAAGGTTTCGTTGGAAACGGGAATATCTTCATATGAAATCAAGACAGAAGCATTCTCAGAAAGTGCTTTGTGATGTTTGCATTCAAGTCACAGAGTTGAATATTCCCTTTTATAGAGCAGGTTTGAAACACTCTTTCTGCACTACCTGGAAGTGGACATTTGGAGCGCTTTGAGGCCTATGTTGAAAAAGGAAATATCTTCCCATAAAAACTAGACAGAAGCATTCTCAGAAACTTGTTTGTGATGTGTGTATTCAACTAACAGAGATGAACCTTTCTTTTTACAGAGCAGTTTTGAAACACTCTTTTTGTGGAATCTGAAAGTGGATATTTGGATAGCTTTGAGGATTTCGTTGGAAACGGGATTACATATAAAACCTAGAGAGAAGCATTCTCAGGAACTTCTTTGTGATGTTTGCATTCAAGTCACAGAACTGAACATTCCCTTTCATAGAGCATGTTTGAAACACTCTTTCTGTAGTATCTGCAAGCGGACGTTTCAAGCGCTTTCAGGCCTATGGTGAGAAAGGAAATATCTTCAAGTAAAAACTAGACAGAAGCATTCTCAGAAACTTATTTGCGATGTGTGTCCTCAACTAACAGAGTTGAACCTTTGTTTTGATACAACATTTTGGAAACACTCTTTTTGTAGAATCTGCAAGTGGATATTTGGATAGCTTTGAAGGTTTCGTTGGAAACGGGAATATCTTCATATAAAATCAAGACAGAAGCATTCTCAGAAACTTCTCTGTGATGTTTGCATTCAACTCATAGAGTTGAACACTTCCCTTCATAGAGCAGGTTTGAAACACTCTTTTTGTAATATTTGGAAGTGGACATTTGCAGCGCTTTGAGGCCTATGTTGAAAAAGGAAATATCTTCTCCTAAAAACCAGACAGAAGCATTCTCAGAAACTTATTTGCGATGTGTGTCCTCAACTAACAGAGTTGAACCTTTGTTTTGATACAGCATTTTGGAAACACTCTTTTTGTAGGATCTGCAGGTGGATATTTGGATAGCTTTGAAGGTTTCTTTGGAAACGGGAATATCTTCATATAAAATCAAGACAGAAGCATTCTCAGAAACTTCTCTGTGATGTTTGCATTCAACTCATAGAGTTGAACACTTCCTTTCATAGAGCTGGTTTGAAATTCTCTTTTTGTAATATTTGGAAGTGGACATTGGCAGCGCTTTGAAGCCTATGGTGAAAAAGGAGATATCTTCTCCTAAAAACCAGACAGAAGCATTCTCAGAATCTTTCTTGTGATGTGTGTACTCAAGTAACAGAGGTGAACCTTCATTTTGACAGAGCAGTTTTGAAGCACTCTTTTTGTAGAATCTGCAAGTGGATATTTTGATACCTTTGAGGATTTCGTTAGACACGGGATATCTTCATATAAAATCTAGACAGAAGCATTCTCAGAAACTTCTTTGTGCTGTATGTCCTCAATTAACAGAGTTGAACCTTTGTGTGGATACAGCATTTTGGAAACATTCCTTTAGTAGAATCTGCAAGTTGATATTTAGATAGCTAGGAAGATTTCCTTGGAAACGGGAATATCTTCATATAAAATCTAGACGGAAGCATTCTCAGAAAGTGCTTTGTGATGTCTTCATTCAAGTCACAGAGTAGAATGTTCCCTTTTATAGAGCAGGTTTGAAACACTCTTTCTGCACTACCTGGAAGTGGACATTTGGAGCGCTTTGAGACCTATGTTGAAAAAGGAAATATCTTCCCATAAAAACTAGACAGAAGCATTCTCAGAAACTTGTTTGTGATGTGTGTATTCAACTAACAGAGATGAACCTTTCTTTTTACAGAGCAGTTTTGAAACACTCTTTTTGTGGAATCTGAAAGTGGATATTTGGATAGCTTTGAGGATTTCGTTGGAAACGGGATTACATATAAAACCTAGAGAGAAGCATTCTCAGGAACTTCTTTGTGATGTTTGCCTTCAAGTCACAGGACTGAACATTCCCTTTCATAGAGCAGGTTTGAAACACTCTTTCTGTAGTATCTGCAAGCTGACGTTTCAAGCGCTTTCAGGCCTATGGTGAGAAAGGAAATATCTTCAAGTAAAAACTAGACAGAAGCATTCTCAGAAACTTATTTGCCATGTGTGTTCTCAACTAACAGAGTTGAACCTTTGTTTTGATACGGCATTTTGGAAACACTCTTTTTGTAGAATCTGCAGGTGGATATTCGGATAGCTTTGAAGGTTTCGTTGGAAACGGGAATATCTTCATATAAAATCTAGACGGAAGCATTCTCAGAAACTTCTCTGTGATGTTTGCATTCAACTCATAGAGTTGAACACTTCCCTTCATACAGCAGGTTTGAAACACTCTTTTTGTAATATTTGGAAGTGGACATTTGCAGCGCTTTGAGGCCTATGATGAAAAAGGAAATATCTTCCCATAAAAACTAGACAGAAGCATTCTCAGAAACTTGTTTGTGATGTGTGTATTCAACTAACAGAGATGAACCTTTCTTTTTACAGAGCAGTTTTGAAACACTCTTTTTGTGGAATCTGAAAGTGGATATTTGGATAGCTTTGAGGATTTCGTTGGAAACGGGATTACATATAAAACCTAGAGAGAAGCATTCTCAGGAACTTCTTTGTGATGTTTGCCTTCAAGTCACAGGACTGAACATTCCCTTTCATAGAGCAGGTTTGAAACACTCTTTCTGTAGTATCTGCAAGCTGACGTTTCAAGCGCTTTCAGGCCTATGGTGAGAAAGGAAATATCTTCAAGTAAAAACTAGACAGAAGCATTCTCAGAAACTTATTTGCCATGTGTGTTCTCAACTAACAGAGTTGAACCTTTGTTTTGATACGGCATTTTGGAAACACTCTTTTTGTAGAATCTGCAGGTGGATATTCGGATAGCTTTGAAGGTTTCGTTGGAAACGGGAATATCTTCATATAAAATCTAGACGGAAGCATTCTCAGAAACTGCTTTGTGATGTTTTCATTCAAGTCACAGAGTAGAATGTTCCCTGTTATATACCAGGTTTGAGACACTCTTTCTGCACTACCTGGAAGTGGACATTTGCAGCGCTTTGAGGCCTATGATGAAAAAGGAAATATCTTCCCATAAAAACTAGACAGAAGCATTCTCAGAAACTTGTCTGTGATGTGTGTATTCAACTAACAGAGATGAACCTTTCTTTTTACAGAGCAGTTTTGAATCACTCTTTTTGTGGAATCTGAAAGTGGATATTTGGATAGCTTTGAGGATTTCGTTGGAAACGGGATTACATATAAAATCTAGAGAGAAGCATTCTCAGGAACTTCTTTGTGATGTTTGCATTCACGTCACAGAACTGAACATTCCCTTTCATAGAGCATGTTTGAAACACTCTTTCTGTAGTATCTGCAAACGGACATTTCAAACGCTTTCAGGCCTATGGTGAGAAAGGAAATATCTTCAAATAAAAACTAGACAGAAGCATTCTCAGAAACTTATTTGCGATGTGTGTCCTCAACTAACAGAGTTGAACCTTTCTTTTGATACAACATTTTGGAAACACTCTTTTTGTAGAATCTGCAAGTGGATATTTGAATAGCTTTGAAGGTTTCGTTGGAAACGGGAATATCTTCATATAAAATCAAGACAGAAGCATTCTCAGAAACTTCTCTGTGATGTTTGCATTCAACTCATAGAGTTGAACACTTCCCTTCATACAGCAGGTTTGAAACACTCTTTTTGTAATATTTGGAAGTGGACATTTGCAGCGCTTTGAGGCCTATGATGAAAAAGGTAATATCTTCCCATAAAAACTAGACAGAAGCATTCTCAGAAACTTGTTTGAGATGTGTGTATTCAACTAACAGAGATGAACCTTTCTTTTTACAGAGCAGTTTTGAAACACTCTTTTTGTGGAATCTGAAAGTGGATATTTGGATAGCTTTGCGGATTTCGTTGGAAACGGGATTACATATAAAAACTAGGGAGAAGCATTCTCAGGAACTTCTTTGTGATGTTTGCATTCAAGTCACAGAACTGAACATTCCCTTTCATAGAGCATGTTTGAAACACTCTTTCTGTAGTATCTGCAAGCGGACGTTTTAAGCGCTTTCAGGCCTGTGGTGAGAAAGGAAATATCTTCAAATAAAAACTAGACAGAAGCATTCTCAGAAACTTATTTGCGATGTGTATCCTCAACTAACAGAGTTGAACCTTTCTTTTGATACAACATTTTGGAAACACTCTTTTTGTGGAATCTGCAAGTGGATATTTGGATAGCTTTGAAGGTTTCATTGGAAACGGGAATATCTTCATATAAAATCAAGACAGAAGCATTCTCAGAAACTTCTCTGTGATGTTTGCATTCAACTCATAGAGTTGAACACTTCCCTTCATACAGCAGGTTTGAAACACTCTTTTTGTAATATTTGGAAGTGGACATTTGCAGCGCTTTGAGGCCTATGATGAAAAAGGAAATATCTTCCCATAAAAACTAGACAGAAGCATTCTCAGAAACTTGTTTGTGATGTGTGTATTCAACTAACAGAGATGAACCTTTCTTTTCACAGAGCAGTTTTGAAACACTCTTTTTGTGGAATCTGAAAGTGGATATTTGGATAGCTTTGAGGATTTCGTTGGAAACGGGATTACATATAAAACCTAGAGAGAAGGATTCTCAGGAACTTCTTTGTGATGTTTGCATTCAAGTCACAGAACTGAACATTCCCTTTCATAGAGCAGCTTTGAAACACTCTTTCTGTAGCATCTGCAAGCAGAAGTTTCAAGCGCTTTCAGGCCTGTGGTGAAAAAGGAAATATCTTCAAATAAAAACTAGACAGAAGCATTCTCAGAAACTTATTTGCGATGTGTGTCCTCAACTAACAGAGTTGAACCTTTCTTTTGATACAACATTTTGGAAACACTCTTTTTGTAGAATCTGCAAGTGGATATTTGAATAGCTTTGAAGGTTTCGTTGGAAACGGGAATATCTTCATATAAAATCAAGACAGAAGCATTCTCAGAAACTTCTCTGTGATGTTTGCATTCAACTCATAGAGTTGAACACTTCCCCTCATACAGCAGGTTTGAAACACTCTTTTTGTAATATTTGGAAGTGGACATTTGCAGCGCTTTGAGGCCTATGATGAAAAAGGTAATATCTTCCCATAAAAACTAGACAGAAGCATTCTCAGAAACTTGTTTGTGATGTGTGTATTCAACTAACAGAGATGAACCTTTCTTTTTACAGAGCAGTTTTGAAACACTCTTTTTGTGGAATCTGAAAGTGGATATTTGGATAGCTTTGAGGATTTCGTTGGAAACGGGATTACATATAAAATCTAGAGAGAAGCATTCTCAGGAACTTCTTTGTGATGTTTGCATTCACGTCACAGAACTGAACATTCCCTTTCATAGAGCATGTTTGAAACACTCTTTCTGTAGTATCTGCAAACGGACATTTCAAACGCTTTCAGGCCTATGGTGAGAAAGGAAATATCTTCAAGTAAAAACTAGACAGAAGCATTCTCAGAAACTTATTTGCGATGTGTGTCCTCAACTAACAGAGTTGAACCTTTCTTTTGATACAACATTTTGGAAACACTCTTTTTGTAGAATCTGCAAGTGGATATTTGGATAGCTTTGAAGGTTTCGTTGGAAACGGGAATATCTTCATATGAAATCAAGACAGAAGCATTCTCAGAAACTTCTCTGTGATGTTTGCATTCAACTCATAGAGTTGAACACTTCCCTTCATACAGCAGGTTTGAAACACTCTTTTTGTAATATTTGGAAGTGGACATTTGCAGCGCTTTGAGGCCTATGTTGAAAAAGGAAATATCTTCTCCTAAAAACCAGACAGAAGCATTCTCAGAAACTTGTTTGTGATGTGTGTATTCAACTAACAGAGATGAACCTTTCTTTTTACAGAGCAGTTTTGAAACACTCTTTTTGTGGAATCTGAAAGTGGATATTTGGATAGCTTTGAGGATTTCGTTGGAAACGGGATTACATATAAAATCTAGGGAGAAGCATTCTCAGGAACTTCTTTGTGATGTTTGCATTCAAGTCACAGAACTGAACATTCCCTTTCATAGAGCAGGTTTGAAACACTCTTTCTGTAGTATCTGCAAGCGGACGTTTTAAGCGCTTTCAGGCCTGTGGTGAGAAAGGAAATATCTTCAAATAAAAACTAGACAGAAGCATTCTCAGAGACTTATTTGCGATGTGTGTCCTCAACTAACAGAGTTGAACCTTTCTTTTGATACAACATTTTGGAAACACTCTTTTTGTAGAATCTGCAAGTGGATATTTGGATAGCTTTGAAGGTTTCGTTGGAAACGGGAATATCTTCATATGAAATCAAGACAGAAGCATTCTCAGAAACTTCTCTGTGATGTTTGCATTCAACTCATAGAGTTGAACACTTCCCTTCATACAGTAGGTTTGAAACACTCTTTTTCTAATATTTGGAAGTGGACATTTGCAGCGCTTTGAGGCCTATGTTGAAAAAGGAAATATCTTCTCCTAAAAACCAGACAGAAGCATTCTCAGAAACTTCCTTGTGATGTGTGTACTCAAGTAACAGAGTTGAACCTTCCTTTTGACAGAGCAGTTTTGAAGCACTCTTTTTGTAGAATCTGCAAGTGGATATTTTGATACCTTTGAGGATTTCGTTGGACACGGGATATCTTCATATAAAATCTAGACAGAAGCATTCTCAGGAACTTCTTTGTGATGTTTGCATTCAAGTCACAGAACTGAACATTCCCTTTCATAGAGCAGGTTTGAAACACTCTTTCTGTAGTATCTGCAAGCGGACGTTTTAAGCGCTTTCAGGCCTGTGGTGAGAAAGGAAATATCTTCAAATAAAAACTAGACAGAAGCATTCTCAGAAACTTATTTGCGATGTGTGTCCTCAACTAACAGAGTTGAACCTTTCTTTTGATACAACATTTTGGAAACACTCTTTTTGTAGAATCTGCAAGTGGATATTTGGATAGCTTTGAAGGTTTCGTTGGAAACGGGAATATCTTCATATGAAATCAAGACAGAAGCATTCTCAGAAACTTCTCTGTGATGTTTGCATTCAACTCATAGAGTTGAACACTTCCCTTCATACAGCAGGTTTGAAACACTCTTTTTCTAATATTTGGAAGTGGACATTTGCAGCGCTTTGAGGCCTATGTTGAAAAAGGAAATATCTTCTCCTAAAAACCAGACAGAAGCATTCTCAGAAACTTGTTTGTGATGTGTGTATTCAACTAACAGAGATGAACCTTTCTTTTTACAGAGCAGTTTTGAAACACTCTTTTTGTGGAATCTGAAAGTGGATATTTGGATAGCTTTGAGGATTTCGTTGGAAACGGGATTACATATAAAACCTAGAGAGAAGCATTCTCAGGAACTCCTTTGTGATGTTTGCCTTCAAGTCACAGGACTGAACATTCCCTTTCATAGAGCAGGTTTGAAACACTCTTTCTGTAGTATCTGCAAGCTGACGTTTCAAGCGCTTTCAGGCCTACGGTGAGAAAGGAAATATCTTCAAGTAAAAACTAGACAGATGCATTCTCAGAAACTTATTTGCCATGTGTGTTCTCAACTAACAGAGTTGAACCTTTGTTTTGATACGGCATTTTGGAAACACTCTTTTTGTAGAATCTGCTGGTGGATATACGGATAGCTTTGAAGGTTTCGTTGGAAACGGGAATATCTTCATATAAAGTCTAGACGGAAGCATTCTCAGAAACTGCTTTGTGATGTTTTCATTCAAGTCACAGAGTAGAATGTTCCCTGTTATATACCAGGTTTGAGACACTCTTTCTGCACTACCTGGAAGTGGACGTTTGGAGCGCTTTGAGGCCTATGTTGAAAAAGGAAATATCTTCCCATAAAAACTAGACAGAAGCATTCTCAGAAACTTGTTTGTGATGTGTGTATTCAACTAACAGAGATGAACCTTTCTTTTTACAGAGCAGTTTTGAAACACTCTTTTTGTGGAAT
Source organism: Homo sapiens (assembly GCF_000001405.40). NCBI lineage: Eukaryota > Metazoa > Chordata > Mammalia > Primates > Hominidae > Homo > Homo sapiens. Next base: position 44,824,332 of record NC_000009.12, read on the forward strand.
CTGAAAGTGGATATTTGGATAGCTTTGAGGATTTCGTTGGAAACGGGATTACATATAAAACCTAGAGAGAAGCATTCTCAGGAACTTCTTTGTGATGTTTGCATTCAAGTCACAGAACTGAACATTCCCTTTCATAGAGCAGGTTTGAAACACTCTTTCTGTAGTATCTGCAAGCTGACGTTTCAAGCGTTTTCAGGCCTATGGTGAGAAAGGAAATATCTTCAAGTAAAAACTAGACAGAAGCATTCTCAGAAACTTATTTGCGATGTGTGTTCTCAACTAACAGAGTTGAACCTTTGTTTTGATATGGCATTTTGGAAACACTCTTTTTGTAGAATCTGCAGGTGGATATTCGGATAGCTTTGAAGGTTTCGTTGGAAACGGGAATATCTTCATATAAAATCTAGACGGAAGCATTCTCAGAAACTGCTTTGTGATGTTTTCATTCAAGTCACAGAGTAGAATGTTCCCCGTTATATACCAGGTTTGAGACACTCTTTCTGCACTACCTGGAAGTGGACATTTGGAGCGCTTTGAGGCCTATGATGAAGAAGGAAATATCTTCCCATAAAAACTAGACAGAAGCATTCTCAGAAACTTGTTTGTGATGTGTGTATTCAACTAACAGAGATGAACCTTTCTTTTTACAGAGCAGTTTTGAAACACTCTTTTTGTGGAATCTGAAAGTGGATATTTGGATAGCTTTGCGGATTTCGTTGGAAACGGGATTACATATAAAATCTAGGGAGAAGCATTCTCAGGAACTTCTTTGTGATGTTTGCATTCAAGTCACAGAACTGAACATTCCCTTTCATAGAGCAGGTTTGAAACACTCTTTCTGTAGTATCTGCAAGCGGACGTTTTAAGCGCTTTCAGGCCTGTGGTGAGAAAGGAAATATCTTCAAATAAAAACTAGACAGAAGCATTCTCAGAAACTTATTTGCGATGTGTGTCCTCAACTAACAGAGTTGAACCTTTCTTTTGATACAACATTTTGGAAACACTCTTTTTGTAGAATCTGCAAGTGGATATTTGGATAGCTTTGAAGGTTTCGTTGGAAACGGGAATATCTTCATATGAAATCAAGACAGAAGCATTCTCAGAAACTTCTCTGTGATGTTTGCATTCAACTCATAGAGTTGAACACTTCCCTTCATACAGCAGGTTTGAAACACTCTTTTTCTAATATTTGGAAGTGGACATTTGCAGCGCTTTGAGGCCTATGTTGAAAAAGGAAATATCTTCTCCTAAAAACCAGACAGAAGCATTCTCAGAAACTTGTTTGTGATGTGTGTATTCAACTAACAGAGATGAACCTTTCTTTTTACAGAGCAGTTTTGAAACACTCTTTTTGTGGAATCTGAAAGTGGATATTTGGATAGCTTTGAGGATTTCGTTGGAAACGGGATTACATATAAAACCTAGAGAGAAGCATTCTCAGGAACTTCTTTGTGATGTTTGCATTCAAGTCACAGAACTGAACATTCCCTTTCATAGAGCAGGTTTGAAACACTCTTTCTGTAGTATCTGCAAGCTGACGTTTCAAGCGCTTTCAGGCCTATGGTGAGAAAGGAAATATCTTCAAGTAAAAACTAGACAGAAGCATTCTCAGAAACTTATTTGCCATGTGTGTTCTCAACTAACAGATTTGAACCTTTGTTTTGATACGGCATTTTGGAAACACTCTTTTTGTAGAATCTGCAGGTGGATATTCGGATAGCTTTGAAGGTTTCGTTGGAAACGGGAATATCTTTATATAAAATCTAGACGGAAGCATTCTCAGAAAGTGCTTTGTGATGTTTGCATTCAAGTCACAGAGTTGAATATTCCCTTTTATAGAGCAGGTTTGAAACACTCTTTCTGCACTACCTGGAAGTGGACATTTGGAGCGCTTTGAGGCCTATGTTGAAAAAGGAAATATCTTCGCATAAAAACTAGACAGAAGCATTCTCAGAAACTTGTTTGTGATGTGTGTATTCAACTAACAGAGATGAACCTTTCTTTTTACAGAGCAGTTTTGAAACACTCTTTTTGTGGAATCTGAAAGTGGATATTTGGATAGCTTTGAGGATTTCGTTGGAAACGGGATTACATATAAAACCTAGAGAGAAGCATTCTCAGGAACTTCTTTGTGATGTTTGCCTTCAAGTCACAGGACTGAACATTCCCTTTCATAGAGCAGGTTTGAAACACTCTTTCTGTAGTATCTGCAAGCTGACGTTTCAAGCGCTTTCAGGCCTATGGTGAGAAAGGAAATATCTTCAAGTAAAAACTAGACAGAAGCATTCTCAGAAACTTATTTGCCATGTGTGTTCTCAACTAACAGAGTTGAACCTTTGTTTTGATACGGCATTTTGGAAACACTCTTTTTGTAGAATCTGCAGGTGGATATTCGGATAGCTTTGAAGGTTTCGTTGGAAACGGGAATATCTTCATATAAAATCTAGACGGAAGCATTCTCAGAAACTTCTCTGTGATGTTTGCATTCAACTCATAGAGTTGAACACTTCCCTTCATACAGCAGGTTTGAAACACTCTTTTTGTAATATTTGGAAGTGGACATTTGCAGCGCTTTGAGGCCTATGATGAAAAAGGTAATATCTTCCCATAAAAACTAGACAGAAGCATTCTCAGAAACTTGTTTGTGATGTGTGTATTCAACTAACAGAGATGAACCTTTCTTTTTACAGAGCAGTTTTGAAACACTCTTTTTGTGGAATCTGAAAGTGGATATTTGGATAGCTTTGAGGATTTCGTTGGAAACGGGATTACATATAAAACCTAGAGAGAAGCATTCTCAGGAACTTCTTTGTGATGTTTGCATTCAAGTGACAGAACTGAACATTCCCTATCATAGAGCATGTTTGAAACACTCTTTCTGTAGTATCTGCAAACGGACATTTCAAACGCTTTCAGGCCTATGGTGAGATAGGAAATATCTTCAAATAAAAACTAGACAGAAGCATTCTCAGAAACTTGTTTGCGATGTGTTTCCTCAACTAACAGAGTTGAACCTTTCTTTTGATACAACATTTTGGAAACACTCTTTTTGTAGAATCTGCAAGTGGATATTTGGATAGCTTTGAAGGTTTCTTTGGAAACGGGAATATCTTCATATAAAATCAAGACAGAAGCATTCTCAGAAACTTCTCTGTGATGTTTGCATTCAACTCATAGAGTTGAACACTTCCCTTCATACAGCAGGTTTGAAACACTCTTTTTGTAATATTTGGAAGTGGACATTTGCAGCGCTTTGAGGCCTATGATGAAAAAGGTAATATCTTCCCATAAAAACTAGACAGAAGCATTCTCAGAAACTTGTTTGTGATGTGTGTATTCAACTAACAGAGATGAACCTTTCTTTTTACAGAGCAGTTTTGAAACACTCTTTTTGTGGAATCTGAAAGTGGATATTTGGATAGCTTTGAGGATTTCGTTGGAAACGGGATTACATATAAAATCTAGAGAGAAGCATTCTCAGGAACTCCTTTGTGATGTTTGCATTCACGTCACAGAACTGAACATTCCCTTTCATAGAGCATGTTTGAAACACTCTTTCTGTAGTATCTGCAAACGGACATTTCAAACGCTTTCAGGCCTATGGTGAGAAAGGAAATATCTTCAAGTAAACACTAGACAGAAGCATTCTCAGAAACTTATTTGCCATGTGTGTTCTCAACTAACAGAATTGAACCTTTGTTTTGATACGGCATTTTGGAAACACTCTTTTTGTAGAATCTGCAGGTGGATATTCGGATAGCTTTGAAGGTTTCGTTGGAAACGGGAATATCTTCATATAAAATCTAGACGGAAGCATTCTCAGAAACTGCTTTGTGATGTTTTCATTCAAGTCACAGAGTAGAATGTTCCCTGTTATATACCAGGTTTGAGACACTCTTTCTGCACTACCTGGAAGTGGACATTTGCAGCGCTTTGAGGCCTATGATGAAAAAGGAAATATCTTCCCATAAAAACTAGACAGAAGCATTCTCAGAAACTTGTTTGTGATGTGTGTATTCAACTAACAGAGATGAACCTTTCTTTTTACAGAGCAGTTTTGAAACACTCTTTTTGTGGAATCTGAAAGTGGATATTTGGATAGCTTTGAGGATTTCGTTGGAAACGGGATTACATATAAAATCTAGAGAGAAGCATTCTCAGGAACTTCTTTGTGATGTTTGCATTCAAGTCACAGAACTGAACATTCCCTTTCATAGAGCAGGTTTGAAACACTCTTTCTGTAGTATCTGCAAGCTGACGTTTCAAGCGCTTTCAGGCCTATGGTGAGAAAGGAAATATCTTCAAGTAAAAACTAGACAGAAGCATTCTCAGAAACTTATTTGCCATGTGTGTTCTCAACTAACAGAGTTGAACCTTTGTTTTGATGCGGCATTTTGGAAACACTCTTTTTGTAGAATCTGCAGGTGTATATTTGGATAGCTTTGAAGGTTTCGTTGGAAACGGGAATATCTTCATATAAAATCTAGACGGAAGCATTCTCAGAAACTGCTTTGTGATGTTTTCATTCAAGTCACAGAGTAGAATGTTCCCTGTTATATACCAGGTTTGAGACACTCTTTCTGCACTACCTGGAAGTGGACGTTTGGAGCGCTTTGAGGCCTTTGATGAAAAAGGAAATATCTTCCCATAAAAACTAGACAGAAGCATTCTCAGAAACTTGTTTGTGATGTGTGTATTCAACTAACAGAGATGAACCTTTCTTTTTACAGAGCAGTTTTGAAACACTCTTTTTGTGGAATCTGAAAGTGGATATTTGGATAGCTTTGAGGATTTCGTTGGAAACGGGATTACATATAAAATCTAGAGAGAAGCATTCTCAGGAACTTCTTTGTGATGTTTGCATTCACGTCACAGAACTGAACATTCCCTTTCATAGAGCATGTTTGAAACACTCTTTCTGTAGTATCTGCAAACGGACATTTCAAACGCTTTCAGGCCTATGGTGAGAAAGGAAATATCTTCAAATAAAAACTAGACAGAAGCGTTCTCAGAAACTTATTTGCGATGTGTGTCCTCAACTAACAGAGTTGAACCTTTCTTTTGATACAACATTTTGGAAACACTCTTTTTGTAGAATCTGCAAGTGGATATTTGGATAGCTTTGAAGGTTTCGTTGGAAACGGGAATATCTTCATATGAAATCAAGACAGAAGCATTCTCAGAAACTTCTCTGTGATGTTTGCCTTCAACTCATAGAGTTGAACACTTCCTTTCATAGAGCAGGTTTGAAACACTCTGTGCACTACCTGGAAGTGGACATTTGGAGCGCTTTGAGGCCTATGTTGAAAAAGGAAATATCTTCCCATAAAAACTAGACAGAAGCATTCTCAGAAACTTGTTTGTGATGTGTGTATTCAACTAACAGAGATGAACCTTTCTTTTTACAGAGCAGTTTTGAAACACTCTTTTTGTGGAATCTGAAAGTGGATATTTGGATAGCTTTGAGGATTTCGTTGGAAACGGGATTACATATAAAATCTAGAGAGAAGCATTCTCAGGAACTTCTTTTGTGATGTTTGCCTTCAAGTCACAGGACTGAACATTCCCTTTCATAGAGCAGGTTTGAAACACTCTTTCTGTAGTATCTGCAAGCTGACGTTTCAAGCGCTTTCAGGCCTATGGTGAGAAAGGAAATATCTTCAAGTAAAAACTAGACTAGAAGCATTCTCAGAAACTTATTTGCCATGTGTGTTCTCAACTAACAGAGTTGAACCTTTGTTTTGATACGGCATTTTGGAAACACTCTTTTTGTAGAATCTGCAGGTGGATATTCGGATAGCTTTGAAGGTTTCGTTGGAAACGGGAATACCTTCATATAAAATCTAGACGGAAGCATTCTCAGAAACTGCTTTGTGATGTTTTCATTCAAGTCACAGAGTAGAATGTTCCCTGTTATATACCAGGTTTGAGACACTCTTTCTGCACTACCTGGAAGTGGACGTTTGGAGCGCTTTGAGGCCTATGTTGAAAAAGGAAATATCTTCCCATAAAAACTAGACAGAAGCATTCTCAGAAACTTGTTTGTGATGTGTGTATTCAGCTAACAGAGATGAACCCTTCTTTTTACAGAGCAGTTTTGAAACACTCTTTTTGTGGAATCTGAAAGTGGATATTTGGATAGCTTTGCGGATTTCGTTGGAAACGGGATTACATATAAAATCTAGGGAGAAGCATTCTCAGGAACTTCTTTGTGATGTTTGCATTCAAGTCACAGAACTGAACATTCCCTTTCATAGAGCAGGTTTGAAACACTCTTTCTGTAGTATCTGCAAGCGGACGTTTTAAGCGCTTTCAGGCCTGTGGTGAGAAAGGAAATATCTTCAAATAAAAACTAGACAGAAGCATTCTCAGAAACTTATTTGCGATGTGTGTCCTCAACTAACAGAGTTGAACCTTTCTTTTGATACAACATTTTGGAAACACTCTTTTTGTAGAATCTGCAAGTGGATATTTGAATAGCTTTGAAGGTTTCGTTGGAAACGGGAATATCTTCATATAAAATCAAGACAGAAGCATTCTCAGAAACTTCTCTGTGATGTTTGCATTCAACTCATAGAGTTGAACACTTCCCTTCATACAGCAGGTTTGAAACACTCTTTTTGTAATATTTGGAAGTGGACATTTGCAGCGCTTTGAGGCCTATGATGAAAAAGGTAATATCTTCCCATAAAAACTAGACAGAAGCATTCTCAGAAACTTGTTTGTGATGTGTGTATTCAACTAACAGAGATGAACCTTTCTTTTTACAGAGCAGTTTTGAAACACTCTTTTTGTGGAATCTGAAAGTGGATATTTGGATAGCTTTGCGGATTTCGTTGGAAACGGGATTACATATAAAATCTAGGGAGAAGCATTCTCAGGAACTTCTTTGTGATGTTTGCATTCAAGTCACAGAACTGAACATTCCCTTTCATAGAGCAGGTTTGAAACACTCTTTCTGTAGTATCTGCAAGCGGACGTTTTAAGCGCTTTCAGGCCTGTGGTGAGAAAGGAAATATCTTCAAATAAAAACTAGACAGAAGTATTCTCAGAAACTTATTTGCGATGTGTGTCCTCAACTAACAGAGTTGAACCTTTCTTTTGATACAACATTTTGGAAACACTCTGTTTGTAGAATCTGCAAGTGGATATTTGGATAGCTTTGAAGGTTTCGTTGGAAACGGGAATATCTTCATATGAAATCAAGACAGAAGCATTCTCAGAAACTTCTCTGTGATGTTTGCATTCAACTCATAGAGTTGAACACTTCCCTTCATACAGCAGGTTTGAAACACTCTTTTTCTAATATTTGGAAGTGGACATTTGCAGCGCTTTGAGGCCTATGTTGAAAAAGGAAATATCTTCTCCTAAAAACCAGACAGAAGCATTCTCAGAAACTTGTTTGTGATGTGTGTATTCAACTAACAGAGATGAACCCTTGTTTTACAGAGCAGTTTTGAAACACTCTTTTTGTGGAATCTGAAAGTGGATATTTGGATAGCTTTGCGGATTTCGTTGGAAACGGGATTACATATAAAATCTAGGGAGAAGCATTCTCAGGAACTTCTTTGTGATGTTTGCATTCACGCCACAGAACTGAACATTCCCTTTCATAGTGCATGTTTGAAACACTCTTTCTGTAGTATCTGCAAACGGACATTTCAAGCGCTTTCAGGCCTATGGTAACAAAGGAAATATCTTCAAATAAAAACTAGACAGAAGCATTCTCAGAAACTTCTTTGTGCTGTATGTCCTCAGTTAACAGAGTTCAACCTTTGTGTGGATACAGCATTTTGGAAACATTCCTTTAGTAGAATCTGCAAGTTGATATTTAGATAGCTAGGAAGATTTCCTTGGAAACGGGAATATCTTCATATAAAATCTAGACGGAAGCATTCTCAGAAAGTGCTTTGTGATGTTTGCATTCAAGTCACAGAGTTGAATATTCCCTTTAATAGAGCAGGTTTGAAACACTCTTTCTGCACTACCTGGAAGTGGACATTTGGAGCGCTTTGAGGCCTATGTTGAAAAAGGAAATATCTTCCCATAAAAACTAGACAGAAGCATTCTCAGAAACTTGTTTGTGATGTGTGTATTCAACTAACAGAGATGAACCTTTCTTTTTACAGAGCAGTTTTGAAACACTCTTTTTGTGGAATCTGAAAGTGGATATTTGGATAGCTTTGAGGATTTCGTTGGAAACGGGATTACATATAAAACCTAGAGAGAAGCATTCTCAGGAACTTCTTTGTGATGTTTGCATTCAAGTCACAGAACTGAACATTCCCTTTCATAGAGCAGGTTTGAAACACTCTTTCTGTAGTATCTGCAAGCTGACGTTTCAAGCGCTTTCAGGCCTATGGTGAGAAAGGTAATATCTTCAAGTAAAAACTAGACAGAAGCATTCTCAGAAACTTATTTGCGATGTGTGTTCTCAACTAACAGAGTTGAACCTTTGTTTTGATATGGCATTTTGGAAACACTCTTTTTGTAGAATCTGCAGGTGGATATTCGGATAGCTTTGAAGGTTTCGTTGGAAACGGGAATATCTTCATATAAAATCTAGACGGAAGCATTCTCAGAAACTTCTCTGTGATGTTTGCATTCAACTCATAGAGTTGAACACTACCTTTCATAGAGCAGGTTTGAAACACTCTGTGCACTACCTGGAAGTGGACGTTTGGAGCGCTTTGAGGCCTATGTTGAAAAAGGAAATATCTTCCCATAAAAACTAGACAGAAGCATTCTCAGAAACTTGTTTGTGATGTGTGTATTCAACTAACAGAGATGAACCTTTCTTTTTACAGAGCAGTTTTGAAACACTCTTTTTGTGGAATCTGAAAGTGGATATTTGGATAGCTTTGAGGATTTCGTTGGAAACGGGATTACATATAAAATCTAGGGAGAAGCATTCTCAGGAACTTCTTTGTGATGTTTGCATTCAAGTCACAGAACTCAACATTCCCTTTCATAGAGCAGGTTTGAAACACTCTTTCTGTAGTATCTGCAAGCTGACGTTTCAAGCGCTTTCAGGCCTATGGTGAGAAAGGAAATATCTTCAAGTAAAAACTAGACAGAAGCATTCTCAGAAACTTCTTTGCGATGTGTGTTCTCAACTAACAGAGTTGAACCTTTGTTTTGATATGGCATTTTGGAAACACTCTTTTTGTAGAATCTGCAGGTGGATATTCGGATAGCTTTGAAGGTTTCGTTGGAAACGGGAATATCTTCATATAAAATCTAGACGGAAGCATTCTCAGAAACTGCTTTGTGATGTTTTCATTCAAGTCACAGAGTAGAATGTTCCCTGTTATATACGAGGTTTGAGACACTCTTTCTGCACTACCTGGAAGTGGACATTTGCAGCGCTTTGAGGCCTATGATGAAAAAGGAAATATCTTCCCATAAAAACTAGACAGAAGCATTCTCAGAAACTTGTTTTTGATGTGTGTATTCAACTAACAGAGATGAACCTTTCTTTTTACAGAGCAGTTTTGAAACACTCTTTTTGTGGAATCTGAAAGTGGATATTTGGATAGATTTGAGGATTTCGTTGGAAACGGGATTACATATAAAATCTAGAGAGAAGCATTCTCAGGAACTTCTTTGTGATGTTTGCATTCACGTCACAGAACTGAACATTCCCTTTCATAGAGCATGTTTGAAACACTCTTTCTGTAGTATCTGCAAACGGACATTTCAAACGCTTTCAGGCCTATGGTGAGAAAGGAAATATCTTCAAATAAAAACTAGACAGAAGCATTCTCAGAAACTTATTTGCGATGTGTGTCCTCAACTATCAGAGTTGAACCTTTCTTTTGATACAACATTTTGGAACCACTCTTTTTGTAGAATCTGCAAGTGGATATTTGAATAGCTTTGAAGGTTTCGTTGGAAACGGGAATATCTTCATATAAAATCAAGACAGAAGCATTCTCAGAAAGTGCTTTGTGATGTTTGCATTCAAGTCACAGAGTTGAATATTCCCTTTTATAGAGCAGGTTTGAAACACTCTTTCTGCACTACCTGGAAGTGGACATTTGGAGCGCTTTGAGGCCTATGTTGAAAAAGGAAATATCTTCCCATAAAAACTAGACAGAAGCATTCTCAGAAACTTGTTTGTGATGTGTGTATTCAACTAACAGAGATGAACCTTTCTTTTTACAGAGCAGTTTTGAAACACTCTTTTTGTGGAATCTGAAAGTGGATATTTGGATAGCTTTGAGGATTTCGTTGGAAACGGGATTACATATAAAATCTAGAGAGAAGCATTCTCAGAAACTTCTCTGTGATGTTTGCATTCAACTCATAGAGGTGAACACTTCCCTTCATAGAGCAGGTTTGAAACACTCTTTTTGTAATATTTGGAAGTGGACATTTGCAGCGCTTTGAGGCCTATGTTGAAAAAGGAAATATCTTCTCCTAAAAACCAGACAGAAGCATTCTCAGAAACTTATTTGCCATGTGTGTTCTCAACTAACAGAGTTGAACCTTTGTTTTGATACGGCATTTTGGAAACACTCTTTTTGTAGAATCTGCAGGTGGATATTCGCATAGCTTTGAAGGTTTCGTTGGAAACGGGAATATCTTCATATAAAATCTAGACGGAAGCATTCTCATAAACTGCTTTGTGATGTTTTCATTCAAGTCACAGAGTAGAATGTTCCCTGTAATATACCAGGTTTGAGACACTCTTTCTGCACTACCTGGAAGTGGACGTTTGGAGCGCTTTGAGGCCTATGTTGAAAAAGGAAATATCTTCCCATAAAAACTAGACAGAAGCATTCTTAGAAACTTGTTTTTGATGTGTGTATTCAACTAACAGAGATGAACCTTTCTTTTTACAGAGCAGTTTTGAAACAGTCTTTTTGTGGAATCTGAAAGTGGATATTTGGATAGCTTTGAGGATTTCGTTGGAAACGGGATTACATATAAAACCTAGAGAGAAGCATTCTCAGGAACTGCTTTGTGATGTTTGCATTCAAGTCACAGAACTGAACATTCCCTTTCATAGAGCAGGTTTGAAACACTCTTTCTGTAGTATCTGCAAGCTGACGTTTCAAGCGCTTTCAGGCCTATGGTGAGAAAGGAAATATCTTCAAGTAAAAACTAGACAGAAGCATTCTCAGAAACTTATTTGCGATCTGTGTCCTCAACTAACAGAGTTGAACCTTTCTTTTGATACAACATTTTGGAAACACTCTTTTTGTAGAATCAGCAAGTGGATATTTGAATAGCTTTGAAGGTTTCGTTGGAAACGGGAATATCTTCATATAAAATCAAGACAGAAGCATTCTCAGAAAGTGCTTTGTGATGTTTGCATTCAAGTCACAGAGTTGAATATTCCCTTTTATAGAGCAGGTTTGAAACACTCTTTCTGCACTACCTGGAAGTGGACATTTGGAGCGCTTTGAGGCCTATGTTGAAAAAGGAAATATCTTCCCATAAAAACTAGACAGAAGCATTCTCAGAAACTTGTTTGTGATGTGTGTATTCAACTAACAGAGATGAACCTTTCTTTTTACAGAGCAGTTTTGAAACACTCTTTTTGTGGAATCTCAAAGTGGATATTTGGATAGCTTTGAGGATTTCGTTGGAAACGGGATTACATATAAAATCTAGAGAGAAGCATTCTCAGGAACTTCTTTGTGATGTTTGCATTCAAGTCACAGAACTGAACATTCCCTTTCATAGAGCATGTTTGAAACACTCTTTCTGTAGTATCTGCAAGCGGACGTTTCAAGCGCTTTCAGGCCTATGGTGAGAAAGGAAATATCTTCAAGTAAAAACTAGACAGAAGCATTCTCAGAAACTTATTTGCGATGTGTGTTCTCAACTAACAGAGTTGAACCTTTGTTTTGATATGGCATTTTGGAAACACTCTTTTTGTAGAATCTGCAGGTGGATATTCGGATAGCTTTGAACGTTTCGTTGGAAACGGGAATATCTTCATATAAAATCTAGACGGAAGCATTCTCAGAAACTGCTTTGTGATGTTTTCATTCAAGTCACAGAGTAGAATGTTCCCCGTTATATACCAGGTTTGAGACACTCTTTCTGCACTACCTGGAAGTGGACATTTGGAGCGCTTTGAGGCCTATGATGAAGAAGGAAATATCTTCCCATAAAAACTAGACAGAAGCATTCTCAGAAACTTGTTTGTGATGTGTGTATTCAACTAACAGAGATGAACCTTTCTTTTTACAGAGCAGTTTTGAAACACTCTTTTTGTGGAATCTGAAAGTGGATATTTGGATAGCTTTGAGGATTTCGTTGGAAACGGGATTACATATAAAACCTAGAGAGAAGCATTCTCAGGAACTTCTTTGTGATGTTTGCCTTCAAGTCACAGGACTGAACATTCCCTTTCATAGAGCAGGTTTGAAACACTCTTTCTGTAGTATCTGCAAGCTGACGTTTCAAGCGCTTTCAGGCCTATGGTGACAAAGGAAATATCTTCAAGTAAAAACTAGACAGAAGCATTCTCAGAAACTTATTTGCCATGTGTGTTTTCAACTAACAGAGTTGAACCTTTGTTTTGATATGGCATTTTGGAAACACTCTTTTTGTAGAATCTGCAGGTGGATATTCGGATAGCTTTGAAGGTTTCGTTGGAAACGGGAATATCTTCATATAAAATCTAGACGGAAGCATTCTCAGAAAGTGCTTTGTGATGTTTGCATTCAAGTCACAGAGTTGAATATTCCCTTTTATAGAGCAGGTTTGAAACACTCTTTCTGCACTACCTGGAAGTGGACATTTGGAGCGCTTTGAGGCCTATGTTGAAAAAGGAAATATCTTCCCATAAAAACTAGACAGAAGCATTCTCAGAAACTTGTTTGTGATGTGTGTATTCAACTAACAGAGATGAACATTTGTTTTTACAGAGCAGTTTTGAAACACTCTTTTTGTGGAATCTGAAAGTGGATATTTGGATAGCTTTGAGGATTTCGTTGGAAACGGGATTACATATAAAATCTAGAGAGAAGCATTCTCAGGAACTTCTTTGTGATGTTTGCATTCAAGTCACAGAACTGAACATTCCCTTTCATAGAGCATGTTTGAAACACTCTTTCTGTAGTATCTGCAAGCGGACGTTTCAAGCGCTTTCAGGCCTATGGTGAGAAAGGAAATATCTTCAAGTAAAAACTAGACAGAAGCATTCTCAGAAACTTCTTTGTGCTGTATGTCCTCAATTAACAGAGTTGAACCTTTGTGTGGATACAGCATTTTGGAAACATTCCTTTAGTAGAATCTGCAAGTTGATATTTAGATAGCTAGGAAGATTTCCTTGGAAACGGGAATATCTTCATATAAAATCTAGCCGGAAGCATTCTCAGAAAGTGCTTTGTGATGTTTGCATTCAAGTCACAGAGTTGAATATTCCCTTTTATAGAGCAGGTTTGAAACACTCTTTCTGCACTACCTGGAAGTGGACATTTGGAGCGCTTTGAGGCCTATGTTGAAAAAGGAAATATCTTCCCATAAAAACTAGACAGAAGCATTCTCAGAAACTTGTTTGTGATGTGTGTATTCAACTAACAGAGATGAACCTTTCTTTTTACAGAGCAGTTTTGAAACACTCTTTTTGTGGAATCTGAAAGTGGATATTTGGATAGCTTTGAGGATTTCGTTGGAAACGGGATTACATATAAAATCTAGAGAGAAGCATTCTCAGGAACTTCTTTGTGATGTTTGCATTCAAGTCACAGAACTGAACATTCCCTTTCATAGAGCAGGTTTGAAACACTCTTTCTGTAGTATCTGCAAGCTGACGTTTCAAGCGCTTTCAGGCCTATGGTGAGAAAGGAAATATCTTCAAGTAAAAACTAGACAGAAGCATTCTCAGAAACTTATTTGCGATGTGTGTTCTCAACTAACAGAGTTGAACCTTTGTTTTGATATGGCATTTTGGAAACACTCTTTTTGTAGAATCTGCAGGTGGATATTCGGATAGCTTTGAAGGTTTCGTTGGAAACGGGAATATCTTCATATAAAATCTAGACGGAAGCATTCTCAGAAACTGCTTTGTGATGTTTTCATTCAAGTCACAGAGTAGAATGTTCCCTGTTATATACCAGGTTTGAGACACTCTTTCTGCACTACCTGGAAGTGGACATTTGCAGCGCTTTGAGGCCTATGATGAAAAAGGAAATATCTTCCCATAAAAACTAGACAGAAGCATTGTCAGAAACTTGTTTGTGATGTGTGTATTCAACTAACAGAGATGAACCTTTCTTTTTACAGAGCAGTTTTGAAACACTCTTTTTGTGGAATCTGAAAGTGGATATTTGGATAGCTTTGAGGATTTCGTTGGAAACGGGATTACATATAAAACCTAGAGAGAAGCATTCTCAGGAACTCCTTTGTGATGTTTGCCTTCAAGTCACAGGACTGAACATTCCCTTTCATAGAGCAGGTTTGAAACACTCTTTCTGTAGTATCTGCAAGCTGACGTTTCAAGCGCTTTCAGGACTATGGTGAGAAAGGAAATATCTTCAAGTAAAAACTAGACAGAAGCATTCTCAGAAACTTATTTGAGATGTGTGTTCTCAACTAACAGAGTTGAACCTTTGTTTCGATATGGCATTTTGGAAACACTCTTTTTGTAGAATCTGCAGGTGGATATTCGGATAGCTTTGAAGGTTTCGTTGGAAACGGGAATATCTTCATATAAAATCTAGACGGAAGCATTCACAGAAACTGCTTTGTGATGTTTTCATTGAAGTCACAGAGTAGAATGTTCCCTTTTATATACCAGGTTTGAGACACTCTTTCTGCACTATCTGGAAGTGGACATTTGGAGCGCTTTGAGGCCTATGATGAAAAAGGAAATATCTTCCCATAAAAACTAGACAGAAGCATTCTCAGAAACTTGTTTGTGATGTGTGTATTCAACTAACAGAGATGAACCTTTCTTTTTACAGAGCAGTTTTGAAACAGTCTTTTTGTAGAATCTGGAAGTAGATATTTGGATACCTTTGAGGATTTCTTTGGAAACGGGATATCTTCATATAAAATCTAGACAGAAGCATTCTCAAGAACTTCTTTGTGATGTTTGCATTCAAGTCACAGAACTGAACATTCCCTTTCATAGAGCAGGTTTGAAACACTCTTTCTGCAGTATCTGCAAGCGGACGTTTTAAGCGCTTTCAGGCCTGTGGTGAGGAAGGAAATATCTTCAAATAAAAACTAGACAGAAGCATTCTCAGAAACTTATTTGCGATGTGTGTCCTCAACTAACAGAGTTGAACCTTTCTTTTGATACAACATTTTGGAAACACTCTTTTTGTAGAATCTGCAAGTGGATATTTGGATAACTTTGAAGGTTTCGTTGGAAACGGGAATATCTTCATATGAAATCAAGACAGAAGCATTCTCAGAAACTGCTTTGTGATGTTTTCATTCAAGTCACAGGGTAGAATGTTCCCTGTTATATACCAGGTTTGAGACACTCTTTCTGCACTACCTGGAAGTGGACGTTTGGAGCGCTTTGAGGCCTATGTTGAAAAAGGAAATATCTTCCCATAAAAACTAGACAGAAGCATTCTCAGAAACTTGTTTGTGATGTGTGTATTCAACTAACAGAGATGAACCTTTCTTTTTACAGAGCAGTTTTGAAACACTCTTTTTGTGGAATCTGAAAGTGGATATTTGGATAGCTTTGAGGATTTCGTTGGAAACGGGATTACATATAAAACCTAGAGAGAAGCATTCTCAGGAACTTCTTTGTGATGTTTGCATTCAAGTCACAGAACTGAACATTCCCTTTCATAGAGCAGGTTTGAAACACTCTTTCTGTAGTATCTGCAAGCTGACGTTTCAAGCGCTTTCAGGCCTATGGTGAGAAAGGAAATATCTTCAAGGAAAAACTAGACAGAAGCATTCTCAGAAACTTATTTGCCATGTGTGTTCTCAACTAACAGAGTTGAACCTTTGTTTTGATACGGCATTTTGGAAACACTCTTTTTGTAGAATCTGCAGGTGGATATTCGGATAGCTTTGAAGGTTTCGTTGGAAACGGGAATATCTTCATATAAAATCTAGACGGAAGCATTCTCAGAAACTTCTCTGTGATGTTTGCATTCAACTCATAGAGTTGAACACTTCCTTTCATAGAGCATGTTTGAAACACTCTGTGCACTACCTGGAAGTGGACATTTGGAGCGCTTTGAGGCCTATGTTGAAAAAGGAAATATCTTCCCATAAAAACTAGACAGAAGCATTCTCAGAAACTTGTTTGTGATGTGTGTATTCAACTAACAGAGATGAACCTTTCTTTTTACAGAGCAGTTTTGAAACACTCTTTTTGTGGAATCTGAAAGTGGATATTTGGATAGCTTTGCGGATTTCGTTGGAAACGGGATTACATATAAAATCTAGGGAGAAGCATTCTCAGGAACTTCTTTGTGATGTTTGCATTCAAGTCACAGAACTGAACATTCCCTTTCATAGAGCAGGTTTGAAACACTCTTTCTGTAGTATCTGCAAGCGGACGTTTTAAGCGCTTTCAGGCCTGTGGTGAGAAAGGAAATATCTTCAAATAAAAACTAGACAGAAGCATTCTCAGAAACTTATTTGCGATGTGTGTCCTCAACTAACAGAGTTGAACCTTTCTTTTGATACAACATTTTGGAAACACTCTTTTTGTAGAATCTGCAAGTGGATATTTGGATAGCTTTGAAGGTTTCGTTGGAAACGGGAATATCTTCATATGAAATCAAGAGAGAAGCATTCTCAGAAACTGCTTTGTGATGTTTTCATTGAAGTCACAGAGTAGAATGTTCCCTTTTATATACCAGGTTTGAGACACTCTTTCTGCACTATCTGGAAGTGGACATTTGGAGCGCTTTGAGGCCTATGATGAAAAAGGAAATATCTTCCCATAAAAACTAGACAGAAGCATTCTCAGAAACTTGTTTGTGATGTGTGTATTCAACTAACAGAGATGAACCTTTCTTTTTACAGAGCAGTTTTGAAACACTCTTTTTGTGGAATCTGAAAGTGGATATTTGGATAGCTTTGAGGATTTCGTTGGAAACGGGATTACATATAAAATCTAGAGAGAAGCATTCTCAGGAACTGCTTTGTGATGTTTGCATTCAAGTCACAGAACTGAACATTCCCTTTCATAGAGCAGGTTTGAAACACTCTTTCTGTAGTATCTGCAAGCTGACGTTTCAAGCGCTTTCAGGCCTATGGTGAGAAAGGAAATATCTTCAAGTAAAAACTAGACAGAAGCATTCTCAGAAACTTATTTGCGATGTGTGTCCTCAACTAACAGAGTTGAACCTTTCTTTTGATACAACATTTTGGAAACACTCTTTTTGTAGAATCTGCAAGTGGATATTTGAATAGCTTTGAAGGTTTCGTTGGAAACGGGAATATCTTCATATAAAATCAAGACGGAAGCATTCTCAGAAACTTCTCTGTGATGTTTGCATTCAACTCATAGAGTTGAACACTTCCCTTCATACAGCAGGTTTGAAACACTCTTTTTGTAATATTTGGAAGTGGACATTTGCAGCGCTTTGAGGCCTATGATGAAAAAGGTAATATCTTCCCATAAAAACTAGACAGAAGCATTCTCAGAAACTTGTTTGTGATGTGTGTATTCAACTAACAGAGATGAACCTTTCTTTTTACAGAGCAGTTTTGAAACACTCTTTTTGTGGAATCTGAAAGTGGATATTTGGATAGCTTTGCGGATTTCGTTGGAAACGGGATTACATATAAAATCTAGGGAGAAGCATTATCACGAACTTCTTTGTGATGTTTGCATTCAAGTCACAGAACTGAACATTCCCTTTCATAGAGCAGGTTTGAAACACTCTTTCTGTAGTATCTGCAAGCGGACGTTTTAAGCGCTTTCAGGCCTGTGGTGAGAAAAGAAATATCTTCAAATAAAAACTAGACAGAAGCATTCTCAGAAACTTATTTGAGATGTGTGTTCTCAACTAACAGAGTTGAACCTTTGTTTCGATATGGCATTTTGGAAACACTCTTTTTGTAGAATCTGCAGGTGGATATTCGGATAGCTTTGAAGGTTTCGTTGGAAACGGGAATATCTTCATATAAAATCTAGACGGAAGCATTCTCAGAAACTGCTTTGTGATGTTTTCATTCAAGTCACAGAGTAGAATGTTCCCTTTTATATACCAGGTTTGAGACACTCTTTCTGCACTATCTGGAAGTGGACATTTGGAGCGCTTTGAGGCCTATGATGAAAAAGGAAATATCTTCCCATAAAAACTAGACAGAAGCATTCTCAGAAACTTCTTTGTGATGTGTGTATTCAACTAACAAAGATGAACCTTTCTTTTTACAGAACAGTTTTGAAACACTCTTTTTGTGGAATCTGAAAGTGGATATTTGGATAGCTTTGAGGATTTCGTTGGAAACGGGATTACATATAAAATCTAGAGAGAAGCATTCTCAGGAACTTCTTTGTGATGTTTGCATTCACGTCACAGAACTGAACATTCCCTTTCATAGAGCATGTTTGAAACACTCTTTCTGTAGTATCTGCAAACGGACATTTCAAGCGCTTTGAGGCCTATGGTAAGAAAGGAAATATCTTCAAATAAAAACTAGACAGAAGCATTCTCAGAAACTTATTTGCGATGTGTGTCCTCAACTAACAGAGTTGAACCTTTGTTTTGATACAACATTTTGGAAACACTCTTTTTGTAGAATCTGCAAGTGGATATTTGGATAGCTTTGAAGGTTTCGTTGGAAACGGGAATATCTTCATATAAAATCAAGACAGAAGGATTCTCAGAAACTTCTCTGTGATGTTTGCATTCAACTCATAGAGTTGAACACTTCCCTTCATAGAGCAGGTTTGAAACACTCTTTTTGTAATATTTGGAAGTGGACATTTGCAGCGCTTTGAGGCCTATGTTGAAAAAGGAAATATCTTCTCCTAAAAACCAGACAGAAGCATTCTCAGAAACTTGTTTGTGATGTGTGTATTCAACTAACAGAGATGAACCTTTCTTTTTACAGAGCAGTTTTGAAACACTCTTTTTGTGGAATCTGAAAGTGGATATTTGGATAGCTTTGAGGATTTCGTTGGAAACGGGATTACATATAAAACCTAGAGAGAAGCATTCTCAGGAACTTCTTTGTGATGTTTGCCTTCAAGTCACAGGACTGAACATTCCCTTTCATAGAGCAGGTTTGAAACACTCTTTCTGTAGTATCTGCAAGCTGACGTTTCAAGCGCTTTCAGGCCTATGGTGAGAAAGGAAATATGCTTCAAGTAAAAACTAGACAGAAGCATTCTCAGAAACTTATTTGCGATGTGTGTCCTCAACTAACAGAGTTGAACCTTTCTTTTGATACAACATTTTGGAAACACTCTTTTTGTGGAATCTGCAAGTGGATATTTGGATAGCTTTGAAGATTTCGTTGGAAACGGGAATATCTTCATATAAAATCAAGACAGAAGCATTCTCAGAAACTTCTCTGTGATGCTTGCATTCAACTCATAGAGTTGAACACTTCCCTTCATACAGCAGGTTTGAAACACTCTTTTTGTAATATTTGGAAGTGGACATTTGCAGCGCTTTGAGGCCTATGATGAAAAAGGTAATATCTTCCCATAAAAACTAGACAGAAGCATTCTCAGAAACTTGTTTGTGATGTGTGTATTCAACTAACAGAGATGAACCATTCTTTTTACAGAGCAGTTTTGAAACACTCTTTTTGTGGAATCTGAAAGTGGATATTTGGATAGCTTTGCGGATTTCGTTGGAAACGGGATTACATATAAAATCTAGGGAGAAGCATTCTCAGGAACTTCTTTGTGATGTTTGCATTCAAGTCACAGAACTGAACATTCCCTTTCATAGAGAAGGTTTGAAACACTCTTTCTGTAGTATCTGCAAGCGGACGTTTTAAGCGCTTTCAGGCCTGTGGTGAGAAAGGAAATATCTTCAAATAAAAACTAGACAGAAGCATTCTCAGAAACTTATTTGCGATGTGTGTTCTCAACTAACAGAGTTGAACCTTTGTTTTGATATGGCATTTTGGAAACACTCTTTTTGTAGAATCTGCAGGTGGATATTCGGATAGCTTTGAAGGTTTCGTTGGAAACGGGAATATCTTCATATAAAATCTAGACGGAAGCATTCTCAGAAACTGCTTTGTGATGTTTTCATTCAAGTCACAGAGTAGAATGTTCCCTGTTATATACCAGGTTTGAGACACTCTTTCTGCACTACCTGGAAGTGGACGTTTGGAGCGCTTTGAGGCCTATGTTGAAAAAGGAAATATCTTCCCATAAAAACTAGACAGAAGCATTCTCAGAAACTTGTTTGTGATGTGTGTATTCAACTAACAGAGATGAACCTTTCTTTTTACAGAGCAGTTTTGAAACACTCTTTTTGTGGAATCTGAAAGTGGATATTTGGATAGCTTTGAGGATTTCGTTGGAAACGGGATTACATATAAAATCTAGGGAAAAGCATTCTCAGGAACTTCTTTGTGATGTTTGCCTTCAAGTCACAGGACTGAACATTCCCTTTCATAGAGCAGGTTTGAAACACTCTTTCTGTAGTATCTGCAAGCTGACGTTTCAAGCGCTTTCAGGCCTATGGTGAGAAAGGAAATATCTTCAAGTAAAAACTAGACAGAAGCATTCTCAGAAACTTATTTGCGATGTGTGTCCTCAACTAACAGAGTTGAACCTTTCTTTTGATACAACATTTTGGAAACACTCTTTTTGTAGAATCTGCAAGTGGATATTTGGATAGCTTTGAAGGTTTCGTTGGAAACGGGAATATCTTCATATGAAATCAAGACAGAAGCATTCTCAGAAACTTCTCTGGGATGCTTGCATTCAACTCATAGAGTTGAACACTTCCTTTCATAGAGCAGGTTTGAAACACTCTGTGCACTACCTGGAAGTGGACATTTGGAGCGCTTTGAGGCGTATGTTGAAAAAGGAAATATCTTCCCATAAAAACTAGACAGAAGCATTCTCAGAAACTTGTTTGTGATGTGTGTATTCAACTAACAGAGATGAACCTTTCTTTTTACAGAGCAGTTTTGAAACACTCTTTTTGTGGAATCTGAAAGTGGATATTTGGATAGCTTTGAGGATTTCGTTGGAAACGGGATTACATATAAAATCTAGGGAGAAGCATTCTCAGGAACTTCTTTTTGATGTTGGCCTTCAAGTCACAGGACTGAACATTCCCTTTCATAGAGCAGGTTTGAAACACTCTTTCTGTAGTATCTGCAAGCTGACGTTTCAAGCGCTTTCAGGCCTATGGTGAGAAAGGAAATATCTTCAAGTAAAAACTAGACAGAAGCATTCTCAGAAACTTATTTGCGATGTGTGTTCTCAACTAACAGAGTTGAACCTTTGTTTGGATACAACATTTTGGAAACACTCTTTTTGTAGAATCTGCAAGTGGATATTTGGATAGCTTTGAAGGTTTCGTTGTTAACGGGAATGTCTTCATATAAAATCAAGACAGAAGCATTCTCAGAAACTGCTTTGTGATGTTTTCATTCAAGTCACAGAGTAGAATGTTCCCTGTTATACACCAGGTTTGAGACACTCTTTCTGCACTACCTGGAAGTGGACGTTTGGAGCGCTTTGAGGCCTATGTTGAAAAAGGAAATATGCTTCCCATAAAAACTAGACAGAAGCATTCTCAGAAACTTGTTTGTGATGTGTGTATTCAACTAACAGAGATGAACCTTTCTTTTTACAGAGCAGTTTTGAAACACTCTTTTTGTGGAATCTGAAAGTGGATATTTGGATAGCTTTGAGGATTTCGTTGGAAACGGGATTACATATAAAATCTAGAGAGAAGCATTCTCAGGAACTTCTTTGTGATGTTTGCATTCAAGTCACAGAACTGAACATTCCCTTTCATAGAGCATGTTTGAAACACTCCTTCTGTAGTATCTGCAAGCGGACGTTACATGCGCTTTCAGCCCTATGGTGAGAAAGGAAATATCTTCAAGTAAAAACTAGACAGAAGCATTCTCAGAAACTTATTTGCCATGTGTGTTCTCAACTAACAGAGTTGAACCTTTGTTTTGATACGGCATTTTGGAAACACTCTTTTTGTAGAATCTGCAGGTGGATATTCGGATAGCTTTGAAGGTTTCGTTGGAAACGGGAATATCTTCATATAAAATCTAGACGGAAGCATTCTCAGAAACTGCTTTGTGATGTTTTCATTCAAGTCACAGGAGTAGAATGTTCCCTGTTATATACCAGGTTTGAGACACTCTTTCTGCACTACCTGGAAGTGGACATTTGCAGCGCTTTGAGGCCTATGATGAAAAAGGAAATATCTTCCCATAAAAACTAGACAGAAGCATTCTCAGAAACTTGTTTGTGATGTGTGTATTCAACTAACAGAGATGAACCTTTCTTTTTACAGAGCAGTTTTGAAACACTCTTTTTGTGGAATCTGAAAGTGGATATTTGGATAGCTTTGAGGATTTCGTTGGAAACGGGATTACATATAAAATCTAGAGAGAAGCATTCTCAGGAACTTCTTTGTGATGTTTGCATTCACGTCACAGAACTGAACATTCCCTTTCATAGAGCAGGTTTGAAACACTCTTTCTGTAGTATCTGCAAGCGGACGTTTTAAGCGCTTTCAGGCCTGTGGTGAGAAAGGAAATATCTTCAAATAAAAACTAGACAGAAGCATTCTCAGAAACTTATTTCCCATATGTGTTCTCAACTAACAGAGTTGAACCTTTGTTTTGATACGGCATTTTGGAAACACTCTTTTTGTAGAATCTGCAGGTGGATATTCGGATAGCTTTGAAGGTTTCGTTGGAAACGGGAATATCTTCATATAAAATCTAGACGGAAGCATTCTCAGAAACTGCTTTGTGATGTTTGCATTCAAGTCACAGAGTAGAATGTTCCCTGTTATATACCAGGTTTGAGACACTCTTTCTGCACTACCTGGAAGTGGACGTTTGGAGCGCTTTGAGGCCTATGTTGAAAAAGGAAATATCTTCCCATAAAAACTAGACAGAAGCATTCTCAGAAACTTGTTTGTGATGTGTGTATTCAACTAACAGAGATGAACCTTTCTTTTTACAGAGCAGTTTTGAAACACTCTTTTTGTGGAATCTGAAAGTGGATATTTGGATAGCTTTGAGGATTTCGTTGGAAACGGGATTACATATAAAACCTAGAGAGAAGCATTCTCAGGAACTTCTTTGTGATGTTTGCATTCAAGTCACAGAACTGAACATTCCCTTTCATAGAGCAGGTTTGAAACACTCTTTCTGTAGTATCTGCAAGCTGACGTTTCAAGCGCTTTCAGGCCTATGGTGAGAAAGGAAATATCTTCAAGTAAAAACTAGACAGAAGCATTCTCAGAAACTTATTTGCGATGTGTGTCCTCAACTAACAGAGTTGAACCTTTCTTTTGATACAACATTTTGGAAACACTCTTTTTGTAGAATCAGCAAGTGGATATTTGAATAGCTTTGAAGGTTTCGTTGGAAACGGGAATATCTTCATATAAAATCAAGACAGAAGCATTCTCAGAAACTTCTCTGTGATGTTTGCATTCAACTCATAGAGTTGAACACTTCCCTTCATACAGCAGGGTTGAAACACTCTTTTTGTAATATTTGGAAGTGGACATTTGCAGCGCTTTGAGGCCTATGATGAAAAAGGTAATATCTTCCCATAAAAACTAGACAGAAGCATTCTCAGAAACTTGTTTGTGATGTGTGTATTCAACTAACAGAGATGAACCTTTCTTTTTACAGAGCAGTTTTGAAACACTCTTTTTGTGGAATCTGAAAGTGGATATTTGGATAGCTTTGCGGATTTCGTTGGAAACGGGATTACATATAAAATCTACGGAGAAGCATTCTCAGGAACTTCTTTGTGATGTTTGCATTCAAGTCACAGAACTGAACATTCCCTTTCATAGAGCAGGTTTGAAACACTCTTTCTGTAGTATCTGCAAGCGGACGTTTTAAGCGCTTTCAGGCCTGTGGTGAGAAAGGAAATATCTTCAAATAAAAACTAGACAGAAGCATTCTCAGAAACTTATTTGCGATGTGTGTCCTCAACTAACAGAGTTGAACCTTTCTTTTGATACAACATTTTGGAAACACTCTTTTTGTAGAATCTGCAAGTGGATATTTGGATAGCTTTGAAGGTTTCGTTGGAAACGGGAATATCTTCATATGAAATCAAGACAGAAGCATTCTCAGAAACTTCTCTGTGATGTTTGCATTCAACTCATAGAGTTGAACACTTCCCTTCATACAGCAGGTTTGAAACACTCTTTTTCTAATATTTGGAAGTGGACATTTGCAGCGCTTTGAGGCCTATGTTGAAAAAGGAAATATCTTCTCCTAAAAACCAGACAGAAGCATTCTCAGAAACTTGTTTGTGATGTGTGTATTCAACTAACAGAGATGAACCTTTCTTTTTACAGAGCAGTTTTGAAACACTCTTTTTGTGGAATCTGAAAGTGGATATTTGGATAGCTTTGCGGATTTCGTTGGAAACGGGATTACATATAAAATCTAGGGAGAAGCATTCTCAGGAACTTCTTTGTGATGTTTGCATTCAAGTCACAGAACTGAACATTCCCTTTCATAGAGCAGGTTTGAAACACTCTTTCTGTAGTATCTGCAAGCGGACGTTTTAAGCGCTTTCAGGCCTGTGGTGAGAAAGGAAATATCTTCAAATAAAAACTAGACAGAAGCATTCTCAGAAACTTATTTGCGATGTGTGTCCTCAACTAACAGAGTTGAACCTTTCTTTTGATACAACATTTTGGAAACACTCTTTTTGTAGAATCTGCAAGTGGATATTTGGATAGCTTTGAAGGTTTCGTTGGAAACGGGAATATCTTCATATGAAATCAAGACAGAAGCATTCTCAGAAACTTCTCTGTGATGTTTGCATTCAACTCATAGAGTTGAACACTTCCCTTCATACAGCAGGTTTGAAACACTCTTTTTGTAATATTTGGAAGTGGACATTTGCAGCGCTTTGAGGCCTATGTTGAAAAAGGAAATATCTTCTCCTAAAAACCAGACAGAAGCATTCTCAGAAACTTGTTTGTGATGTGTGTATTCAACTAACAGAGATGAACCTTTCTTTTTACAGAGCAGTTTTGAAACACTCTTTTTGTGGAATCTGAAAGTGGATATTTGGATAGCTTTGAGGATTTCGTTGGAAACGGGATTACATATAAAACCTAGAGAGAAGCATTCTCAGGAACTTCTTTGTGATGTTTGCCTTCAAGTCACAGGACTGAACATTCCCTTTCATAGAGCAGGTTTGAAACACTCTTTCTGTAGTATCTGCAAGCTGACGTTTCAAGCGCTTTCAGGCCTATGGTGAGAAAGGAAATATCTTTAAGTAAAAACTAGACAGAAGCATTCTCAGAAACTTATTTGCCATGTGTGTTCTCAACTAACAGAGTTGAACCTTTGTTTTGATACGGCATTTTGGAAACACTCTTTTTGTAGAATCTGCAGGTGGATATTCGGATAGCTTTGAAGGTTTCGTTGGAAACGGGAATATCTTCATATAAAATCTAGACGGAAGCATTCTCAGAAACTGCTTTGTGATGTTTTCATTCAAGTCACAGAGTAGAATGTTCCCTGTTATATACCAGGTTTGAGACACTCTTTCTGCACAACCTGGAAGTGGACGTTTGGAGCGCTTTGAGGCCTATGTTGAAAAAGGAAATATCTTCCCATAAAAACTAGACAGAAGCATTCTCAGAAACTTGTTTGTGATGTGTGTATTCAACTAACAGAGATGAACCTTTCTTTTTACAGAGCAGTTTTGAAACACTCTTTTTGTGGAATCTGAAAGTGGATATTTGGATAGCTTTGAGGATTTCGTTGGAAACGGGATTACATATAAAATCTAGAGAGAAGCATTCTCAGGAACTTCTTTGTGATGTTTGCATTCACGTCACAGAACTGAACATTCCCTTTCATAGAGCATGTTTGAAACACTCTTTCTGTAGTATCTGCAAACGGACATTTCAAACGCTTTCAGGCCTATGGTGAGAAAGGAAATATCTTCAAATAAAAACTAGACAGAAGCATTCTCAGAAACTTATTTGCCATGTGTGTTCTCAACTAACAGAGTTGAACCTTTGTTTTGATACGGCATTTTGGAAACACTCTTTTTGTAGAATCTGCAGGTGGATATTCGGATAGCTTTGAAGGTTTCGTTGGAAACGGGAATATCTTCATATAAAATCTAGACGGAAGCATTCTCAGAAAGTGCTTTGTGATGTTTGCATTCAAGTCACAGAGTTGAATATTCCCTTTTATAGAGCAGGTTTGAAACACTCTTTCTGCACTACCTGGAAGTGGACATTTGGAGCGCTTTGAGGCCTATGTTGAAAAAGGAAATATCTTCCCATAAAAACTAGACAGATTAAAAAAGAAAAAAGGTAAAAAAAAGATAAAAAAAAAAAAAATCTAACTCCAAAATAAAAAAAAAAAACCCGCCTCCACCTCAAAAAGTGCTGGGAAGAACATGGGAGGCAAAAAACACTGTAACAAGCCTATTTAAAAAATTTTTTTTTTCTTTTTCTTTTTTTTTTTTTTTTAAAAAAAAAAAAATTTAATCTTGTTAAACAGGCTGGAAAACAAAGGTGTGATCAAAAAAACCTAAATATCCTGGGTAAAAAAAAATCTTCTGCCAAAAAATCCAAAAAAAAAAGGATAAAAAACAAAAAAAAAAACGCAAAAAAAAAATAAAAATTAAAATAAAAACAAAGTTTCTCCATAAAAAAAAAAAAGAAAATGATGTGTGTATTCAACAAAAAAAGATGAACCTTTCTTTTTACAGAGCAGTTTTGAAACACTCTTTTTGTGGAATCTGAAAGTGGATATTTGGATAGCTTTGAGGATTTCGTTGGAAACGGGATTACATATAAAACCTAGAGAGAAG